>NC_000016.10:70926136-71229166 GCF_000001405.40 Homo sapiens
TACTGCTATAACGACACATGCGCATGTATGTTTATTGCGGCACTATTCACAATAGCAAAGACTTGGAACCAACCCAAATGTCCAACAATGATAGACTGGATTAAGAAAATGTGGCACATAGACACCATGGAATACTATGCAGCCATAAAAAATGATGAGCTCATGTCCTTTGTAGGGACATGGATGAAATTGGAAATCATCATTCTCAGTAAACTATTGCAAGGACAAAAAACCAAACACCGCATGTTCTCACTCATAGGTGGGAACTGAACAATGAGAACACATGGACACAGGAAGGGGAACCTCACACTCTGGGGACTGTTGTGGGGTGGGGGGAGAGGGGAGGGATAGCATTAGGAGATATACCTAATGCTAAATGACGAGTTAATGGGTGCAGCACACCAGCATGGCACAGGTATACATATGTAACTAACCTGCACATTGTACACATGTACCCTAAAACTTAAAGTATAATAATAAAAAAAAAATACTTGGCATCTAAAGAGACAAAACCATGTGACCATAAAGCAAGAGCAAAAGACAGACGGGAGACCAGACTGCTGGGGATCTACGTATGGCACTATAAGACAAGGACTTTAAAACATATTTAATATGCTGAGGGAATTAAGACACTATTGAGAAGTGAGAATTTTAAAGAGAACTAGAAATAGTAAGAAAAGAATTAATGGCTTTTTAATGCAATAACAAAATGAAAAACTGAAAGGAAGTTTGAATAGCAGGTTAGACCTCACTGAAAAAAAGACAGCGAACTAGACCATATGTCAGAAGAAAATATTCAGTATAAAGAGAGGACAAAAGTATGTAGAACATAGAAAAAGCACAACGGACATATATTACTGTGAAAGGTTTGCAAAAAGGCCTAGCACATTTATGATTGGAATCCTAGACGGAGAGGAGAGAAAGAATGGAGAAGAAATCTGGAAGAGTTAGTGGCTAATGGTTCCCAGCCCACATATTCAAGAATCACTATAAACCCCAAGTAGGATAAAATACAAAGAAAACCACACCTAGGCAAATCATAGTAAATTACTGAATGAAGACTCGACATCTTAAAGGTGTTGAGACCTTAAAAACAAAGAGAAACATCTTAAAGGCAGTTAGAGTCAGAATGAGGTAGGAGGCGGGGCTCAGACACTGGACCAGATTGAGGACTCGCTAAAACAGGGTGGGGGTGGAAACAGCTTTCCAATCAGACATGCCCACCAGTGTGCCATGTCAATATATCACTGCCATGGCAACACCCAGGAGTTACCACCCCTTTCAGGGCAATGACTCAATGACCCAAAAGACCTCTTCCCTAGAAATTTCTGCTATACTGCCCCTTCATCTGCATGCAACTACAGTCGTATAAATACTACTGTAAACTGTCCTGGGCTGCTACTCTCTGCCTACAGGGTAGCCCTGCTGGGCAGGAGCAGTCAAAGTGCTGGGCAGGAGC
This sequence comes from Homo sapiens, assembly GCF_000001405.40. Taxonomy (NCBI): domain Eukaryota; kingdom Metazoa; phylum Chordata; class Mammalia; order Primates; family Hominidae; genus Homo; species Homo sapiens. The sequence goes on from NC_000016.10 coordinate 70,927,596, forward strand.
AGTCACAGAACGGTCACACTGCCTCTTCAATAAAGCTGTTTTCTTCCACCTCCAGCTTGCCCTTGAATACTTTCCTGGGCAAAGCCAAGAACCCTCTGGGCTAAGCCCCACTGTGGGGCTCACCTGCCCTGCATCAAGGCTAACACAGAAGGAGCACAATCATGCCGACAGCCGACATCTCAACAGCCACATGGAAGACAAAGATAGAAAAATAATATCATCAAAGTGCTGAAGAAAAATGGCTGGCAACCTAGAGGCCTGCCTAGAAAAAAACACCCTTGAAACATCAAGGTGAAGTAAAGACATTTCGGACAAGCAAAACTTGAGTAATTTGTTGCCAAAGAACCTGTACCTAAAAAAAAAAAACAAAAAACAAAAAAAACAAACACCCAGGAATGTTCTTTAGGTAAAAGAAAACAGACACAAGAGATGTAGAAAGCAGTTAAAGAGTGTTTAGGAGGGTGCTGAGAAATGCATATTGATAAATATTGATAAATGGGCATTTAGGTAAAAATAAATGCAAATTGATTGTTTTAATCAATAATGTTTGTGCATTAAAAAATATATAGTGAGAATTCAAATACATAACTACATTAGCATATAATTTAGAAGAGGGTAGCACTTTGGGAGGCCGAGGCGGGTGGACTGCTTGAGCCCGGGAGTTTGAGAACAGCTTGGGCAACATGGCATAACCACATTTCTACAAAAAAATTAGCCAGACGTGGTGGTGCACGCCTGCAGTCCCAGCTACTCGGGAGGCTGAGGTGGGAAGATCACCTGAGCCTGGGGGAGATCAAGGCTGCAGTGAGTGGTGATCACGCCAAGCACTCCAGCACCTGGGTGATGGAGTCAGACCCTGCCTAAAAAAAAAACAAAAAACAAAAAACAGGGTCAATGGGTCCATGTGGTTAAATGAGGTTAAATTATTCTAAGACTCTTGCATCTTCAACAGAAACACTTGAAGGTGATGGCTGAGGAAAATAAGACTCTTTCTAGTCTATTAACACACTATTTAGTCAAGTGATTACATGGATCAAATTTCCACTAGGCTTTGTTCAATTGTACTTTAGTAAATAACAGCCAATACAAAAGAAACCATTGATCCAAAATATAAACATAAAGGTAAACTTTCTTTTTAAGGAATAACATTTGGGAGAAATTTGCTTTTATAGATTTGGAGTAAGAAATGATGGCTGGCAAGGGCTTATTTGAGGGAGGAAGGCAAATTGAGAGGGATGGAATTGGGTTTAAGATTGAGCTGGAGGATAGAGAGGAAGATTTTTGACAGAAAAGAGAAAGAAGAAGGAAGCAAAGGAAAGTTCAAAGTAGAAACAAGGACGATGGCCAGATGCAAGGCTTTCTTCTTCTTCAGTGAGAAATCATCATCCATTTGTTTAAAACAGGATTATTTTTGTTGGGCGCGGTGGCTCACACCTGTAATCCCAGCATTTTGGGAGGCCAAGGCAGGTGGATCACCTGAGGTCAGGAGTTTGAGACCAGGCTGATCAACATGGTGAAACCTTGTCTCTACTAAAAATACAAAAATTAGCTGGGCGTGGTGGTGCATGCCTGTAATCCCAGCTACTCGGGAGGCTGAGGCAGGAGAATAGCTTGAACCTGGGAGGTAGAGGTTGCAGTGAGCAGAGATTGTGCCATTGCACCCCAGCCTGGGCGACAAGAGTGAAACTCCATCTGAAGAAACAAAACAAAACAACAACAACAACAACGAGGATCAGATTTAGTTGAAGTGCACTTTTTTGGTTAGATTTCTGAAACAAAAATTTTAAGAGATAACAGGCTTTTCAAGAGGACAGAGAAGACTGGAGCAGGAAGGGAACTTAGAGATCATCTAGGGATGAGATAAGGAAACTTTGGCCCAGAGGGTATATGACAAATTCACAGCTTCACAGATTAGTCTTTGAGTTTCCAGACTGACAGGTGTATTTCTCACTTCCTTTCCTGTCTCCCATTATAGCTGGTTCTGTGATGTTTTTTTCTTTTCCAACATCCCTTTATTTTCCCATCCTTGATTCTTGCTCTGTGCAATACCTCTTCCTCCAGGAGCAAGCAGATTCAGAACTGACCAGTCACAGAATGGCATCCCCCTGGCCAAGGGGACTGGTTCAGAGCAGGCACATGGCACTCTCCAGTGAGAGTGAAAGCCAGCACTGTGGCCAAAATGGTGTTTAACGAAGCACTCCTTTCCAGCTGGGTTTGGATTTAGGCGAATCTAAGCCAGAACTTTCGGGGGCTCTCACGTGGAGGGCATCAGTCAGAGACTGGAACCAGCACAGGTGAGCCAAGAGATGCAGGCAAAGAACTCTGCATGGGGGTTTATGGTTCTCATGCGTGGGAATGAACAACCAGCAAACTGATTGTCCCATACATAACAGCTACAGACTGAATGAAATAGAAACATAACTCCCTGAGAGCTCTAGAGACTAAAAACAAATTAGGCAGTTTTTAAAGGGGCTGTTGAAACTCGGAATAAGAGAGTTGCATAAAGTAAGTCCTCTTCCTCCTTTTTCATGGCTTTACACTGAAGATAGTCATGGCAGTGTAGTGGCTGGTGGCCACACCACAATAGAAAAAACCACCAACCGGGCTGGGCACAGTGGCTCACGCCTGTAATCCCAGCACTTTCAGAGGCCGAGGTGGGAGGGTCACCTGAGGTCAGGAGTTCCACACCATCTTGGCCAACATGGCGAAACCCCGTCTCTACTAAAAATACAAAAATTAGCCGGGCATGGTGGCACACGTCTGCAGTCCCAGCTACTTGGGAGGCTGAGGCAGGAGAATGGCTTGAACCTGGGAGGCGGAGGTTGCAGTGAGCCAAGATTGCGCCACTGCACTCCAGCCTAGGCGACTGAGTGAGACTCTGTCTCAAAAGAAAAAAAAAAGAAAGACCCACCAATCTTCATTCTAGAGGAGCCACAGAAAGAAGTCCTGGAGCATTCAGAGCCTCCAGAGAGTGAAAGGGAAACCCCAGAAAGGAGAGAGAGCCAAAGAAGAGGAACCCCGCATTTTCTGTATAAGCAGCCTAAATCTCTGGCTGGCTGACTCTTGAACTATGTGTGCGGGGGGCAAACTGGAAGCAATTTGTAATTAAGGTCTAAAGAATGGAACTGACATCTTAGTCACTGACCACTGCAGATGCAAAAGACCAAAACTTGATCCAACCAAGCTTAATTGTCTGTTAAACCTAAAATATCAACATTCTTTGGAGAATTATAATACAATACAGAGTCTGCAACATAACATTAAAAAATTTCAGGATGTGATACAAAATTACTTGTCATATGAAGAGTCAGGAAACTGTGACAAATTCTCAAAGGAAAAGACAGTCAACTATGCCAACCCTGAGATGACTCAGATGGAGGAACTGTCAGACAAGAACTATATGCAGCTATTATAACTATGATCAGTAAGGCAGAAGGAAATCCAAGCAGATAAACTGAAAAATTTAAAAAGAACCAAGTGGAAATTTTAGAAGTGAAAAATACAGTATCTGAAATAAGAATTCAGGAAGGAACAAGCCATGAATTTTCATACATGTGAGCAAATAAATTTTTTTTAACGTTTTTTGAATTGGGTTTTCTGTCTCTCTTTCTTCTGTTTTTTTTTTTTTTTTTTTTTTTTTAATACAGGGTCTTGCTGTGTTGTCCAGGCTGGATTCAAATTCCTGAGCTCATGCAATCCTCCTGTTTCAGCCTCCTGAGTGGCTGGGACTACAGGTGCACACCACCACAGATGGCCTGAATTGAGTCTTCTATTTCTTGCAGTTTAAAGATTCCTGACAATATATCCACTTGAGACTGTGCTTTTGCTAACGTTAGTGTTGGCTGCTACGCAACTGCTTACAGCCTTGCTACTCAGAGTGTGACCCAAGAGCCAGCAGCATGAATGTGACCTGGGACTTGTTAGAAATATAGTCTCATGCCCCAGCCCAGACCTACGGAATCGGAACCTCTCTGCATATTAACAGGATCCCTAGGTGATTTGCGTGCATATTCAGATTTGAAAAGCTGATATAGAGAAAATCAGAATCACCAGCAGATTTCATTTTATAGGATAAACAGTTAAAGAGCAGTAGGCTATTAGATGGAAGGAAATCTTCCGATTAGAAAGGCAAAAACAGGCTGGGTGTGGTGGCTCATGCCTGTAATCCCAGCACTTTGGGAGGCCAAGGTGGATGGATCACTTGAGGTCAGGAGTTCAAGACCAGCCTGGCCAATATGGTGAAATCCTGTCTCTACAAAAAATACTAAAATTAGCCAGGCATGGTGGTGGGTGCCTATAATCCCAGCTACTTGGGAAGCTGAGACAGGAGAAGCGCTTGAACCCAGGAGGTGGAGGTTGCGGCCGAGATCCCACCACTGCACTGTAGCCTGGGCGACAGAGCGAGACTTGTATCAAAAAAAAAAAAAAAAAAAAAAAAAAGGTAAAAACAATCCACAAAATAAAAAAAAAAGTGATTGGCCAGGCGCAGTGGCTCACACCTGTAATCCCAGCACTTTGGGAGGCTGAGGTGGGTGGATCACCTGAGGTCAGGAGTTCGAGACCAGCCTAGCCAACATGGTGAAAGCCTGTCTCTACTAAAAATATAAAAATTAGCCGAGTGTGGTGGCGGGCGCCTGTAATCCCAGCTACCCGGGACGCTGAGGCAGGAGAATCACTTGAACATGGGAAGCGGAGGTTGCAGTGAGCCGAGATCGAGCCACTGCATTCCTGCTTAGACGACAGAGCAAGATTCTGTCTCAAAAAATAAAGAAATAAAAAATAAACAAAAACATACCCACACATAAAACAAATATTTTTGAGCACCTTTCTGCCAGGTGGGAGACTCATTAAGTGATCAAAACAGACAAAAGCCTCAGCCTTCATGAGGCTTATATTTTGCAGGGGCAGGTAGGCAGACAAAATCACATAAAAATCTATGGTATGTGAGATGGTGATGAGTGCTAAGAAGACAGGGAAGGGGCTAAGAAGTGGGTTTTTTTTTTTGTTGGTTTTCGTTTGTTTGTTTTGTTTTTGCTTTTGTCTTATTCAATTTTAAATAGAGTGGCCAGGGAAGGCCTTGCTGGGATGTTTAAATAAAATCCTGAAGAGGAGTTCAGTGGCCAACCAGCATGTTTTTTTTTAAAGGTTCACCTCATTAACAATTCAAGAAATGCAAATCCAAGCAATAAAAATATTCAGTTGTTCACCCATCGAATCTAGTCAGCAAGGATTAAAAGGAATGCTAAAACCTATAGCCTGTGAGGTCAGGGGTAAAATACACACCTTTCAACCCTGGAATGACATGTTTAGAAATGTATCCTAAGGAAGTAAGCATGGATATGTACAAAGATTCCGCTCTAAGTGAGACACTTTTGGTCTCTCCACTATGATTTCCTTCCATGGATATTAAACTAATTTGGCAACAAGCAAGAAAAACAGAAAAATACACTTTATGTTTCTGCAAACTGTGTCCTCTTCCCCATCCTGTTTCCAGAACCAGAAAACCAGGGGGTGTGATGATGGAATTACCATGTAGCTACACAGTACCACAGCAAAGACGGGTGAGACAGCTGGGGATGGGGAAGAAAGGAGAGCCCTAGTCTGGGACGGGCTTGAGAACAATTTAGGAGGGGGACTCCCTCACAGGGCTCCTGGTTGGTCATGGGGTGAAGGTGCAGAAGTGACAGGGTCAGGGTGACTCTGGGATTTGGGCCTGGGAGCTGAAAGAAGGGTTGGGGAGGAATATAGGGCCAGGAAGAGGTCTGGAAGAAAGGCAGCATAGATGATGAGCTTGGTGTGGGCCGTGTTGAGTTACCAGTGTCCGAGGGACAATCTGAAGAAGTGTCAGGAGCCATGGATGGACTAAGGGCTTGGGAGGCAGTGCAAGAACCAGGAAAAGGAGTGCCTGCTTTGGAGTTGGACAAATTGGGCCTGCCCCCACCGCCTTCTGGCCATGTGACCTTGGGTGCATCACTTAACTGTGCTGCATTCCAGCTTCCTCATCTCCAAAATGATGGTGATGATCATATCTCCCTCAGCGGGTGTTGTGGAGACTGGAGGTAGATGGTGATGGGATCTATTCACAGTTCCCAGCAGGGAGTGTCACATAGCAGGAATTCAGCACACAGTAGCTATTAGTTGTTAAAACATTGGTTTAGCTCTTTTTCATGTGGCTTCTGCCTTTCTCTCCTCCCTCTTTTGGGCTGTCCCTCTGCCTGGAATGCCCTTCACTTCGTTTTGGAATTTGCAAGCTTTTCCTGACTCCCCTCCTCTCTTCCTCCAACCCATTATGTATGATCAGGTAGCACTGAAGTCACGCATGGGATGGGGGTCAGCCTTAGACCAAGCAGGAAGACACAAAGGCTGACGCTGGAAACCTGCAGAGTGACTAAGGATGGATGGAGGCGGGTCCAGAAAGAAACCAGGGAGAAGGAGGAAAGCCAGAAAGGGCGGACCAGGATGCTAGGAAAGAAGAGCGATCCAAGGAGGGTACGATCCACAGTGTGAAGCTCATGGAGGAGGACGTCAAGCAAGTCAAGGCCTAACCCATGCCCATTAGATCTGGAAATGGAGAGGCTGGAGCCTTGGATTCGAGGGAGTGGTGGAGACAGGAATCAGGGTAGGAAACGGGGAGGCAGAAATGAGGGGTGACGAGGCAAAGCCAGCAAGTGGAGACAAGCATGAAGGGAAGGAGAGAAATGGGGTGCTTGTCGGGGGCACCAGGGTTGAAGAAAACTTTTTTTTTTTTCATTTTAAAGGTGGGTGATTCTTGAGAACATCTTCAAAGCCTGTGAGAAGAGCTGAAGCCAGAGCAGAGAGGAAAACAGGTGTGCTGACGGTCGAAGACATAGAGCAGTCCTTTTGATGAGGAAGCAGGAAGGTCTTTAGTCATTCCCTTTCACCTTGGCACTCCCCCTGGAATTTTCTTTCACTTCCTGAGAATGCATCTAGTCTCAGCAGTTTTTCTTCAGCTTAAGTGTTTTCAGACCAGGCAACCGCATTAGTCCAAGAGTCTCAAGAAGTCCCCCTAGGGAACATGATTGATTGTGTTTTGTACTAAGCTCAAGTGATACACAAGCCTGTCTCCAAATGGATGACTGTCATAAGGTCCTTATCACCTCCATCCAAGGTCAACAGAGCACATACAAAAGTACCTGCCCTGAATCTGGTAGTGGGGTCTGGGGTCGGGGGCTGGGGGTGGGTGGTCAGGTGACAGCAACTTGAACTGACACTAAAATAGGAAAATCCACATGCTCCTACTTAAAACAGATTCCAGATGGAGACACCAGTGATGGAGTCAGTGGGTATAATTTGAGGTTAATTGTGCTGCAAATAGTCTTTCTTTTAATGATGAATGAAATGTTGTCTTTTAAAAGCAAGCTTGGTAGATAACTTCTGCATAGATTATCCTGAACTTATGCCACATAAGAAATTGACTTTGTTTAATGGCAAAAATAATGGCTGAAACACACAGGTACACAAATTCTCCCTGCTGGCTTCATGTACAAAATCACCGGGGAGAGGCAGGGATCAGTCCTGGTAATTTTTTCTTAGGGACCCCCTTTTGTTCTCAGCCTGAGATGTCATAGATTTCCTTCAGGTCAGTATCAGGCATCCCAAATCTGTGCCTAGTTCTGTATGCTTAGATCCTGCTCCTTCCTGAGCACTCCCTGGTTGAGACCGCTGCACACTAATTTCTCTGCCCAGCCACTGTCACTGTCTTTCACTCACCTACTTGGACCAGTCTGTACCCTGTCTGGAGACTGGTTATAGCTTCACCCTCAGGACTCGTGGCTGCCCACACCAGCTGGTCACAACCTTCAGCCAGGATCATCACTCTGGGGGCTCCTCTAGCCACTCTGCCCTTCCAGTGCCACAGGGAGCAGGGAGGTGACTGCTGTGCTTGGCAGGCTGATAAACTACTGGCACTTGCCTGCGAGGATAGGCTCATGCCGAAGCATCTCCTTGACGGTTGCCAAGGGTATGCTCCTGATTGGACACATGGGCTCACTGGCTTTGTGGCTTCCTGGGAACACATCTTTAATAGTAGCCTATTTGGCACCATCCTGGGCCCTGCAGGGGGCAGTGGAAGGAGCAAGGGCTGTGGCCAGACCCAACTGGGTGAGGACCTGGATCTGCATCTTCATATCTCTGAACCTCACAGGGTGAGAGGATTATGTATGACACAGGCACAACACTTCACATACAATCAACATTCAACAAACGTTGGTCCCTTTCCTCCTGCCTTCTGCCCCACCACAAAATCCCAACATGATCAGGCTAATTTCCTGGAAGGGGAATGCACCAGGCTGCCCTCTGCTTCTGTCTCCTGGCAAGGAGTAAGTGAGGCTGTTACCTGCTTGTTTGCTGCTTGAGATTTCTTCATGGGGGGCTCCTCCTTAATGGGTCCCTGCTTTCCTTTTTTGACCCTCCGTTTCAGCTCATCCTCTTCCTTTTGTCGCTCCAGCTCCTGCTGTAGCTTCTTTTCTTGCATTTCCTTTGCCAGCCTCTCCTGCTCCCTTCATCAAACCAGGCAGAGAAAAAACAGTTCAGGGGCCCCCATGCCTCACCCCTCTGCTGCCTGGGATTTCCAGGTGTAGGGACATTGGGCAGAGCTTTCTTGGGCATAAAAAGAAAGAACAAAGTAAGCTGGATATGTGGAAGGAAAGGAGAAAGGAAGAGAAGGAAAGAAAGAAAAAATGACTACCATCTATGTTTGAATGGTCATTCATCAAGACTCTGATTTATTGAAACTCAACTAGGAGGAATTCTCCATTAATCTGTATTTTGAGTCCAATCTCCTCTCATGGGAGAGTGAGAAAAAGGCTGAAAATAAGCTTGATATTAGCACTTAAAAAAAGCAACTTTCAAAGATTGTTCTGGTATTAGTGCAGATGAGGCCCGCCTCCCATAGCTGAGCATGTTTGCTGTTCAGAAAATAAGAATTTTTTTTTTTTTTTGACAGAGTCTCGCTCTGTCACCCAGGCTGGAGTGCAGTGGTGTGATCAGCTCACTGCAACCTCCACCTCCTGGGTTCAAGCAATTCTCCTGCCTAAGCCTCCTGAGTAGCTAGGATTACAGGTGTGCACCAACATGCCCGGCTAACTTGTATTTTTAGTAGAGACGGGGTTTCGCCATGTTGGCCAGGCTGGTCTCGAACTCATGACCTCAGGTGATCCTCCTACCTTGACCTCCCAAAGTGCTAGTATTACAGGCATGAGCCACTGCGCCCAGCCAGAAACGGTATTTTCAAAGCAGTTTCTATGGTGGCTAGCTCAGAGCCATGGTGCTCAGTCCGAAAGCCGTGTTCCCCTCCTCCACCCTCTCTTTCCCTTTCCGCTGTCATTCAACTGCTCCTGCCCCTGCTGCTGACAGCAGAGAGTGGACCAAAGCCAAGCACCAAGCACAAACAAGTGAGGGAATGGTACTTCTGAAAATAGTTAACCCAGCTATTTTCATCCAGGAATTCCTAATTGTTTCTGGTTGCCATGGCTCTCTGCCCACTGAAGCAAACTCATTTACTTCATGGTGTGTGTGTGTGCATGTGTGTGTGTGTGTGTGCGCGTGTGTGGTGTGACACAAACAAGTTGTTGCTGCACTTTGAGAATCAAATTTGCATTTTCCAAGTCCACCATGAGATGAATGCCTGAAAGCAACAGCCCTGGTGAAAAACGAGTTTCCTCTAAAATCTCAAAGCAAGGCTTTCTGTAACTCTGGAGGACTGGGCATTTCTATAGTGGACCATGCCACAGAAAGATCAGGGCACACCCAGCTGGGCGCTGTGGCTCACGCCTGTAATCTCAGCACACTGGGAGGCTGAGGCAGGCAGATCACTTGATCCCAGGAGTTCAGTTCGAGATCAGCCTGGCCAACATGATGAAAACCTGTCTCTACTAAAAATACAAAAAAATTGGCCGGGCATGGTGGTACATGCCTGTAATCCTAGCTACTTGGGAGAGTGAGGCAGGAGAATTGCTTGAACCCAGGAGGTGGAGGTTGCAGTGAACTGAGATTGTGCCACTCAAGGCGTGATGGAGGAACTCCAGCCTGGATGACAGAGCAAGAGTCTGTCTCAAAAAAAAAAAAAAAAAAAGATTAGGACATACTGTAGCAGCAGGGAGGGCAAAAGCTGTTTCAGGTCAGTGGGAGAAGTGTGGAGCTGGAGGAGAGAACAGGGTAAATAGTAGGTGAGTATCTAGGCTCTGTACCTCCAGCGCCTGAAATCCCAGGGAGGAGGTAGGAAATAGAACCACTGCCCCCCACCCCATCCCTGCAATCTTTGAAGATCTGAGGGCAGAAAGGACACATGTCCCACTGTTCCCATCCCTCTGAGATAGCCCGAGGTGGCAGTCCTAAGTATCCTGGGCACTAGGAGGCATGGGGGGATCGAGTAGTTTCTGTGTGGTTCCCAGGGAGGGGCAGAGAAAGTGGCTGAGGGTGCTGGCTTGTGAGTCTGCCCACAGTCCCAGGATTGAGGATCTGCCCAGGCTGAGGATCCCATGGCAGCTAGACCTCAGGGGATGGGCAGCACCGCCCAAGGCCAAGAAGGGGACCCAGGCAGGGGGAGGAAGGGCTGAGATTTGGGGAGCAGTCACTATGCCCAGGTCAATAGAGTGGACCCTGGATCACCAGCTGTGGACATTGAAGCACCGAGGCAGTGAGCACAGAGGCTGATAAGCCACACGCGGGGGTGCTGGTCAGGGGGGGCCAGCAGGGGCCCCAGGGCAGCACAGAGGCCAGTGGCCCCTCTTCCAGGGCCACCCATGACATTACAGCCTGGTCCCAAATGCCCGCCAGTGAGAAATAAGGAGAGTGGGAGAAACCCTGAATGGTGCAGCAGCCAGCACCCTTGATGGGCGGGATGCATCTTTCTGCTCCTTGCAGGTCACCTTCCAGGGCCTTCTGCAGCTCCTGCTGCCTGCCTGGAAGATGGCTTGGGCTCACACCCCGGTCCTGGTCACTCTGTGGGGACGGTCCCGGGGGAATGGCTTCTGCTCTGGCCAGCCCTTGGCCCTGACCTCTTCTTCCGCTCGCGGAGCGCCTGCTGAATCCCCCGATCGAATGTGAGTTTCTCCTCCTCAGTCAGGGCATCATATTCTTCCTCATCCATGTTTTGGAGACGCTCCTTCTCTTTCTCAAGAGCTCCCTTGTGCTTGCGTTCTGTGAGGGGAACAGAGACGGGAAGGTGAGGAAAAGTCCTTCTCAGTCTCGCTAGCAGCCTAAGCAGGCGGAGTAGGGTCTTAGTGTGGGGCAGCTGGTACGGCGCCTGGTCTGCCTCATCCCTGATTGCAGGGGTGGGGGGGTCCCTTCATCCATGCACTTCCACATTTGGGCTCTGTCTGCAGGTGGCTGAACAGTGGCCCCCAAAGATGCCCATATCAGATTACTCAGAACCTGTGACTGTGTTGTCTTCCATAGCAGAGGGACTCTGCAGATGTGATTAAATTTAAGGATCTTGAGGTGGGCAGATTATTTTGGGGGGCCCAGTCTAATTATAAGGGTCCTTTCGAGGGATGCAGGAGAGTCAGTCAGAGATGGTGATGATGTGATAGTAGGAGCAGGGGTCAGAGGGCTGCAAGGAAGGGGCCAGGAGCCAAGGAGTGCAGAAGGCCTCTAGAAGCCAGAAAAGACAAGAAAAAGGGGCTACCTAACAGCCAAAAAAGGAACGTGGCCCTGCTGAGAAAAGTCCGGAGCAATGACCAGGCATCCCTCAGCAGTCATCAAGCCTCCAGCTGCCTCGTTTTCCAGAAAGTTTATTTCTCCATAATGATCCACTTGAAAATAATTACCACTTCTCATTTTCCCCATTATCTTTGGAATGAAATTTCTCCTGGTTAAATTGTGGGCTCTTCTCCCCTAAATCATCTGCATTTGAAATGTCCTAAGGTAGCATACTGTCATACTACTATTACATTAAAATCTCATGTTTGTTAACATGTATGAACATGCCAGGCACTGGGGAAGGCACTTTACATGATTGCTTATTTAATCTCCACAACAGCCCTATGAGGGAGGAGTTATCATTCTTATCTGTGATTATCCCTTAATAAGTGGCAGGGAAAGATGTTAGGACTTCTGACCCCGGAAGTGTAAGACAATACATTTCTATGTTGTGTTAAGTAACCAAGTTTGTGGTTGCTATGGTGTAAATGTTTGTGCCCCCTCGAAATTCCTATGTTGAAACTGAATTCCCCAAGGGGATGGTATTAAGAAGGGCCTTAGGGAGGTGACTAGGTCACAAGGATAGAGTCCTCATGGCTGGGATTAGTGTCCTTATAAGAGGCCTGAGGGAGCTTGTTTCAGGACTTAGTGAGAAGATGCTTTCTGTGACCAGAAGGTGACACTGTTTCTGTTGGCACCTTGATCTTGGACTTGCCAGCCTCCAGAACTGTGAGAAATAAATGTCTGTTGTTGATAAGCGACCCAATCTATGGAATTTTGTTATGGCAGTCTGAAAAGACTAAGACAGTGGTCATTTGTCACAGCAATGATAGAAGACTCATATACCACCCACTGACTTGACTCATTATGAGCATATGCCACTAACGGGTTCATGGTGACAGGGCCATTTGCACACCAAGGGAAATTCCCTGCCCTGCCCTACGGATTCCAGGTCTAGGCATGTGATTCACACTTAGGACAAAGGCACCAGCTCCTTCCTCACACCTCCCTAGCACAGCATTCTCACCGTCATCCTCGCAAGTTTGAGCTGTGGACTCAGACACCTGCATTTGAGCTCCTTCCCGGCCACTTATCAAGAGATAATCACAGATAAGAATAATAACATACGGCCGTTGTAGAGATTAAATAAGCGATCATGTAAAGTGCTTTCCCCAGTGCCTGGCATGTTCATAGATGTTCGACAAACATGAGATTTTAGTGTAATAATAGTGTGACCGTATACCATCTTAGGACATTTCAATTTAGATGATTTAGGGGAGAGGAGCCCACAGTTGAACTGGGAGAAATTTCATTCTGAAGATAAGTGGGAAAAGGAGAAGTGGTAATTATTTTCAAGTGGATCAGTATGGAGAAATGAGCTTTCTGGAAAACTAGGCAGCTGGAGGCTGGATGACTGCTGAGGGATGCCTGGTCACTGCTCCAGATTTTTCTCAGGATGAGACTATAAAGAAGCTGACTTTGAGTTCTGTTCAAGGACTTCGACAGCCCAGTGTTTGTAAGTATTTCCTTAATTGGAAAAGCATTATGATTTGACTAGATAGTGTTAGAAGGGAGCGGTAAGCCGGAGTGAGGAAGGGCAGTCGTGTGGCTGGAGCCGAAGCTCCTGGGAGGTGGGGCTCTGACTCCCGTAGACAGCGCCACCAGCCTCTGTCCTTCAACCCCTGCCCTGGGGGGCCAAGATTTGCTGGGGCTGCTTCTGACTACATTGGGAACTTAAGCTAACATTACTTGTGTGTGTGTGTACCTATCTTTCAATCAAACCTTTCAGTTATTAAAATTTTTCTCAGGCCATTGGCATAAGGATAGGAAAAGCAAAGGGTTTAGAATTACATGCACCCGGTTCTCCTACTAATTGGCAATGTGATTTGGCACAAGACTTTTGCTATCTCTGAGCTACATTCTCCTTTAGTGTAAAATGGGGACAAGATTCACAGGGTAATTGTGAGGATTAAATGTCCCAAAGTATACAAAATATCTGCTACGGTGCCTGGTGTGCAGCAGGCTAAGGTGTAAATGTTTTGGAAAATGTATTAGCACCGTGAGTTTTATGAGAAATGCACAGTTGGCTTAAACAAAACCAACAAGGAAATCAGTTGCCTGAGTCAGGATGGGACCCGTAATGGCTGTAATTGCAGAAAGGATGGAGGGGTACAGTGTGATGGGAGGGAAGCAGGAATGCACCTGCTGTCAGCAAAGCGTTCATCATAGAACTTCCCAGCCGGCCACTCGCGTCCCAGTTCCCTCCTAGCAAAGCAGAAATACAACTCCTGGCCACCTTACAGGGCAGAGGTGAGGCGCCAACGGAATAGCAAATGTCAAAGTTTCACTTAAGCCCAATGGAAAGGTAGGAGGCCTTGCCTTCTTGCTCCTTTTTGGCTTTCTCCTGGGCCTTCATGGCTGCGTAATCCTGGGCCATGTTGAGAATGTATATATGCTCCCGGCTGCCAATGGCCTTCAGCAGGCAGAGGAGGGCGGCTGCAGCATTCTGAGCAAAGAGAGTGTCGAGGCCATCAAACACCACTCCTCGGTAGCAGTCACTCAGCTGAAACCAGAGAGAGCAAAGACAGTTACTATGGCCACAACCTCATTTGTTCTGTTTATGCTTTTACTGGGGCTGCAAAGGGTTCTGCAGACCTACTGGGCCCCAATGCAAACACCATGCCTTTCTGCTTGCTAAATCCAAGGTGCTGTCATAAAATAAAAGAAAAGAATAAAAATGTTTAATCAGCCAGTCTTTTTTTTTTTTTTTTTTTTTTTGAGACAGAGTCTCCCTCGGTCACTCCAGCGCCCAGGCTGGAGTGCAGTGGTGCAATCTCGGCTCACTGCAACCTCTGTCTCCCGGGTTCAGGTGATTCTCCTGCCTCAGCCTCCCAAGTAGCTGGGATTACAGGTGCCCACCACCAGGCCCGGCTAATTTTTGTATTTTTAGTAGAGACAGGGTTTCACCATGTTGACCAGATTAGTCTCGAACTCCTGACCTCAGGTGATCCACCTGCCTCGGCCTCCCAAAGTGCTGGAATTACAGGCATGAGACACTGCGCCCAGCCAGATGGTCTTTATTACAATAATAAGGGTTTATTCTGTCTGTAGAAATAAATGAACAAACAAAAATGTTAAAGGGCCGATCTGGGAAGATCCATGAGGTACACAAAAATGAGATGGAAAGGGAAAGATGCTCCCAAGCACAGAGTCACAGGCAGCAGGGGGAGCAGCTGGGCCTTTTGTATTTTTCTTATTAGTCTTACTGCCTTGGAGCGTAATGATTTTGGTAACAGTAACCATTGAAGAACAGCCTCTGCCTTACTCAGTGTTACTCAAAGTGTAGCCCATAGACTGGCCACCAGTGAATGAGCGTTAGGTTTTTGATGAGACAAGAAGCTTGTGTCAGAATGTAAATGACCTGTATCACTAAACACACTATTTGGTTCAGCTGGCAACTGAACAGGTACCGTGGCCACATCATTCCTTCTCTGCAGCTAAACTTTGTAGCAAGACTTTGTTGATGAAAGAAGCCCTGTAAGCTCCACGTGTCATCAGAGACCAGCACTTTGAGTAGCACAGCTCCACTGGCTTACTTTGGGGCCTTACCAGTGTTTCTCAGCCTTTACTCTGGGTATCTAAAACATTGGCACACTTATGGGAACACCTTGTTCAAATCAGTTGAAAGTGATGTACCTTTAATGTAGTAGCAGTGCAAATCTTAACATAAAAACTTTCTTGTGATGATATTCCTCCTCTTCTGGGAACGTCAAGTTAATTTTGTTGTATTTAAATCTGCAATTAATATTGTGGCCCTAGTTGAGAACACAAAGCAAACACCCAGCTCCAGGACCTGGTAAGCAATGTAGCTGTGTCTGCAAACCATGAGCAGAAACAGGCTTAAGTGATACCCTCCTCAATCCTGCTGATCTTATTTTCTTGTCTTTAACTGTAGAATTCTTATGGAAAAAAAATTAAAAATTAGAAAGAGTGTTACTGTTTTTCTGACTTTAAAAGCAATATGTCATTGTAAAATAATTCAGAAATGTATAAAGAAGACTAAAATTCTATAATCCTGCTACCCAAAGATAACAATGGTTAACATGTATTTTAAAAGTTTTTACTATGTGTGTAGTATACATTTCTAAATATTTATATAGAATGTTATTATGTTTTAACCAGTATTTCCTAGTTACTTCTTTTTCACTTAATAACATTGAAAATGGGTTTTTGAAGCAATTAACATAGCTCCAAATTCTAACTTTTAGAATGGCTCCACATTGTAATTTTTAACAACATCACTCTCTTTCTGGTCATTAAAAAAACTTTTGTGTAGTCTTCTGCTCTCTGGTCCTTGAAGAAGGTGAATGGCTTCAGGCTGTAGACCGGGCCAGGGTCAGGGGTCGACAAGAGCTGTCAAAAAGACAAGCAAACGACTGCCTTCCGGGCTGCCGAGCTGCCGTGGGTGGCTGATGGCCCAGAACCTCTGTCCAGGGTGTGGGGATGGTGCGTGAATGCCAAGCCCTGCAGCTCTGTGCAGGTGGCATGGACCCACCTGTATCCGCTCTGCCAGGATCTGCACGAGAAGTTCATCCGGGAGCACACAGCTCATCAGCCCGGTCTCGCCTCCGACACTGGGACTAACACTGAGCCAGCGGTGGATGGGCCCCGGGGGGAGAGGGCTGGAGGAAATCTGTTGAGTGGGAGAAGGATCAGGAGTCAGAATCTGGCCTTGTATCTCAACAACTCCTACACTTACCAGCCACAGGACCTTGGGAAGATCACATAATCTGTCATTTCCTCATCTGTACAATGGGAACTGCATTATAAAATGGAAGGACCCTGTCTTCCTTAAAGAACCACTGTAAGTTTCAAGTGGGAATAGCATGGAAGGTACGTTGTTTGTGTACTGAACTGCACGCAGCTTTTCATTCATTCGATAATTATTCACTGAGCACCTATCTTGCACCAGGCATGCTTAGGTACTAGGGATATAACAACAAACAATGGCGCTGCCCCCAGGCATTCCAATGCAATCCACCATTGCATTCCAATGGAAGAGAGAGAAAAGGCCACCTTCCTTCACAAATCAATACAATTTCAGAAAGTGATGAGTGCTAGGAAGGAAATAACCAGGTAAGGGAATAAGGAATCATAACAGGGCTGGGGAAAGACTATGTAGAGAGGATGCTCATGTTACCCGGGTTACGTCAAAGAATGAGACAAGATCTTGGGAGCAGAGCCTTTCTGGGAGTGGACAGCAAGCTCTTTCAACGCAAGTGTGCTCGGGGAATCTCGGGGGCACATGGAGCCCAGTGGGGCTGGAACTGAGTGAGCAATGGGGAAGACAGTCAGGCTGAAGGTTAAAGACACCACACCGCCAGGACCAGAATACGCAGGGCCTTGTAGCCCATGGTCAGCAATTTGTATTTTATTCCAAGTATTATGGGAAGTTGGTGTGTTTCAGCAGACAAATAATCTGATTTATATTTATATTTATTTTATTATATTTTTGAGATGGAGTCTCACTCTGTTGCCCAGGCTGGAGTGCAATGGTGCCATCTTGGCTCACTGCAACCTCCGCCTCTCGGGTTTAAGTGATTCTCCTGCCTCAGTCTCCCAAGTAGCTGGAATTACAGGTGTGCACCACCATGCCTTGTTAATTTTTGTATTTTTAGTAGAGACAGGGTTTCGCCATGTTGGCTAGGCTGGTCTCGAACTCCTGACCTCAGGTGATCTGCCTGCCTCGGCCTCCCAAAGTGCTGGGATTACAGGCATGAGCCATTGCACCCAGCCTGATTTTTATTTTTAAAAGACCACCCTACTCGTCACATGAGGTGACATGAGTGGAAACAGGAAGATGTCACTGTGGTCAGGGCAGGAGATGATGGCAACAGGGATGAGGATGGTGGTGGTGACTGAGACGAAAATGGTGGTGGCGAGAAGTGGCTCATACAGGATATGTTTTGGAAGTAGGGCCAGTAGGACTTCGGATGGAACATAAAGAGTCACCAAAACATGATTCTTTGAGTTTTGACCTTAGCAACCTGGAAAATGGTGAAATTATTTACTAAGAAAGGAAAGACTGGGAGAAGAACAATTTTTGGGGAGCAGTGGAAGCAAGAATCACTTTTTGGATATAAACATTTTGAGATGCCTCTAAGCCCTTCGAGAGAGATTGAAAGGATACATGAACCTGCACTCGGGAAGAAATTAGAGCTGGCAATAGAATTTCGAGAGTCATAAGCATGTTAAAGGTATTTAAATATTTAAGTAATGCAACTGAGTGAGATCGCCTGCAAAGACAATGTAGGAAACAAAAAGGAGAGTAGTAGAAGACTTTGTCCCAGGCTACTCCAATGACTAGGAATTTGGAGATTGAGAAGCTGGGGAAGTAGAGGAAGGAGTTGCTAATGAGGTAGAAGGGAAGGTGGAGGAGTGTGGTGTCTGAAAGCCACACGAAGAAAGCGTTTCCAAGAGGAGGGGGTGATCAGCTGCCAAGAAGTCATGTGAGATGAAGACAGAAAACTGACCTCTGTATTTGTCCAGGTGAAGACTGCCAAGGACCTTGAGAAGAAAGAGCAGCCGTGGAATGGTGGGGACAAAGGCCCCACTGGAAGCAGTGAAACAGAGGATGGGGGTGGGTGTGAGGACGAGGAGGCAGGCAATGCGGCAATTCTTTGGAGGAACAGCAGAGGAGGGGAGCTGAGAGAGGAGGTAATAGGCGGAGGGGGATGTGGGGTCACGGGAAAGCATTTTTAATGATGCGAATAATAATACAGCATGCATAGATGCTGACAGAAGTAGAGTAGGGGGAAAGTGGGAGAGAGGGGACAACTGCAGGAATTTAGCCATTGGATAAGAGAAGGGGTGGGGCTGGGTGCCCATGTGCAGGGATCAGCCCTGGGTGAAGGCAGGGCAGACACTCAGCTGTCGAGAAGGCACAGCCCTGTGTGTGGATGGAGGCTGCTGGAAGACTTGGTGGCCGGAAGATGAGGTCATTGTCTTCTGATTGCTGCAGCTTTCTTGGTGAAATCAGAATAGAGATCATCGGCTGAGAATGAGGAAGAGGAAAATATTTTGGAGGCTAGGAGAGTGATGAGAGCAATAAAGCAGTCATCTTGAATAGATGCAGAGCTGAGCCAGACCAAAGGGCCCATTGGAGACCTGTGGTCTTAAATTTAAATTAAGATCCTTCAGGAGAGGTGAGAGTCTTCCCCAGCTATGTTCAGCTGGTCTGCATGGAGTAGGGGGAGGATTAGGTTTGCCAGGGTTGAAGCTTTGCTTGAGAGTGTGGTGAAGGGCAAGTTGCAAGGGGGTGCTATGGTGGCAGACCATGGCATCCAGACTGGATAGGGAGGGCACGAGGTGGGTGCTAGGTAGTGAGGATGAGGAATGGAGGTTTCGATGGGGCCAGGTGCTTACCAGAGTTAGTCATCTGTAAAGTGAGAAGATGGCTGTGGGAAAGCAGGATTGTGATAGAGAGATCTTGGAGTTTATGGGTAGCGGTGAACAATGTCTAGGATGTGGTCAGGGAGGTAAGTAGCTGAGGAGGCCATGAAATTGAGAAGCAAGAGTGTTGGATTAAATATCATTCAAAAGATCAGGATTGTGATTTTTGTACATTGATTTTGTATCCTGAGACTTTGCTGAAGTTGCTTATCAGCTTAAGGAGATTTTGGGCTGAGACAATGGGGTTTTCTAGATATACAATCATGTCGTCTACAAACAGGGACAATTTGACTTCCTCTTTTCCCAATTGAATACCCTTTATTTCCTTCTCCTGCCTAATTGCCCTGGCCAGAACTTCCAACACTATGTTGAATAGGAGTGGTGAGAGAGGGCATCCCTGTCTTGTGCCAGTTTTCAAAGGGAATGCTTCCAGTTTTTGCCCATTCAGTATGATATTGGCTGTGGGTTTGTCATAGATAGCTCTTATTATTTTGAGATACGTCCCATCAATACCTAATTTATTGAGAGTTTTTAGCATGAAGGGTTGTTGAATTTTGTCAAAGGCCTTTTCTGCATCTATTGAGATAATCATGTGGTTTTTGTCTTTGGTTCTGTTTATATGCTGTATTACATTTACTGATTTGCGTATATTGAACCAGCCTTGCATCCCAGGGATGAAGCCCACTTGATCATGGTGGATAAGCTTTCTGATGTGCTGCTGGATTCGGTTTGCCAGTATTTTATTGAGGATTTTTGCATCAATGTTCATCAAGGATATTGGTCTAAAATTCTCTTTTTTGGTTGTGTCTCTGCCCGGCTTTGGTATCAGGATGATGCTGGCCTCATAAAATGAGTTAGGGAGGATTCCCTCTTTTTCTATTGATTGGAATAGTTTCAGAAGGAATGGTACCAGTTCCTCTTTGTACCTCTGGTAGCATTCTTATACACCAATAACAGACAAACAGAGAGCCAAACCATGAGTGAACTCCCATTCACAATTGCTTCAAAGAGAATAAAATACCTAGGAATCCACCTTACAAGGGACGTGAAGGACCTCTTCAAGGAGAACTACAAATCACTGCTCAAGGAAATTAAAGAGGATACAAACAAATGGAAGAACATTCCATGCTCATGGGTAGGAAGAATCAATATCGTGAAAATGGCCATACTGCCCAAGGTAATTTATAGATTCAATGCCATCCCCATCAAGCTACCAATGACTTTCTTCACAGAATTGGAAAAAACTACTTTAAAGTTCATATGGAACCAAAAAAGAGCCCGCATCGCCAAGGCAATCCTAAGCCAAAAGAACAAAGCTGGAGGCATCATGCTACCTGACTTCAAACTATACTACAAGGCTACAGTAACCAAAACAGCATGGTACTGGTACCAAAACAGAGATATAGATCAATGGAACAGAACAGAGCCCTCAGAAATAACACCGCATATCTACAACTATCTGATCTTTGACAAACCTGAGAAAAACAAGCAATGGGGAAAGGATTCCCTATTTAATAAATGGTGCTGGGAAAACTGGCTAGCCATATGTAGAAAGCTGAAACTGGATCCCTTCCTTACACCTTATACAAAAATCAATTCAAGATGGATTAAAGACTTCAATGTTAGTCCTAAAACCATAACAACCCTAGAAAAAAACCTAGGCATTACCATTCAGGACATAGGCATGGGCAAGGACTTCATATCTAAAACACCAAAAGCAATGGCAACAAAAGCCAAAATTGACAAATGGGATCTAATTAAACTAAAGAGCTTCTGCACAGCAAAAGAAACTACCATCAGAGTGAACAGGCAACCTACAAAATGGGAGAAAATTTTTGCAACCTACTCATCTGACAAAGGGCTAATATTCAGAATCTATAATGAACTCAAACAAATTTACAAGAAAAAAACAAACAACCCCATCAAAAAGTGGGCAAAGGACATGAACAGACACTTCTCAAAAGAAGACATTTATGCAGCCAAAAAACACATGAAAAAATGCTCACCATCACTGGCCATCAGAGGAATGCAAATCAAAACCACAATGAGATATCATCTCACACCAGTTAGAATGGCAATCATTAAAAAGTCAGGAAACAACAGGTGCTGGAGAGGATGTGGAGAAATAGGAACACTTTTACACTGTTGGTGGGACTGTAAACTAGTTCAACCATTGTGGAAGTCAGTGTGGCGATTCCTCAGGGATCTAGAACTAGAAATACCATTTGACCCAGCCATCCCATTACTGGGTATATACCCAAAGGACTATAAATCATGCTGCTATAAAGACACATGCACATGTATGTTTATTGCGGCACTACTCACAATAGCAAAGACTTGGAACCAACCCAAATGTCCAACAATGATAGACTAGATTAAGAAAATGTGGCACATAGACACCATGGAATACTATGCAGCCATAAAAAATGATGAGCTCATGTCCTTTGTAGGGACATGGATGAAATTGGAAATCATCATTCTCAGTAAACTATCGCAAGAACAAAAAAACAAACACCGCATATTCTCACTCATAGGTGGGAATTGAACAATGAAAACACATGGACACAGGAAGGGGAACATCACACTCTGGGGACTGTTGTGGGGTGGGGGGAGGGGGGAGGGATAGCACTGGGAGATATACCTAATGTTAGAGGACGAGTTAGTGGGTGCAGCACACCAGCATGTCACATGTATACATATGTAACTAACCTGCACATTGTGCACATGTACCCTAAAACTTAAAGTATAATAATAAAAAAAACAAAAACAAGAAACAAAAAAACCCAAAAGATCAGGATTTCTAACTGGTGCTTTCCTGGATAGAGGTGATTTATAAATAAATGAGCTTATGGGCCACATCTTCATTATGTAATATACTTACACATTTTTTCCCATTTGCAACATGACTGAAATATCAGTCATTGGAAAACTCATGCTTTATGAGAGCTTCAAGAAGACCAATCGCCATCTCCCTGGGTAAGTGCTTTCACAGGGGGACACTGTTGTCCAGATCATTTGAGTCTTGTCACACTGGGGCAGTGCAGGCAGCCACATATGGGGTCTATGAGCTCTGATTTCTACTGTGATCTGTAGGTTACCTTACTGAAAGGAGTTTGGAGTCAGAATTGGGATGTTCTACTGCCTTTGAAGAATTCTAAAAAGCTTTATTTCCCTGTCCAGATGGACAGAACAAAACCCAAGGAAATGAGTTTTGATAACACCCTATATGGTAACAGAGAAATAAGTTTTAGTTCATCCATAAACGTTTGGGTAAAGAACACTATACTGGATCCTGGAAAAGAGGGTGAAAAGGATAGTGCTCCAGAAGAAAATGAATCAATGGTTTCTGTTTTCACGGTGTCAGAACAACGTAAGACTGAAGTGACAATCAGATATCACCTGGCACAAGTTCAGCCCTGTGGGCTGTTCCATCCAACCTGCAGGTCTCCTCTCCCTTGAAGACCTTTGCCTCTGCTCCATCCTCTTACCTGATCTAACATGTGGGCCTCCTCTCCTACAAGAACCTACATCATTAATTTTATTTTTTATGTACTTTTTTTGAGATGGAGTCTTACTCTGTTGCCTAGGCTGGAGTGCAGTGGTGCCATCTTGGCTCACTGCAACCTCCACCTTCTGGGTTCAAGTGATTCTCGTGCTTCAGCCTCTTGAGAAGCTGGGATTACAGGTGTGCACCACTAAGCCCAGCTAATTTTTTTATTTTTTATTTTTAGTAGAGACGGGGTTTCATCACGTTGGCCAGGCTGGCCTTGAACTCCTGGCCTAAAGTGATCCACCCACCTCAGCCTCCCGAAGTGCTGGGATTACAGGTGTAAGCCACTGCACCCGGCCTAAGGACCTACATCTTTATTCCACCCACCTGCTCTATCCAATACACAGGTCTCATTTCCCATGAAGACCTACAACTCTTCTCCATCCATCTGCTCTTCCCAGTGGATGGGCCTCCTCTCCTACCAGTACTTTCACTTCTGCTCCATCCACCTCCCCCACTGTCCCTATAGCACTCTCAGGCTATAACGAGATCCACCCTTAACCCTTCCTGTTTCTCCCATTCTATGTTCTCTTCTTAATTCCTTCTCTACTGAGGCTGGGCTTCCCATACTGATGGCACCCTCAGCTCTCTTGCCCCTCGTTATAAGAGCACACCCCCTCTCCTCAATGATGACATTCTTCTCTCTCCACTCCTGAATGGGAGCCGCCAGGTCCACTTAGAGAAATCTTGCCAGGTGTGGTGGTTCATGCCTGTAATCCTAGTTCTTTGGGAGGCAGAGGCAGAGCCAGGAGGATCGCTTGAGGCCAAGAGTTCAAGACCAGCCTGGGCAACACAGCGAGATCCCATCCCTACAAAAATTTAAAAAATTAGCCAGGCATGGTGGGACATACCTGTAGTCCCAGCTACTTGGGAGGCTGGGGTGGAAGGATTGCTTAAGCCCGGGAGCTCAAGGCCGCAGTGAACAAAGACTGTGCCACTGCACTCCAGCCTGGGTGACACAGTGAGACCCTGACTCTAGGGAAAAGGGACAGAGAGAGAGAGAGAGAGAGAGAGAGAGAGAGGGAGAGAGGGAGAGAGAGAGAGAGAAACTTCACAACTATGAAGTTATAGTTTCCAGTCTTGGTTGGGCCATGATCATTCCCAACTATTTATTCCTTGTCCATCACCAATTTCTGCTTCTATACTGGAAGCAGTGCTCTGCCACTCCCCTCGAGCATGCTCTGCAGCCCAAGCCTCCTCGTTGCTTCCCTCAAAAGACCATGCCTCCTACATGCATTACAGCACCATTCAACAAGGCCTTCTCCAACCTCCATTCTCCACTTGGCTTCTCCCACCCTTAGCTGTGTCTGTTTTTTACCTTTACTGACCCCAAAGGAAGCCGGTTCTCTTCTCCTTTAATTGTGCTGAATTCTGCCCTTCTTACTACCTCCCAAGATCTCATTCCCTCTTGAGTGGATCGCCACATGACACTTCTCCAGGGGTTCCATTCTTTATAGACCTGCTTCTACTTCTTTTCTGAGAATGGACTCTCCTGACCCTGGCTTTGCCCCTCTACTACTCTCTCATTTTTTTCCCTTCACTTTCAAACATCATAAAAGCCTACACTCACTTGATTTCACTTCTCCACCTACAACTCACTACTCACTGCACCCACTGTCTCTGGCTTCAGCAGCACCGGCCAGTTGGCTGAGACTGCTAAGTTCCTTGGCGCATTGCTCAAATGCTGCAACTTCTTTCTGACGTTCCAGGACTCCCCCTGCAGCCCTCCCACAACTTAGATTAATGGTTTCATCCTTAACTTCCTTTAGAATTTAGGTTGAGCCATAGGAAATTGCTGTTATGGAGTTCTAAAAGGATTGAATTTTGGCAATTTTCTGTGGCTCAGCCTAATTCCCTTTTCACACTTCTTTTGTAACTAATTTCACTTTATTGCAAATGTTTGCAAATGTGGTTATCTCCTTCATCAGACTCTTAGTGCAGGGATTCTGCTTTCTTTATTTGCACTTTGCCAGTGCCTACAGCATAAAAGATGCTTGCTGAGCACCAGCTGGGTGAATGCCCCTTTCAGAAGGAGGGGCGCAGGGACAGTGCTCAGGCTGGCCTGGCGAGAACACTGCAGGGATGAAGAGCACTGATCTGGCTGCAGGATGCTGGGGAGGAGGAAGATCCCAGCCCTTCTGCGGTAGAGCCCTGATTTGTACCTGTGGTGTTTCAGACTGGTGTGAGTGATGCTGCTTCTGTGACCCGGAGCCATGGCTGTCTGCCTTGCTTTTGGTGATCACCACGCTCCCACGAACACTCTTTCCAGGTTTAATTTCTGGGGCCACCAGAGTCATCTCGGAGGCTAACTTGCCCAAGGTGTCAGTGCTCAGTCGTCCTTGCCCTATGACGTTTTGACCCACAGCTGCCTCCTGGGCTATAAGGAGAGGGTGAATTTTTATTAAAAGTCACCTTAGAATCACAAAAAATGACAGTGGGGATGGCACTCTGAAGTCCGTTCTGTCCAATAGACATATAATGTGAACCACATATGTATGTAATTTAAACATTTCTAGTTGCCACATTAAAAAGGTAAAAATTAATTTTAGGGACATATTTTAACCCAATATACACAAAATGTGATCATTTTAACATGTAATGTATAAAAATTGCTACTGTGTTATTTCCAAGTCTTTTCTTTATATCACATCTTCAGGGTTCCCATGGGTGCTGTACATTCACCGCACACCTCTGTTTGGACCAGCTGGGTTCACGTGCTCAGCAGCCCCTAGGGCCAGTGGCTACTGTATGGCACAGGCAGGTTCGGGTTCACTGCCACCACTTCATTCCAGCCTACCAACTCCACAGTGACAACAGATGCAGGAGAGATGTGAGGGCCTAACCCCTCCATTGCAAAGGCTCTATCCAAAGACCCCAGGGACCTCCCAACTGGGAAATTCAGCCACCTTCTACTCAGGGCTCATTCTATTTGGGCTTCTGGCAGTCTCTAATTCTGTTCATTTCTTGATTCAATGAATCCTTTATGAATCTTTATTATGTGTCAACTATGCCAGGCATTCTTCCAGGTGCTGGGACTACAGTGGGGAAAATTAACACAAGCCCCTGCCTCCAGAGCTTACATGGGGTCGGGGCAGACAATAAAGGAGGTAGATCAGTATTAGGTTAGCTAGACAAGTGGGCTGTGAGATTAGGCCAGCAGGAAGGCTCCCTGTCCAGCAGGGCTCTGAGGGACGTGAAACTCCTCCTCGCTTCTCCCTTTCCTAAGGCTCTGGGGCCCTTTCCTTGACTTCCCTGACAGTCCCTGTGGCCCTGGCTCTGCTGTCTCTACTTCCCGGCTTCCCCATGACCCCTCCTGAAATGTAGGTGTTCCCCATGGTCCTAACCTGCCTCGTCCAGCAAACATTCCTCCTGGCTCATTCTGGGCTTTTCTGGCTGCTTCACCTACCCTAGTGGTTTCATGGAGAAAGACTCTCCCAGCTGTGTCTCTAGCTTGATGTTATTTTCTCAGACCAGGAACTCAAATTCACCCTTAGGCACAGGACATAAACATGGCTCCACAGATCACTATGAAATGTAGACTATTTCACAGAAAAGGAAATAAAAAATTTAAGAGAACCAGCATTAGGGCATAGCCAGAGGTTCTCACTAAAGAGCTATTTCTCTTATCTTCCCAGCAAAGAATCTTCCATTTCCCTAAGTGTCCCACGCAGAGGTATTGAGGGGAGGGGACAACCCTGAAAGTCCCAGCCAGTTTTATCAACTAGCAGGCTGGAAGCATTCTTGGGATGACGTCATGCCATGGGCACTGACATAGGAATGCTTCCCCTCTGAGCAGGCGCTCTGCTTGGTGTTTAGTATATTTTCCCATCAAGCAGCTGCTCGCCTGCCCTGAAGGTCCTCAAATAACCTGATGGAGCCAGAATTCTCAACTTTTTGTAGGAAGGCCACACCAGACCTCCCCACTATGCGATTCCAAAACTCAATTCAGGCTAGGCACAGTGGCTCAATCTTGTAATCCCAGCACTTTGGGAGGATTGCTTGAGGCCAGGAGTTTGAGACCAGCCTGGACAACATAGCGAGACCCTAAAAATTAGCCAGGCATGGTGGTGCATGTCTGTAATCCCAGCTACTCTGGAGGCGAATGTGGGAGGATCGCTTGAGCCCAGGAGGCTGCAGTGAGCTATGATGGTGCCACTGTACTCCAGCTTGGGTGACAGAGAGATACCTTGTCTCAAAAAAAAAAAAAAAAAAAGAAAGAAAGAAAGAAAACAACCCCCCTCCCCCAAACCCAACCCAATTTATTTTCTTCTCCAGCAAACTTTTTCTTCCTCCTGTGTTCCCTATCTAGGTACATGACATCGCTCTCTCCTGGATTCTGTGGCTAGGAAGCTGGGCGTGGCCATCTTGAATCCCTCTTACTCCTTCAATTCTCCACCATGCAGCTGGCTGTCGGGTTGGCCGGCCCAGGCCCATTTGTCTGCAGCTTCACTATCGCTTCCTTTACATGATAGTCAAGGGCTACCTTCCTATTGTGATTTTCTGATCATTTTTCCATAGTGTGAAACTGTCCCAATAGCTCTTTTCCTTGAACATAAAACTCAAATTCCTAATCTTGGCATTCAAGGTGAACAATGATTGGCCTCAACCTGCCTTCCCACCCCTAATTTATGACCAGTTTCCCTGCTTTTTTGGTCTGGAATGTCCTTGTCCCCATCTTTGCCTACTAATATTCTCTTGCTTCTTCAAACCCATTTCCTTGAAAACTTCCCACATCACCCTTGTTGGAACCCATTCATCCCAAAGTCGCTCTTTCAAAGAAGCTGGTATTTCTGTTGCAAAATTATTTTCCTCTGCTCTGAGTGACCGCATGTCTGCTTCCCCCACCAGGTGTCAGACTTCCAAAGGTGTGGGCTGTGTCTTATTCATTGTCCTGGTCCCCACAGTGGCAAGAGCACGCTGGCATTGGGCAGGGCAGGAGACCCAGGAATGCTTCGTGAAGAGAATTCTCCTCTGGGCTATGAAGTTGGCAGCATGCTGTAGGGCAGACTTCAACCAGGCTGTGGGAGGAGAGCTCAGTGGGGCACAGAGAAGATGGGTGTTGTCAGTGGGGGTGTTGGTGACTTGACCACAAAAACCCAAGAGAATGGGCTCTTACCAGCCTCCTCTCCTTCCTTCACGGACTGCTCTATGGCAGCCCTGATGCAGAGCTCACGGGCCCGGATCCCTGGGATGTTGTTGCTGTTGGCCACAGCTTCCAGCACAATGGAGTCGATGCTCAGGCAGGCTGCGTTGTAGTACTTGGCCACGCTAACGGCATTGGCTGACTTTCCTATTAAAAAGACCAGGGGGTTGAATTTCACGGTGCTCATTTGCTCAGTGTCCCAGAGAGAAAAGGTCTCAAGAGCAGAGGTCCCTGCAAAGTGATCTCTCTGAGTGCTCTGCCTCCTTCCCATGTGGCTGGAGGTGTTAGCAGCAAAGAGAAGGAAGACCTCAGCCTGGAGTCAGGGCTGTGGGTCTGATTCTAACCCTGCCACTGATGCGTGCATGCTGTGGCAATCTGCATCCTCGCTGGGTTTTCCCTCAGTTTAAAAAACAGATTCTTTTTTTCTTTTTTTTTGAGATGGAGTCTCACTCTGTCACCCAGGCTGGAGTGCAGTGGCGAGATCTCAGCTCACCGTAACCTCTGCCTCCTGGTTTCAAGTGATTCTCCTGCCTCAGCCTCCCAAGTAGCTGGGATTACAGGCACCCACCACCATATCTGGTTAATTTTTTGTATTTTTAGTAGAGATGGGGTTTCACCATGTTGGCCAGGCTGGTCTCGAACTCCTAACTTCAAATGATCCACCTGCCTTGGCCTCCCAAAGTGCTGGGATTACAGGTGTCAGCCACTGCACAGGGTCTGTTTAAGAAACAGGTTCTATCAGATGATCTTTAAAATACTTTGTAGTTCCTCCTGTCTCTGATTCTAATAGGAAAACTTTTTATTTTAAAGAATAACTTGTGTTGATTTCTTTTCTCATTTCAAGGTACTTTCATTACAAAAAAAAAAAAAAGCAGACAATTCAGATATAACAGACAAGAGAAAAGAAAAAAAATCCATCATCCACTCATTCAGGGATAGTACCGTTAGCCTATGGTCGCTAAGTACACATGTAACTGTATTTCTTATAAAAAAAGAAATAGGTGATGTGGTAGGCTGAATAATGGCTCCTCCAAAGATTTCCACCTGCAAATATGTTACCTTTTAGGGTAAAAGAGACTTTGCAGATGTGATTAATTTACAGATCTTGATATGGGGGGTTAGCCTGGATTATCCAACCGGGCACAATGGGTCCCCATGAGAGGAGAGCAGGAGGGTTGGAGTCAGAGCAGGTCAATCAACCATGGAAGTAGCAGGAGAGACTGGGAGATGCTATGCTGATGGCTGGGAAGGAGGAAGAAGGGGCCAGGAACCAAGGGTTGCAGGCAACATTTCTAGAAGCTAGAAGAGACAAGGAAACGGATTGTCCCCCAGATCCTCCAAGAAGGAACACAGCCATGCTCACCCATTTTAGACTTCTGTCCTCCAGACCTATGGGAGTATAAATTTGCATTATGTGAAGCCATGAAGTCTGTGGTCACTTGTTATAGTAGCAACGGGGCACTAATACTAACTACACACCGTGAGTATGGCACCCTTTCTCATGTAAAATGATATATCATGAACAACTTTCCATTAATTCAATACACTTGTATGACACTGTTTTTATTTTGGTAAAATATACATAACAGTTGTCACTTAAATCATTTATAAGTATATGATTTAGTGGTTCTAAGTACATTCACACTGCTGTGCCCCCATCACCACCATCCACCTCCAGAACGTTGTCATCTTCCCGAACTGAAACTCTGTACCCATTAAACTATAACTCCCCAGTACCCACCACCCTCCCAGCCCCTTGGAAACCATCATTCTGTTTCTCTTTCTAGCTCTATGAATTTGACCAGTCTGGGTACCTCATCTAAGCGGAGTCATACAGTGTTTGTCCTTTTGTGACTGTCCTATTTCACCTTGCATAAGGTCCTCAAGGTTCTTCCGTGTTGTAGCATGTGTCAGAATTTCCTTCCTATTTTTTTTTTTTTTTTGAGATGGAGTCTCGCCCTGTAGCCCAGGCTGGAGTGCAATGGCACGATCTTGGCTCACTGCAACCTCTGCCTCCCGGGTTCAAATGATTCTCCTGCCTCAGCCTCCTAAGTAGCTGGGATTACAGGCGCCTGCTACCACGCCCGGCTAATTTTTGTATTTTTAGTAGAGACAGGGTTTCACCATGTTGGCCGGGCTGGTCTTGAACTCCTGACTTCATGATCTACCCACCTCAGCCTCCCAAAGTGCTGGGATTACAGGCGTGAGCCACCACACCCTGTCCATTTCCTTCCTTGTCAAGGCTGAATAGCATTGCATCATACCATATTTTGTTTTTTCCATTCAGCCACTGATGGCCATTTGGATTGTTTCCACCTTTTGGCTATTGTGATTAATGCTGCTATGAACATGGGTGTACAAGACACTGTTTTTAATGGCAATAAAATTCACCATATAAATGTACTGTGGCCTGATTAACCAGTTCCCCATATTGAATGTTGTAATTGCTCCCGAGTTTCTATTACAGCATACAGTGCTGCAGTGAACATTCAAGCAGTTCATCTTGTCCACATCATTAATTATTTTTCCTAAGAAAATTTTAGAAGTAACATTGTCAGGTCAGAGTCTGCACATATATTTCTTTCTCTTTTTAAATAATTTAATGTCTGGGATTTTTTTCTCTAATATTTTAATATTTTTAAATTACGGAAAGAATACAATTCAAACAATTCAGAGATGTATACGTTCCAAATGAGGTGTCTTCCC
Organism: Homo sapiens; assembly: GCF_000001405.40. NCBI lineage: Eukaryota > Metazoa > Chordata > Mammalia > Primates > Hominidae > Homo > Homo sapiens. The sequence goes on from NC_000016.10 coordinate 70,958,108, forward strand.
TCTCCTTCTTAATCCCCTCTCTGAGGTCAGCAATTTAACAGTTTGGGGATAATCCTTAATTATATGGATTATAAACAAAAGAGTCTCTTATTGCCTTCAAAAGTTGTATGTTCTAACTTCACCATAAACAAAAGGGGAAAAATAACTTATATTGATCAGTCTGATTTTGACATAGGCTGTTAAGCTGTTCTTCATGAAGATTCTGTGAAAGCTGTAAGGTTCCATAAAAATGTCAGGCTTGTTATTACTGTAGTTCACACTCTAATAGGCTTTTCACCTGCAGATGAGAAGTGACTGAGCCTCCACTAGAACAGAGCTGGTGGCTCTTTCCAGGTCAGTGCCTTTTTGGTGTTAACTCTCCAGCTGTCTGCAGTTTCTATGGATCCATCAACCATCCTTCTGACATTCCTTTTAGTGCAACACTAAAATGGCCTGAGCCTCTGCAGGTGTGTTTGTGTAGGGGGTCTTCAAAACATTTCCAGTTATGTTCTTACTTGCCTCGTTTGATTTCTGCCTGTTGCCCACACATCTGGCCTTCTACTTTTTAGGTCCTGATTTACAACTTCTCAAGGAAAGGTTCTTCAAAGGAAGGGGTAATGAATTGTGACATTTTTAGATTCCTGGACCTCTCAGTGATTAGAATATCAAAAATGCTCCATAAATGTTGTCTGTATGAATGATAGTAATTGGGTCAGAACAAGATTTCATGGCCCTTCGTCAAGTAAGCTGAAGCTAAGAGAGGTGGCAGGGCATCCTCCCAATATCCCTCTGCTCTGCCGCTTTCTAACTGGGTGACCTTGGGCAGATGTCCTTGAATTTCTCTGAACCTTAGCTTCCCATAAGGTAGGGGAAATCAAATTCTCTTTTCTGAGTGGTTACGAAGTTTAGATAGACAAATGGATGGGAAGGAGCTCTGTGAACTGCAAATTACTATACAAATAAGATTTTTTTTTTCCCAATGTAGGTGATTCTGCTCCTTTGGGTTTATGGTAAAGTTAGCACATGTAATTTTGGAGGTAATAAAGGATTCTCGTTAAAAAATCCTTTCTTTATCAAGGGCTCATCCCTTGACTGGTTTATGGTTAGGAAAATATTCCTTGAGAATATTTAGCATGTGATGGAAGTTTCTTTTCAATGAGGATTCACACTGCAGGTATGGTTATAATTGTGAATGCCAACAGTCATCATAGTAATAATAATGATAACATCAACAGCTTTTCGTTTGAGTATTTACTATGTGCCAAGTATTGAGATAAGCATTTTATATAAATGTTCTCATTAAATTCTCATGACTACCCTATAAAATAGACAGCGTTAATACCACTTTACGGACAGGGAAACTGAGCACAGACAATTTAGTTAATTTTCCCAAAGGCACACAGCTATTAATGTATATTCACTACCCTATGCAGTTCCTCAAATAAAGTCATTAGTATTTGCCATGACCACACAGCTGATGTTGCCACTCTGGAAGCCGCAGAGTTTACAGAGAAGACATGGCACTGCTGGTCTTAACCTCCCCTCAGAACTGTTGCCTACCTGACAAGGGTGTCCCATGAATGATAATGGCGATGCCTTTCCGGTTCTTGGCCAGGCGGCCTTCTGCAGAAATGTCAATGCCCAGGTGGCGAGCGATTGCTTTGCTCACTGGGTTGTTTTCCACCTCTCCAACTTCCTCCATGGAGTGGCTGTCAATGCTCTGAAGCTTGTCAGCTGCAAATTTAAAATATATGTGTGTGCACACATGGCATGCATGCTACACAGCCGGAATTTACATGGGTACTGATGGAAATGGGAATGGATATTTCTTTTTAAATGCTGTTTTTTTTAAATGGCAAATATTGCAGCAGTCCCCACTTGTAGTGTACGACTAGGCCCTTTTGGGCTAATAATTTGTTTATAGCTACTAAAATAAAAAAACAGATTTTTTGACCCCACTTTCATTTTGGGGAATCTCTCTTGCTGAAAAGTAGAAAGGACATTTGTGTGGAGAGGAGGATGGCTTACAGTGCAAAATATTAGAAACTAGTGAAATCTGCAGCATTAAGGGAAATGGCTGAATAAATGATGGTAAATTCATATTATAGAACCAATACACAGCAGCTATTAAAATGATGACTTCGGTATCACAGACTAGTCAACTATAGCCCACAGGCCAAATCTGTCCTGCTGCTTGTTTTCGTAAATCAAGTTGTATTGGAACATAGCCATGTCCTTTGATTACATATTGTCTTTGTCATCACAGCCACCCTCCAAAGGCAGGGTTGAGTAGTTTTGGCAGAGACTGTATAGCCTTCAAAGCCCCAAATATTTACTGTCTGGCCTTTTATGGGAAAAGTTTGCCAAACCTTGATTTATCAAATGCATTGGCCTAGAGGAACGTCTAGAAAAAAGCAAGCTGCAGGATCATATGTGTATTAATTGTAGAGTAGTGTGCAGCCAGATACATATAGTCATCCCAAATACATTCAGTGTTTTAATAACAAAACTAGGATGACACTCTGAATTTTGCTCTGTAACTTGCTTTTCACATAATATATCTTGGACATCTTTCCATTTACTTAAATACAGGTCTAGCTCATTCTGTTTTTCTTTTTTTTCTTGAGATGGCATCTCGCTCTGTTGCCAGGCTACAGTGCAATGGCACAATCTTGGCTCACTGCAACCTCCGCCTCCCGGGTTCAAGTGATTCTCCTGCCTCAGCCTCCCAAGTAGCTGGGACTACAGGCATGTGCCACCATGCCCGGCTAATTTTTTGTATTTTTAGTACAGACAGGGTTTCATCGTGTCAGCCAGGATGGTCTCGAACTCCTGACCTCATGATCCGCCTGCCTTGGCCTCCCAAAGTGCTGGAATTACAGGCGTGAGCCACCTTGCCCGGCCTAGCTCATTCTTTTTAAATAGCTGCTAAATAACTCCCACTGTATGGCTTTGTCACAATTTCACTAGTTCCCTACTAATGGGCATTTAGATGGTTTTCATGTTTTTTCATCCTAAGCATTGTGGTATGCTTTCTTCTACGTGGGATGTCCAGGGTCAGCCCTGGAGGAGCCCAGGCATGGGGAGCAGAGTCAGGGTGTATGGGGTGGGGAGGGCTGCTCGGAGAGACCAGGAACCACTTGGGGGCCCATCAACATAGCCAGGGTGGATTAAATATGAGGCATGGAGCCAGAAATTTCTGTCTTTAATCTCAGTTTTGCCATTACATGTTCCTGACTTCATTTACTCACCTGGTTGATGAGGGCTATGAATGATGACTTAGCTCCCTAAAGATCTCCTGAGCCTCACCCATGATTCCTATTCTGGGGGTGGGCACAGGACAAGGTTGCTTATGCCTTATCATGGTTTATAATGACCAGCAAATGGCCCCCATGAACCCAGTTTCACTGAATCTAATTTTCTGAATATGGTTCCAACATCTTGCAAAACTTGGGGAAAATAAATGCCAGAAAATGGGGCCATAATGCTGGGAGGTCAAGAGAAGAGCTCCCTAATGGCCCAACTGGGGGGACACTGGGGAGAATGTCCCCCATCCCCATAATGTTTCTCTAAACACCTCCCAGTCTGCCAGAATCTTAGCAGGAAAGATTCAGGCCTTCATTTAGTCTAGTTGAAACACAAATTACTGTGCCAAGAATGTATTATATGCTAAGCTCATCACCCAACTCTCAAGCTTGTATCCTACTGTGAGTGGCAGATCAGAGCTTCTCCGGAGGGCAGCTGTGGTGGGCAGGGCAGGATGGGCTAGGAGCCATACGAGGAGGCTTAGAGAAAGTGACAAGGTACTGAATATTGTCTTCCTATTTCTGCTTGGAGAGAACTAGTATCAAAACACTAAAATGCTCGGTTACTTTGGAAAATGATTTTTTCCAGGCTTTCCTCATCCTCCTCTTCCTCTAGGTAGGTTTTGGACTCGACCAACAGGGCGTGCCATTCTTCCAGGTTGGATGTGACAGAGATCCCTCGGCTCAGCGATGTCCTCTTTGTGCTATTGGAGGTTCCCTGATCTGATGAGGTTATATCTTCCTCTTCTGCCAGGTAGCAAAGGATGAAAACACCAGGGGAAGAGTTGGGAGGGGGACAAGGGAGATGGAGGCAGAAAAGGAAAAAAAAAGATGAAGAAGAGATTCACCATACGGGCTCCCATCACCCTGGACCATTCAACCCAAATAAACAAGAACTGCAGTCAGTTGGCTATTCCTCAGTCTCTCTGTGCACAGTGTTTCTACATTTTAACATTTGTTTAGCAACTAAAATTATACATTTGCTTAGAAAATGTGGAAAACTCAGAAGAGCCAAAAATGATGGAATTCAGCTACAAAAAGAGTTGGAGATAGACAAAGAAATAGTGACAGAGAAATTGTACCAAATTTTATCATACCAGCACAGGAGAGCTGCAACCTCTCAGATTTTTAATTTTTAATTGTTTGAAACTAAGCTTGGGGTTATATTGTACATACTGATGTGTAGCCTGCTTTCCCTTTTAATTTATCATGACCATTTCCTGTGTCATTGTTAGGGACAGCTATCCTTTCGTTGGCCCAACACCTTCCTCATTGATTGCCCATTGTTCTATAGCATTTCAGGGGTGCAGTGGGCTGTGACTGTATGAGGTGATCCCCCTCTACTACAGGGCAAGACATTCCCTTTGTCACACAAGGTAGAAATTGAGCCTGAGGGGTTGCAGCTCTCTCATGAATGGTGGTCCTGTGACTTGGGGCTGTGGGCCTTCCCTGGAAGGAAGGGAAGCAGAGAAGGATGATCTATAGCGTGAGAGCAGAGCGAGTAGACAAAGCTCATCAGAGAGGCACTGGTGAGAAGCAGGGCGTGTGCCTTTCTGGGTTCCCTCTGCACCCACTGATCCTGGCTTAGATCACCTTCCATTGGGCCAGATGGGTAAGGGAGCCCACAAACATGGTGTGTGACGACAAGGGGAGCACCAAGGCCTTCTCTGCCTTTGGGAGGTCCTTTGTACATTGCAGCCCTTGCTGCCCTGCCTTGGGCTGCTGGGCAGTCCCTCTGATGGTGTGTCTCTCCTCACACTCTCTTCATGACTGTGAGCTCTCAAAGGTAAGGATTCATTGCATTTTCTGATTTTTTTTTCCCCGGCACTTTTTTCACTAATTTTTTTTTCCCACCACTTTAGCTCAGTGCTTGCAACACAGTGGGTCCTTGTGATGGGCTTAATGGTGTCCTTTCCCAATTCATATGTGGAAGTCCTAACACCCGAGTATCTCAGAATGTGACTGCATTTGGAGATAGGACCTTTGAAAAGGTAATTAAGGTAAGATGAGGTCACATGGGTGGGTCCCAATCCAGTAGGACTGGTGTCCTTATGAGGAGAGGAGATTAGGACACAGACACACACAGAAGGAAGACCAGGTGAAGACACAGGGAGAAGACAGCCAACTGCAAGATGGGATTCAGAAGAAAGCAACCCTGCTGCCACTCAGCCTTGGACTTCTAGCCTTCAGATTTGGGAGAAAAGAAACTTCTGTTGGTTAGGCCACCCAGTGTGTGGTACTTGCAATGGCAGCCCTAGCAAACTCAAGGAACGTGACTAGGAGACGGGGTGGGTGGCAGCTGTCTTCTCTCATCTTCTCCTTTTAAGCCAAACTAGTGGTCTCTGATTAGCTTCTATTTCCTGGACAATGAGACAGGTCCAAGGGCAGGAAAAATAACTTCATTCAATCCATTAATGCATTCACTCACATAGCACCCATTTATTGGGCACTATTGGGTCTACTGCTGTTCCATGCACTAGTTTTACACATGGGGAATATTTGATCAATGCCTTTACGGGGACTTCTTGGTTAGTGGTGGAGGCATTGTGAAGAAAATAATTACGTGTATGACTGTTACACAGATGAAAGCAAGTAAAAACAAGGTGGGTACATTTCTAAGATGAGGTTACAGAGAAGCAGGAAAGAGAAGATGCATCCTCATAAGTGACACAGTCCCACAAGTCAGCGAGGAACCTTTATGGCCAAGCACACAAGAGCCCCTGGGCAGATGATGGGATAACTCAGGGGTGGTGGGCCAGAAAGGGCACAATTCTGAGAGCACAGGACAGCTCTGCGATTGGAGTTTGGCCTGAGGACTATGGAGGGGCTCGTCTTCTGCTTGTGTGAATGCCCACCCCCTGCTTTTAGGGCACCAGTTTCTACCTTGTGTGACACATTACTTTGCCTTACCTAGGTCTACCCATAGGAAGCAGTGGTTACCATCATGGACTCTGGAGTCAGAGAGCCCTGGGCTGGAATCCTGATTCTGCCACTTAAAACTGTGGACCTGGCCTCTCTGCGCTTCAGTTTCTCATCTGTACGTCCAAAGCCCTCAACGTGGCATCCAGCAAGTGTTCTTCCATCTGTATTAGCTGTTTTTAGGTCATACTACCCCAATTGGGCCCTAGTGACAGCAGAATGTGTTCCAGCCTCTGCATCCATAAAATGGGGATAACGCGACCCATTTTGTAAGGGTTAGAAATAAAATACACAAGGCAGGCAGCACCTGCCTGGCACCTGGCAGGTACTCAGAAACAGGTTGGTCCCAGAGCAGGGGTAATTCAGAGGGGCAAAGGCAATGGTTAGCATGAGGTGTTCTCCACATTGAGTTCTCACCATTCTCCTGTGCCAGATTCTCCAGATATTTCGCCCTCATCTGCTCCTCTTTTGACTTCTTTATCTCTTTGAAGTACTCGTACAGTTCTGGGGGCAGCTTCTCCCCAGGGTTGCGGGGAGGCAGCAGCAGGGTGTTGTAGGAATCATAGCCCTTCAGCTTCCGCAAGATCTGCTCGAGGGGAGAAAGAGAATCCTGTTGGTCTCACTAGAAATCTCCCTGCAGCTCTAAGTGGGTCTGCTCACTGATTTTATAAAACTCCTGCTCCTGCCTGAGGCTGAGACTTGTACAAATACTTTCTGGATTTCAAAGAGTGGGGCCCTTTGGAGAGGTGTCAGAAGTAGGGCTGAGCTCTGAGCCTGTGGGGATACATGATCTTTATTTTGCTCCATTTCAGCCTGGGCATTTCACCTGTGGAAATATGTTTTCTTCTTGTTTTAAAACTAATATACACTCTTTTCCTTTCTTCCCCATGACAAAATTTCAGAACTCCATTATCTACCTTGAGTGACAATTCATTCTTACCAACAATATTGTGGTTAGCAATTTTACATTAAGCAAGGGTGTGGTCTCATAAACAGAGGATCCAGGGGAAAAAAAGAGGTAAAATAGTATTAAGTACGTGTATGTGTGCACATGTGTGTGAATGTGTATTAGGGCTGCCAGATAAAATACAAGATGCCTAGTTAAATTTGAGTTTCAGATAAACAATGAATAACTTTTTAGTATAAATATGTCCAGTGTAATATTTGAGACATACTAAAAAATATTTGTTATTTATCTGAAATTCAAATTTAACTAGACAGCCTGTATTTTTTTCTCCTAAATCTGGCAATCCTAGTGTGTATGTGTATTTATAAGACACAGCAAAATTAAGTTTTAAAAAGCATTTACTTCTTCTACAACCTGATTTATTGGTATCAAAAATCTGTTTTGTTAGGTAACCCTTCTTCAGGATCCCCATTTTTAGTTATTTGAACACCACTGCTAATAAGCTCCATGTAAATATTTGAACACCACTGCTAATAGGCTCCATGTAAAATAAGATCCATGTAAATTTTAGAATTTACATGGAAGGGCAAAATTAAAGCATTAATGAAAAGGAATAAAAGAAGGCTATTGCCCTACCAGATGACAAGCCTTATCAGGAAGCTGTAGTAATAGACAGAGTGGCAATGATGCTGGGAAAGACACATTGACCACTGAAATAGAAGAGAGAGCTCAGAATTGACCCATTTATTTATGGAACTGTGATAAAGCATAGAGATGGCATAGAGAATCTGTGGGCAAAGGAGGCAATATGCCAAAGCCTGGCTGATACAGGGCACAAAGGCCTGGCAAACAAGCAGCAACTGGGGCAACTCCAAAGGGCCAACCCAGCCCCAGAGCTTCCTGTGCGATTAGCTGAAGTCTCCATTGCCATCTCATCACAGTTCATCTCCCTCTGCCCAACTCTGCTGTCCTATTCTTCACAGATGTTCCTGAGAGTGCCCTCAAGAAACCTCCCACATGCAAATCTCAAGTCTTAGATTGTGCTTTCCACAGAGCCTGACTCTTGATAGAAGGTGCTGTGCCAACAGAAGCCACTAAGGATCTCATAAATTCCTAATGAAAAGACTCTCCCCAAAGGGGCAGATTCCCATTCTGAGAAAAACTTCTGGGAGCAGACTGCAAACTAAGCAGGCTATCAACACTGGAAGTAAAGAAGACAGAAGATTCAAAGGCTGAGTGGGGGAGGGTCCAGAGGAAGCAGAACCCCCACTCAGCTAAGCCACCTTCAAATTTCTGACCCACAGAAAGCACGAGATGACAAATGTTTATTGTTTTAAGTTGGTAAGTTTGGGGCTAATTTGTTATGCAGCAAAAGATAACAAATATAGCGTTGGGCTTCATGGACAAGAATACCTTATGAGGAAACAATGGAGCAACATATTTAAAATAGTCAAGTGAAGAAAATGTAAGCCAAGAAAATTGTATCTGATCTTCAAAAGTCACAGATAAATGGTTACGAATGTTTGAATACTCAGAGAATGTCATTCCCATGATCTCTGCCTGAGAAATCCACCAGAGAATGAGCTGTAGACAACCCAGAAGTGATTGGAGAAGCTCCACTGTAAGGATTGGTGTTGGGCATTCAATATGTCTTAGTGTAAAACTAAGACTCCATGATGGAAATTAAGTCCTGATACCTTAATACTATAAGCTCTGACAATATAGATAAAATACAAGTAGGAAATATGGGGGAAGGGTACATGAGATGACTACTCAGCTGGTATTAACTGGAAATAAAATCATTTTAAATTAGAGGATGGAAAGGGGAGAAGGAAAAAGAGATTACTAGCTAATTTTAATATTGCTCACAAGAGGGAATTAAGAGGCCGTTTCAAAGAGCACGGCACTAAGGTTATTAGACAAAGGTGTAGCTCAAGGTAGGGCAGCAGGGTGGGAGCATGAGATGTGGATTTGGGGGGAGCTGCTGGAACACAGCACAGAGGCCTCACCATGCTTATGGATAATATGACTCAGTAGCCTTACTGTTAGTAGGAATATTGATATTACTATTTTGAAGCTATTTTATTAATTTACTTATTTTATTTTATTTTGAGACAGGGTCTCACTCTGTCACCCAGGCTGGAGTGCAGTGGTATGATCTTGGTTTACTGCAGCCTCGACCTCCCAGGCTCAACTGAACTCCCACCTCAGCCCCTCGAGTAGCTGGAACTATAAGCATGTGTCACCATGTCCAGCTAAATTATTTTGTATTTTTTTTTTTTGAGACAGAGTCTCGCTCTGTCGCCCAGGCTGGAGTGCAGTGGCGCGATCACAGCTCACTGCAACCTCTGCCTCCTGGGTTCATGCCATTCCCCCGCCTCAGCCTCCTGAGTAGCTGGGACTACAGGCGCCTTCCACCACACCTGGCTAATTTTTTTTTTGTATTTTTTAGTAGACACGGGGTTTCACCGTGTTAGCCAGGATGGTCTCGATCTCCTGACCTTGTGATCCACCCGCCTTGGCCTCCCAAAGAATTTTGTATTTTTTTTTGTAGAGATAGGGTTTTGCTATGTTGCCCAGGCTGGGCTCAAACTCAATCCTCAAGCAATCCTCCTGCCTTGGCCTCCCAAAATGCTAGGATTATAGGTGTGTACAACTGTGCCTGGCTAAATGTATATTTTATAAGATAAATTGATAAGTAAGTTTATATCCATGATTTTCAAGAGAAAGCAGAAACAAATGTATCATTGAAGAATTTAGATAAAATCCTATAATCTTAAATTGGAATTTGAAACATCATTATGTGTTATGATTTTTTTCCCCTCTTAAAAATCACATTTCCTAATTCTATTTACTAAAAAGACCTAGAAAGTCACAATCCAGTGGTCCAGACTGTGATCTCTAAATGCTATTTCATACTAAAAGGAACAAGGGCTCCTTGGAGAAATGATTGACTCCAGGTCTGGGCAGGAAATGAACCCGTCAAGTCTGGGACATCTTAGGAGTGTCCTCCCTGCCAGTGGGTAACAAGACTTCACCTCCCCCCAAATCTGTCAGTAAAGCCCATGTAGGGAGCCTGGACTTCCACGTCCATCTGGTGGTAAAGAAATGCCCCTCCTCCCCTCTGCTGGGGTGGTGTCAGCTGAGGTCTAGTGGGAGTCAGAACTTTTGTCATTACCCAGTGGTCCTGGGTAGTACGGCTACCCCTCTATTTTTCCATGCAGAGTCAGTGGAGTCCGTGTGGAGAGTAGTAACAAGGCACTCCTGCCCCTCCCAGCCAGGAAGGTATCAATGGAGGCCTTGCGGAGAGCCAGAAATACCACTCCTGCCCAGCAGTAATGAAGAGCTCCTCCTACTGTTTGTCAAAGAAGGCCAAGGAGGGAACCTAGACTATTACCTGCATCTGGCAGTAAGAAGGCAGTGCCCCCTTCTCCTTGCCCAAGTCATTTCAGAAAAGGCCAGTTAAAACAAAATTTAAATAAGGTCCAGAGTCTCATAACATAATACCAAAAACGCCCAGGTTTTAACTAAAAATCCTTCATCATAGTAACAACCAGGAAAACTTCAGCTTGAATGACAAAAGAAAATGAATAGATATCAACTTCAAGGTAATAGTGATATTAGTTATCTTTCAAAGATTCTAAAGCAGCCATCATTGTAATGCTTTAGTGAACAATTATGAACATACTTGAAGCAAATAAAAAAAAGAAAGTCTTAGCAAAGAAACACAAGATATAAAAAAGAACCAAATGAAAATTTTAGAACGTAAAAATATAGTTACCAAAATAAAAACTCAATATGTGGGCAGAATGAAATGGATGGAGAAGAAAATCAGCAAACTTGAAGATAAAATAATAGAAATTACTTACTCTGGATAACAGAGAAAATAGACTTAAAAAAAAGAAAAGAGCCTCAAAGAACTGTAAAACTGTAACAAAACAAAATATGAGTGTCATTTGAGCCCTGGAAGGAGAGTAGAAAGAGCATGAGGCTGAAAAAGGTACTTGAATAATGCCTGAAAAATTTCCAAGTTGGAAAGAAGATAAAGATCAACAGATTCAAGAAACTCAGCAAATCCCAAAATCAATAAACCAAAGAAATTTATGCCAAGACACATTATAGTCAAACTTCTGTAAACTAAGACACAGAAAAATTCCTGAAAGCAGTGAGAGAGAGATGAAATCTTCCCTACAGAGGAAAAAAAATAATTCAAATGACATTGGATTTCTCATTAGACCATGGAGGCCAGAAGAAAGTGGCATATATTTCAAGGGATGAAAGAACTGTCAGCTCAGAATTCTATATCCAGTGAGCAAATCCTTCAAGGATGAGAGGGGAAGTCAAGGCATTCTCAGATGAAGGAAAACTAAGAAATTTCTATCAGCAGGCATACCCTAACAACAGAGCTAAAGGTAGCTCTCTAAACAGAAAGTTAATAATAAAAGAAGAAATCTTGGCGTATCAGAAAAGAAGAAAGAACAGAAAGAGTAAAAAGAGAGACAAATATAATACATTTTCTCTTTCCTCTGGGGTCTTCAAATGTATGTTTGACAGTTGAAACAATAATTATAGTGCTAGCTAATATAAGAAAAATATTTAAGACAGTTATATTAAAAATCGGAAGGCTGAAGGGAGTTAAATGGAGGAAAGTTTTCTAAATACACTAGAACTGCTAAAATGTCAATACCAGTGATTGACATTTAATCATTGACAGTCAATGATTATAATGTTATGTATAGATAATGTAATACCTACAGCAATAACTAAAGGAGCTATACAAAGAGATACACCCAAAAAACACTCTGGGTAAATAAAAATGGAATTTTAAATAATGTTGAAGCAACTGATAGGAAAGTAGGAAAAAGTAAACAAAAAATTCCTGAAAGCAAAAAATTCCAAAAAACAATAAAACATGCAATGGCAGACTTAAGTCCTGAAATAGCAATAACTACACTAAATGTAAACTAAATATATCAACTAAAGTCTAAATATATCAACTAAAGTTAGAGACTGATAGCATATTTTTTAAAATGACCCAATTACATGCTGTCTACAAGTAACTCAACTTCAAATACAATGATATTGACAAGTTGCTATATACGGTTCTTTACTGTTGGAATTTTAACCATGAACATGCATTAGCTTTTCAATTAGTTGCTTAAAATGTCTAGGATTTTACTCAGGTCAAGGGAAGTAGGTCAGAAAAGGCTATAGGGAAGTAATCACTAAATTGACAAGGAAGAATTCAAGGGGAAAAAGATGGGAACGTGTAGAAAAACAGTTTGGTTTGACCTCTGCTCACCTTTTCTTCTATGAGATACTGCTGATCAAATTCTAAGGAATAAAACTCAATGGGGAAGTTGCAGGGATTCTTCACTATCACCTCGGCCTCGTCTCCAGGTGCACAAAGTAGCAGTGGCCCCAGATCCAGGACTGAAGGACTAAATTCCAGGCGTGGCTCTAGACCTTGCCCACGTGCCAGGAGGGTAAGCTTTTGAGCACTCTGGGCAATCTGAAACACCAGGGTTTGGCTGTAGAATTTCTGGAAAACATAAAAACAAAACAAGCATCTGAGTTTATTTCCATTACATGTCATGTAAAACAAAACACTGCTGAGGGGAAAAAACTTATCTATTTAGATTAAGGGAGAAAACTTATTATAAAATTGCATAAGAGTAATTTTTATTACCGAATTAACATAAGTACTGGGTATTTAGCATGCCAAGCATTGTACCAAGTGCTAGATATCAAATAAATTCTGGGTATCTAGCATTCTAGCACTTGTACCAAGTGCTTCATCGTTTGTAGCAAGCCCTCTGAGTATCACTTTCACATCCCTCAAATCTTCCAGTGTGCTCAGACTTCCAGCTGCCACTGTCTGCATCTCTGGGCCTGAAGGTTCTCATTTCATGGAACCTGCTGTCCATGGGCAGGGGAGGGCAGGGCAAAAATGCCAGGGAAATGATACCATCTGGAATTAGTTATTAAGCAATGACTCTGGGGATTTACGGTAAAAAGACCCCAGCTCCCTTGCTCCTGAGGAGTGATGATTCTGAAGTGTGTACTTTGTGTATTTTCCCAGAGTTTGGCAGAATGCCAGAGCTGGGGCATTCAGTTCATCAGATACAATTACAACCAGATACTGGTTAATAGTGATATCATAACTACTCACATGTTTTCTCAAAATGGTACCCAAATCTACATTGCATCCCATAGTTCCTAGTCTGATTTCACTGGGGAACCTATTAAACATGCAGATCCTCAGATTCCATCCCTAGAAATCCTGACTCTGTAGGGGCAGAGTAAGGCTGGGATTCAGCATTTTTAACCAGATGCCTAGGTTATTCTGGTATAGCTGGACTTGTAGCTTGGTTTGAGAGGAAATTACGCAAATCACAATCTGAAGACCTCCTATCTTAGCTTGAAGGGGAAAAAGCAAATGGATGGAATGTATACAGACATACACACAGAAATATCTATTTCTGGACACAAAAAGATAAATTACTGGCTAAGAAGGGTTTCTCTATAGTTATGGGCTTAGTACCTTATGATTCAAACTTCTGTATTTTAATTGCTCCTTATGGAAATCTTTCTAAAACATTTCATTCATTTTCTTGAACATGTTATCATGCCTAAGAATTGTTGGTGTGGATGTCACTGATTTCTTGGTGCTGCTGATGTTGATGATGATGCAGATATATGGATCGTATGGGTTGCAGGGCTAACCAATTCCTTGTATACAGCTAATAAATTTCTCTCTTAATTGGTGGAAACATTTTACTAACTTTGACCAATTCCAACTCAACATTCATGAAACTGCTTGAACAAATCTATTTTTTTTTTTTACTATATTTCCCTCATTAAGTAATGGAAAAAAAATCCACAATCTTGAGTAAACCCTTTGAAAATTTTAAGACTCTTTAAGAATGACAAACATATTACTAATTTTCTTTTAAATGGACTGGGAAGATTTTGATAATGATAAAAACATGGGTTTTATTTTAGAATGAGATAGGAAGTCATTTGCTTTTTCTCTTTCTCACTGAAGGTGCTTAAGCATTTCCTCAAAGCGATTACAAGGAAAATGGGAGTTAACCATAGCTCTTCTATAAAACACAAATCAATTTTTCTTTTAAAATAACAGAATAGAGAAAAATATATTTCCCAAGTGCCTTAGGCTTTGAATAAAAGTCTTTACAGTGCAACCTCTTGAGATTCTCTGGTTCGAGGATTTTATTAATTTTATTATGTTCCTGGTCAGAAGTAGCTTTGAGTTGATTATGTTCACAAAAGAAACATTTATGAGGCTCCGGGAGGCCATCTACTGGGACGTACTTTTCACGACTACTGATGATAATAGTTAATAGTTATTGAGAGATTTACTTACATAGAGCAGCACACTGTGTACTTTATTCAATACTGTGCATTTAATCTTCAAAATGACCTTAGGAGGTAGTCATTACAGGTTGACAATAAGTTATCTGAAACCCAGGGGCCAGATACTTTCAAATTCAGATTTTTCAAATAGTAAACACAGTGCATATACCCTATGTTACCTAATACCCTCAGCAGGGTCTGGGGCAGGTCCCCTGTAATCAAACACATTAACAGTTGTTGGCAATGTTTGACTCTGAAAACTAAGTTGTACAAATAAAGGTTAAATGGTGTCATGTCAGTTCAGATGAGATTTTTCTGCCAAATGAGTTTTAGTGCGAAGCTTATGAAATCTCAAACCCCCCACCCCCAGTTTTGGATCTTACTGGGTTTCAGAATTTCAATAAGGACTTCTGATATGCAACATGACTATTTTTTCTTTTATCTATGAGTGAACTGAGACTGAATGAGGCTAAGTAATTTCCTCAAAGACACACAGCATGTAAGTGTGCAGAGGCAGAAGGCTACTAACCCAGGCCTTCTGATAAAAACTGATGTGTTAGTCCAATGATTCCAGACCACCAGGCCACACAGCTCCTATGTGAACCAGAAGTGCTTGAGATGCCATATTCAGAAAAGCAAGGCACAGGTCACTCGAAGCTTCCCTTGAGACCCAAACAAGCATGGACTTTGAGTAAAGCTCAAAGAGGTCCAGAGAATCTAAATGAAGCCATATTTCTTTAAAGCTCACCTCTTCTTTTGGCATGAATTTCACTTGCACGTTGGACTTCTCACCAGGATCCAAGACTCCAGAAATGGGCTGGATTTCGAAGATCCGTGTCTTTGGCTTTAATTCAGCGCGTAGTTTCTGTCTTAAGTACTTCGGCATGTGTTTCTCCAGCTGGTTTATAAATATTAGAGAATTAGATCATCTTCTATGGAAAATGAGCTCATTCACCTTCCACTCACACAACCCACATTTCCTGAGTACCTCTCAGGTGTCGGGGAATGTGTAGATACCAGAGGTGCAAAGATGAATAAGACATTCCACCCGACAGCATGGCCTGATAGGACCTCAAGCGCTGGGCTAAGGGCCCAGGTTTTATTCAGGAGGCAATGGTTGCCACTGAAAGTCTTTGAGCAGGAGATTGAAATGATGAGCGCCAAGACCTAGAGTTACAAATCTGGCTGCAATGGAGATGGAGAAAGGAGGACCAATGGGCCACAGCTCATTTACCTTGTCAACAGGCTTTTGGCTCTGGACGAACCATTCACAAGGGACTTGGAGATGATTGGAAAGCTGAATAGTTTCCACCAGGCACTGTCCACACTGAATTGTGGCAAAGTCCACTTTTCCACGAGAGAGAGTCATGGTTGGAATGGTCACCTTGGCTTGGAGACAGATGTGAACTGTTGGCCCTCCAACCACCTAGAGAGGGTATAAACTGCAGTTATCATGTGTCATGGGGTTGGGGAAAGGAAGAATCATGGCTCTGACATAATAACTGGATTATCCCAGGGGCCATCAGCAAGCAGAGCTGGAAACCTGCAGGTCCGGGTGGGCCCAGCGGTGCCTTGTACCTTGATGGGCAGAATGACTTCTTTGCTTCCAACAGGAAGATTGGCCCCCTGTGGGTCAAATCTCACTTCAAATATTTCCGTTTCACAATGAGGTAGATTCTTTACACGATCTAGCTCAGTACTGAATCCTGGACCAAGACAAAAAAAAATTTCTTCATGGAAAAGAGAAACAGCAAACAAGAGCTGCTCTAGAGAAAGCCCCCACTGGGTCAGAATGACTGCTCAGAGGATCACTGAATAGCCCAAGAATCCTTTTAGCTGATCCCAGAGGCACAAAAGCTGCTCCAGGAGGACAGTACTGATGGGTTCCTTGAGAGAAATGACCAAGTGCAATAGGAAAGGGTCTCCCCAGCCTGGGTACCTGTCTCATGAAGGACACGCTTGTCTGCATGGAATGACACTGGAAAGTGACTGGTGTTGATGATCTTGATGATGTGGGTTCGGACTTCGCCAAGGATGATGTAGCCAAAGTCCAGGATGTACTCTGGTAGCTGGATTCTGAAATGGTTAATAGACCTTACTAGTCACTTTCAAACCTGGAAGGCTACTTTTCCAAAAGTGAGTGAGTCTGATTTTTTTTTTCTACCTCCTGTGCACAGTTTTATTCTCCAGAGTGGAGAACAACAAATGGC
Organism: Homo sapiens; assembly: GCF_000001405.40. NCBI lineage: Eukaryota > Metazoa > Chordata > Mammalia > Primates > Hominidae > Homo > Homo sapiens. The sequence continues at coordinate 70,974,805 of NC_000016.10, forward strand.
TACCCAAATGGAGACTAGAAACAACGTTAACTCCCCCAGAGATTCACACCACTGTTTTGGCCATTATCTCAGAACATGTTCAGCATGGGCCCTTATGGACCTGAAGTGAAGCCTGTCCATTAGACATAGCTATAATGTTCTCACTCTAAGAGGCAGAAAGCTGCCCAGTTGGCTTGATGCTAGGGGATGGCGGATAAGTGAGGAGAGTGGATTTCATTGCGAGGTGATCAGCCAGTGTTTCCGGGAGTGTGCTGCACGAGGCAGCACTGCTTGCTCTGCTACACTCTGAAACAAGCACAGCACAGAAAGGCAGTCACTGGAAACCACTCACTTGGCCAGTTTGCGGCGACTCCGATGGCTGAAGCAGGGGTCATCCATAGGATCAGGGGTGGTTGTTTTCTGATGTTCTAGGACATAGCTTTGGACTATAAGTCTTTCTACCTCCATCTGGAGATGAGCACTTACCTGAAGCAAGAAGGAAGAGCAAGTCAGCAAATTCTTTAGGAACATGCATTCTCAACAGGGACAATACCACCCCTAAAGAGGCAAAAATTAGTTCTTGGAGGGTGGTGGAAAATATCTTAAATATTACAATGGTTTGCGGCCCCCAAAGAGCCACAGAACATAAACAGATACATGGTATGTTTAAAGCATTACATTTTTCCTGGGAAGGGCGTGGGAAGGGTAAGCAAATCGGTATATCCACACCATGGAATACTCAGCAGTAAAAGGGAATGAATTATTGAGGTGCATAACTTGAATGGATTACAAGGGCATTATGTGGAATGAAAAAAGCCAATCTCAAAAGGCGATGTGCTGTATGATTCCATTTATATAACATTCTTGAAATAACAAAAGGCTCAAGATGGAGAACAGATGAGTGGCTGCCAGAGGTAAGGGACAGGGAGAGAGGGGTGGATGTGGTTATAACCTGGGCACATGTAAGGCCAAACACAAATGGAAAATGAGGCTTAGTTCTCCTTGTTGAAAATAAGGGAAGAGACTTCTCTTCCTCCCCTTAGAGTATTTAGTTTAGAACATTTGTAATTTTAAGTTCTTTGAAATGTTATCGCTTTGAAATGTAGATAAATCTTTTTAAAAGTGAAATAAGCCTCTTGCCAGCTTTAGGAGCCAGAAGTGTCTTTCTCAAGGACCTGGGAACCATCTCTTTGACACGTAATCAACAAGAAAGGTGAAGTCCCTACTCCCAGTTTCTGTGAGAGGATGGGAGCCTAGCTTCCATGGGGCCCTGCTAGAAAGACAAGTTTGTTTTTCCTTTGGATAAAGCCAATTAGCTAACACAGTTGGTCACCTCAATTACCATGTCGATTTAGGATAAACTATGTGTGACAAATGATGGTGTCAAGTCCTCTTACTTGAGACTAGCTATTTTTTACTCTGAGAACAGGAATGAAAAGGCTTGGATCTGGTTGGCTCTATAGGAGGGGCAGACTTCCTTCTGTCTTTGCAATCTCTCAGCAGATTGCCTGTGATGGGCATCACATTCTGGTTTAATACTTATTCAATAATAAAATTGTTTTCTTTCTCTTCTACCTTTGTGGATAGATTTTCTGGGTTGGAGGGAGATTTTGTTTTTAATTTTATTTCCTCAAGAAGCACGAGGAATCTTGGTGGTAATGGAATAGTTCTGGATCTTAATTGCGGTGGTGGGTTCACAAATCTACATGTGATAAAATTGCACAGAACTACACCACACACATACACACATGCATGTAAAAGTGGTGAAATCTGAATAAGCTCTGTGGCTTGTACAAATGTCAATTTCATGGATTTGATGTTGTACTATAGTTATACGAGACGTTACTGCTGGGAAAACCCTTTTTTTTTCAATTCCCTGTAAATATATTATTTCAAAATAAAAAGTTAAAAAGTATATGTCAAACTATTCAAGGAGATTCCATTTTGTATATAATAAATAAAAATATTTCATGGGGAATATTAGGAAAAAAGGTCTAAAATGGATTTTTAGGGAGTGATAATGGAAAAGGTTGAGAAATACTATTTGAAAAGGGCTAATCCTTAAGTCTAGGCCCAGCAGGGAAGGTTAATGTGTGCCATGGCCCACAGTGAGGCACAGGAGGTGAGAGTGGAAGTGTGACAAACTGGGAGAGGAGCAGCGTCTGCTGACAGCCTTCCCAGTTGTCTGGATTCTAGAGCAGCAAAGCCAACTCTGTGCTTGGCTCCTGAGCCATGAGTGGTCCACTCTGCCCTACTCAAGGGAACCAGCTTGGCTCTGCACGTACCATCATATTCACAGAAACCCCACCCCACTGCTCTCCTAGGCTTTGATAAGGTGCAGCCTGGGAACCCAATAAGCAGGTGGAGACACATCATTGCGTCCAGTGGGCAGCCCGGGGCTGGCAGGAGAAGGCAGAGGCTAAGGGCACCATCTTAGCAGCTGGGCAGGCCTGGTTTCAAATCCTAGCTCTGTGCTTGCCTTGGGACATGCACTTCACTTCTGTAAAACTAAAATTTAGATGACAGCAGCACCATTCTCCCCCCACCCTCATTGTGGGAGGATTTAACAAGATAACAGTACAGGTTAACAGTATGGCACAGGCTTAGTATAAGAGTCCAATAAATGGTAACTGATGTTATTAATTATGATCATCCTTGGTGCTAAGGTTCACTTTTAGCATCTTGTACTTGAACCAGCCTTCTGCAAAACAAATAATCCCCGGTGGGCTTTGGTGCTTCCTGTCTCCCCCATGACACCTTTCTCCCCCACATTAGAGCCCCCTCTTAACCAACCTAAGGGCTCTCTAGCCACATATATGATTCTTCCTTAGAACAATATTCGCATGCACATTTGCATTTGGAAAGAACAGCAGCGGGGTTGGCAGCTGTCAGGGTCAGGAATAGACTTTTAAAACAGGACTTTCAGGGGTGATGAGGGAGGATATATTGGGATTTTGTCTTCCTATCCCAGCCTTTATTTACAAGCTGAGAAGCTCTCTCCTCCAGAGACCCTCGCTTGGCTCCCACCTCTGTGGCACCACATGCTCCTGACTTTTCCAGAATCTTTTGGCCACCCCTCTCCCCCACTCAGATGCTGGGGTATTTTGGGGCTACATTCTGAATCTGCCTTTTTTCCTGCTCACTAGACATACTTCCTAGGGAATCTCCCCATTTCCTGTGATTGCAATGATCATCTGATGACTCTCAAGTCACCTTCTCCAACCTCTCTCTCTCCCCGAGGTGCCCAGCAGTGGCTCCGGTTCCCTACTGGCTGCTCTACGCAGATGATGCACAGAAATCTCACATTCGGTAGCCACGGGAAACAGCTGAACTCCTTTCCCTCCCCTCCCCTCCCACCAAGACCTCGCTTCTCCTCCTGAGTTGCCTGTCTCAGTCCCCCTCCTTACCCCGTCATCCAAGCAAGACTTAGAGGTCCCCTCCACCCCATGCCCATATCCAATCAATCCCTAAGTCTTGACCATTCCACTTCTGGAATATTCCTTGAACCCACCCAGTTCGCCCTGTCCCCACTGTCATCACCATTGCTTACAGCACCACCATCTCTCACCTAGAATGACTCCATCAGCTTAAAAAAACTGTAGAGATGGAGTTTCACCATGTTGTCCAGGCTGGTCTCAAATTCCTGGCCTCAGGCCATCCTTGGCTTCCCAAAGTACTGGGATTATAGGAATGGGCCACTGCACCTGGCCCTCCGTCAGCTTCTAAAAAAACTGATCTCTCGAATCTACTCTCATCATCCCCAAGTTCCTGTCCCCTCAAAGCTCCACATGGCAGCCAGAGGGATCTCTTAAAGATGCAAAGTCGATTGGGCCACACCTCTCGTTGCCCTCAGGATGAAGTCCAAAAACCTTAATAGATCAGCCATCTGATACCTCACCTCCTGGGCTCATCTTGCCTCTCCTAGCTTCCTGATTCTTTGCCTTATCTCTGTCTTTCTCTTTTCTGTACCTCAGAGACCATGTCCTTGCCCCTGGGCTTCTGCACACAGTGCCCTTCTGCACACACACCCCACACACTGTGCACACAGTGCCCTCTGCACACAACTCCTATGCACTCTGCACGCACCACCCTCCTGCACAGGCGTCCCGTGCAGGCTGGAGCTGTCTTACCTCAGCAGGCTCGTCTTCTGGCACTTCCTCAGTTATTATGTCAAAGTGATCGAGCATTTCACATTTGTTATACTCTTTGTCTGTGTTTTTCCTGGCTTGATTCAAGAACATTTCATACTTTTCATTTGCTGTACCAGGGTGGGGAGTGGGGGTTGGAAGGAGAGCAGAATCAGGAAGGTCAGAAAAATATGAATGATGTCGCAAACACAGACCCTCAGCTCCTGGTAAGGTGGGAAGGGAAGTGGACTTTTGGATACTTTGTCTGCCCCGCTTTCCCTGCTTCAGAGGGTGAGGTGATGTGAGAGTTGAATCTGTATTAGAGACCTCACTGAGTTCAATGAGATTGTGCTTTAGTGAAGGACTGGCTAGTTCTCCAGAACTTGAAGTTAGTTACATTTGAAGACACTCATAGGGTGACCCACTTGATCCTGGCTTGCTTGGGGTTTTCTTGGTTCTAGCACTTAAACCCCTACACCCTGGAGCTCTCCCAGTGCTGGACAAACCCAGACAGCCGGTCACCCTTTAAGTCACTTTTTATGTTTATTAAATCTCAATTAACAAAAGATATGTTTGGGTCAAGTTGTTTTAATTAACACTAAATATGCCACATTATCCTGAATCAGGGAGGGTAGGTAATCGGTGGAGAGATTCCCACCCGAATTTACCACTACGCCCGTGCAAATTCAAATCCTTTGAAAGGCAAAGGTAGGAAAGTCATTTAAAATGCCTACTATAGGCCAGGTGTGGTGGCTCACGCCTGTAATCCTAGCACTTTGGGAGGTTGAGGGCGGGCAGATTGCCTGAGCTCAGGAGTTCAAGACCAGCCTGGGCAACATGACAAAACCCCGTCTCTACAAAAAATTAGCTGGGCATGGTGGTGTGTGGCTGTAATCCCAGCTACTGGGGAGCCTGAGGCATGAGAATCGCTTGAGCCCTGGAGGTGGAGGTTGCAGGGAGCTGAGACCCCGTCACTGAACTCCAGCCTGGGTGACAGAGCAAGACTCTGTATCAAACAAACAAACAAACAAACAAACAAAAAGCCTATTATAAAACAATAGGAAATGCTGTGAGTGTAGTGAACTGGAGAACAGAAGACCCAACTAATGGTGTTCAAATTTAAATTATTTTAAAGCCCTTACTGGCCAAACCATGTCTACTGCCCTGATGAGGCCAGCTGGGTGCCCAGTTTCAACCGTATAGCAAAGGTTTTCCTTCCTGAAATTATATGTAGAGCTGGAGTAACCCTCATCTGGCTGGAACTCTAGATACGAGAGTGTAACATGGTCTTAGCATTAGTGACATTTATTGCCAGGCATTGTGGCTCAACACCTGTAATCTTAGTGCTTTGGCAGGCTGAGATGGGAGGATCACTTGAGACCAGGAATGCAAGACTAGCCTGGGTAACAAAGTAAGATCCTATCATAAAAAAAAAAAAATTAAAAAATTAGCCAGGCATGGCAGTGCACATCTGTAGTCCCAGCTCCTCAAGAAGCTGAAGCGGGAGGATCCCTTGAGCCTAAGAGTTAAGATTACAGTGAGCTCTGATTGCACCACTGTATTTCAGCCTGGGTAACAGAGCGAGACCTTTTTAAAAAAGAGACAGGGTCTTGCCTATATATATATATAAATATAAATATAAATTATATATATATATATGCAAGTTTTCAGGGAGCAGACAATTAGAATTCAGTGGATGATTATGAACAGGAGAGTTAGTAACTTCAGGGAATGGGGTAACAGGAAAGGCTGGGTGGGAGGACTTAGTCTGAAGCTTTTTAGGGAAAGTAGATTTCAAGGAGCTTGAATAGAGATTCATAAAGAGTGAGAGGTTTCCCTGATCCATCGTCCTGTACCTGACGTCAGGAAGAAAGAGCCAGAGACAGTCTATGGCTAAAAGGGCTGCTCAGCTGAGGTTCGGAATCTGCCAAGACAGAAATATTCTGCTACAAAAGGATAGTCCTGGGGGCCAGATGTAACTGGGAAATGTAAGTGGGAAGACAATTATTCAAGTCTAATTTAGCCTTCACCCTGTGTAATGCCAAAATAAGGGCTCAGAATCTGTGTCCGCCTTTCTGTGCAGTTTATACTTTGAGAATTCTACTCCTGGAAGCTCATTGGCTCTTACCTTCCCAGTGGCATCTAGGAGAATGTCACAGGGAAAGGACAGCTCGGGGAAAGACTGGGGCCAGAAGGAAAGTGCATGGGGGAGGAAAAGCTTTTGGAGGTAAATTTCCTGATCCCTCTGTCAGTAATTCAATAATGGCCAAATTGGCCAGGGTTCTTCACTTGGGGCTGCCATAGACGATTTCTTGTCGCAGTAAACTCAGGTCACCAATTTGGCAATTGCAGAATAACGTGGAAGAGAACCACAGGGCATTTCCAAGCAAATAAAGTAAGTAGCCAGCAATCTTCCAATAAGCAAAGCTAAAATGCTTGTTTTGTCCCCAGTGGGGAACTACTCCAGTGTGAAGTACTACCTGTGAGGTTCCTGGGGAGATCGAGGCAGATTTGGGGAAAGATTCCCTCTCCGCTCAGAGTGATATTTTCTGGGTCCAGGTGGGCGATCTGTATCTGGAAACTCCTTTTAAAGACCTCAGGTACTCCAGGTAGGTAGTAAACTTTTAATACCTGCTCTTGATGTGAACTGATAAAGCCCTACGCGGTAGAAAGACCAGAAAAGGGAAAACGAATGTGCTACAGTACAGGTTCAACTCATTAAATTACTTAAAACAACAACAACAATGACAAAGTAAACCTAAAAAAAGAAGGAAAGGAGTAAGAGATTTAATGAAATGAGTGCAAAGAAACAGAAGAGGTTCGTAAATCCACAAACTGGTTCTTTGAAAAAAGACGAATAAAATACACAAAACTGGCAAGACTGATTAAGAAGATAAGGAGAAAAGTCACTAAAAATGTAAAAAGAAAAATGGTTCGGCCGGGCCTGGTGGCTCACGCCTGTAATCCCAGCACTTTGGGAGGCTGAGGTGGGTGGATCACGAGGTCAGGAGATCGAGACTATCCTGGCTAACACGGTAAAACCCCGTCTCTGCTAAAAATACAAAAAATTAGCCAGGCATGGTGGTGGGCACCTGTAGTCCCAGCTACTCGGGAGGCTGAGGCAGGAGAATGGCGTGAACCCGGGAGGCAGAGCTTGCAGTGAGCCGAGATCGCGCCACTGCACTCCAACCTGAGCGACAGAGCAAGACTCCGTCTCCAAAAAAAAAAAAAGAAAAAAAAAAGAAAAATCGTTCATAAATATATAGTAAAATAGTACATAAATCATATACAATTATGAGAAAACTTTATGTCAATATATTAAAACATTTTTGTGAAATTAACAATTTCCTAGAAAAATATGAATAACAAAACTCAAAAACCTTAGAGTGATCTGTATCCTATACAGAAGCTGAAAAATGAAGACAATTACCCTGACAAAGGAATATATGGCATTGGAAGCAAGTTCTGCTATTCCTTCAAAAACAGATAATCACTTCAGTTTATGACCCATTCAGGAAATAGAAGAGAGAGAAATGCCCATTTATTTATTCTGATATCCAAACTGATCAAATGCAGCATGAAGAAGGAAATTTATGAACCAACGATCACTTAACAAAGGTGCAAAAATTGTAAGTAAAATGTTAGCTGAGTGAATCCAGCAATATATATATATAATATTTAAATGCAGATGGTAGCATACAGAGTGTTTTTCGTCTTCCTTTTCTTTTCATTTTACCTAACAATATATTTTACGATTAATTCAATATTAGTACATCTAGAGCTGCTCCATCCTTTTTAGTTGCTACATATTATTCCATTACATAGTTTTAACATATTTTTAAAAACTAGTTTCCTACTGATAGACATTTAGTTTGTTTCTGGTCTTTTGCTATTGCCATTACAGATTATACAGGAAATAATCTTATAAACACATCATTTTGCAAATGTGGGAACGTGTATGTAGAATAAATTCTTAGAAATGAAATTTCTAGGTCAAAGTATAATTTTGATAGATAAGGCCAAATTATTCTCTATAGAGTTGTTATCAATTTACAATAACTGCAGCAATGTAAATTCAAATGCTTAAAAATCTTTAGAAAAAGGGCAAGGAAAACATAGCAATTATGATAAAAAGATCGAATAGAAAGAAAACACTGAGTAAATTTAAAAAATAGACAAGATACGATGAAAGAAATAATAGCAAGCATTTCAGTTTTGCTAATCATAAGAATGTGTTAAATGTTCCTATTGAAACTTAAGGACTCTCAGAGAAGATTAAAAAATAAAATCCAAATAAGTATGTTTTATGAATGATAAGCCTAAAACAAAATGAAATAAGACTATGGGCAAATTATGTAAGGCAAAAAGAAAGCAGCAATCACAATATTAAGACCAAACAAAGGGGAATTCAAAGAAGAGCATTCAAAGGGAACAAGAAGGCAATTGAAGGTAGACAGAACACACAGTCCATGATGAACACTTAATAGTCATGAGATCTTCTGTGTCAACACAGAAACGAAAGGGTATAAACAAAAAGGTGTATGTATTTGTAGAAAACAATAGAGAAATGGACAAAAGTTTTATATACCACTCTTGAGTCTTAGAAAAATTAAACAGAAAAAGATATAGAAGATTTTAATCTTATAATTATTTGGGTTAATTTAGTAGAGAATCCAGATATGATAATCTGGATTCTATAGCCCAGGTAACATTATTTTCAAACATTTATTAGTATTAAAAATTACTTTAGGTCACTAAAATATATTAATAAATTCACTAAGTAGGAATTTAGAGGGCCATATTATCTGATCGTGATTCAAAAAAACCTCAATATTGGTAACAATATAAGTAACAAAAGCAAAAATCATAATCATTTGGAAATTAAAAAAAGAAAAATATATTTTAAATTACATTTGTAAGTAAAACTATAATTTAAGACAACTTAGAAAATAATGAAAATCATAATAGTAAATATTAACATGTATAAAACACACAAAAATTGTCATCTACTTTTTTATCTGTAATTTTCTTAAAATATAAGGGGTAAGGCTAAAGGTGTCCTTAGGCAAATGAATAGTCTTACATTTTTTCATTATTAACTAAGAAAAACAATAAAAGCAGGCATTCAAGTCACAAAGTTAGAGAAACAAAACACAAGAGTGAATTTGGGCTGGGCGAGATGGGGCTCACGCCTGTAATCCCAGCACTTTGGGATGCCAAGGCAGGCAGACACCTTGAGTTCAGGAGTTCAAGACCAGCCTGGGCAACATGGCAAGACCCTGTCTCTAAAAAACAAAAAATAAATAAATAAAATAAACAATAAATACAAAAATTAGCTGGGTGTGGTGGTGCATGCCTGTGGTCCCAGCTATGTGGGAGGCTAAGGTGGGAGGATTGCTTGAGCCCAGGAGGCAGCGGTTGCAGTGAGTTGAGGTCTGCACTCCAGTCTAGGTGACAGAGCCAGACATGGTCTTAAAAAAAAAAAAAAAAAAAAAGTGAATTCAAAAGATTAGCTAAGACAAATTGGGAAAAAAAACCAAAAGGGGAGTTGACCTAACAGATATTAAGATGTATTTCTAAAGCCATAGCAGCTAAAATAGTACAGTATTAATGTAGGGACAAACAGAGCAATGAAGAATAAAGAGACCAGCAGTAAACCCAAATATGTGAGATGATTTAGGGGAAGAACAGACTTTATCATTAAAGATGATGGTGCTCATTATCTTTGGATTTACAAGATTATGAATAATTACACTTTAAAAATATTTTCCTTTTTTAATAACAATTATGTGCTATTTTCATAATGAGAAAAATTCAACAAATGTTCCTTAAAACTGGTAGATCAACATAATATGAACAAGGAACCACTTTCTCTGTTTGCTTCTGAAACCAGTTTGGCTCAGCGCAGTCTGCTAGTGTTTTCACACCTGCTGAAGTCAGTGGAGAGGAAGCCCTCGGGAATTACAAGGGCAGCGTGAAGACATCGGTGGAAATAAATTAGTCTCATTATCATGGAAAAAAAATCCATGGGTTGCATCTGTCTTGTTGATTGCTGTATCCCTGGTGCCTGGAAACTGGTTACTGTGGGACTAAATAAATATTTGTTTAATAAATGAGCGAAGTGGCTTGGATTTATTTTTTTTTTCTGCTTCCGAGAGTTCTTTAGTTTTAACAAAAAGAAAAAATCACACTTGTAATCCTGGTCGTGAATACTCACCTGCTTCGGAGTGGGGCTCGTAGGTTTGAATTCGGGCCCCTCCCACCATTTACTTACAGACACAGGCAGGATTAGTGGCACTCCAGGGAGAAGGTTGTCTGGAGAAGACTGGTGGTCAGTCAGAACCTTGAACTCAAAGCCAACTTTCCCCATGTTCGTCAGCGTGATTTCCCTCTCTGTGACATGGTCAAACAGCTTGAGAAGAGAAGGAGAAGAGTGACTCCATCTTGGGATGCGGCTTTGATAGTGACAAAGGTGCAGAAACATGCCTCATGGATAAGGGTGTGACAGCTCCTGATATAAATACTGGTCAATCTACATCTCAGCATCACAACAAATGCCTACTGGGGCACTAGACTCTGGAAACCTGGCTCTTAGTTCTTCTAAGAACCGATTCAGTTTAGGTATGGCTGTGGGGCTGAGCATTTCACCTTCCTGGGTCTCAGTTTTTTCACTACAGGAACTTGTAATAGAGAATCTTAAAGTAAGCTTTCTACATTAAAAAGATTTGCCTAGTATTCCATGGTGTATATGTGCCACATTTTCTTAATCCAGTCTATCATTGTTGGACATTTGGGTTGGTTCCAAGTCTTTGCTATTGTGAATAGTGAGAAAGTAAGCTCGTAAGGCCCCAGCGAGATGCAGCCATAAAAAATGATGAGTTCATGTCTTTGTGGGGACATGGATGAAGCTGGAAACCATCATTCTCAGCAAACTATCGCAAGGACAAAAAAACCAAACACCGCATGTTCTCACTCATAGGTGGGAATTGAACAATGAGAACACTTGGACACAGGAAGGGGAACATCACACACCAGGGCCTGTTGTGGGGTCGGGGGGAGGGGGGAGGGATAGCATTAGGCGATATACCTAATGTAAATGACAAGTTAATGGGTGCAGCACACCAACATGGCACATGTATACATATGCAACAAACCTGCACGTTGTGCACATATACCCTAGAACTTAAAGTATAATAAAAAGAATTAAAATAAATAAATTAAAAAAAAAAAGATTTGCCTTCTGGATTCTGTCCTGTAAGAAAAACAAAAGATTTGAGTTTAGAATGTTCTAGAATGAACTTTTCCATTCAAATGGAGAACCATGGGTGTAACAGGCCAGTCATGTTCTTTTTCCTGGAATTTTGCTAACATAATTCACCAGCTGGGTTAGCAGGCCCAATAACCACAAACAGGCCACTTTGGGGGTCCTTAGGAAAAGCTAGGGTGAGGTCTGACTGCTTCAAAGACTATACTCAGACATGAGCCGAAACCAAGTGCCCAAAGGACCCTGGAGACGACGAAGGCAAGAGAATTCTATTTGGTCAGCATCATGGAGATGGTCTCAGTAGGTGCTGGGTGAATCAGATTTTAGGCACAATCTTTGATCTATAAACACACATGCATGCACACAATTCAGTAATGATACATGCAGGAGCTATGTAATGGAGATTCAATCCTCATGGAAATTTGGTAGGAGATATGGTCTCCGAGTGCATAACACAAAATCTGATTGGGAAGAGAATGTGTACTGATGGAATTAATTGACAATTATTCCAAAACAAAAATGGGAAAGTATATTATATTATGGCAAAGACTATCATTAAGTGCCAAGGGAATGTAAAGTAAAAGATAACCCTAGAAGGAGCTGAGCTGGGTCTTATAGGATGTAAAGGTTTGGGTTTGGCAGAGTGGAGGATGAGAGGGATAAGGTAAGACAAAGTGTAGCTGCATGAAGCGCTGGGGTGCACTGGGGCCGGTGGGTAGACCAGCTTGGCCACAGTGAAATGTATGGACTACAAGAGGGAATTATGGGAAGTGAAACTTCCAGTGTAAAGATCACCAGTTAATAGAGAGGCTTAGGATAGCCTCACCCAGGTGAGGAATGGGCTCTGACCCAAAGGAACTCATGACAATTGACAGCCAACTCTGACCCAGCACAGCACTGACCAGATAGATGCTTTAAGCAATGACAACTCCTGGTGGGATGGGCTTGCTACTCCGTTCCCACCTTATAGATGAGGGACACTGAGGCTTGGAGAGGTGATGTGCCCAAGGTCATGCAGTCGGGAGGAAGTAAAACTGGAATAGGAAGAGGAAGTAAAACCGGAATACAAAGAGGAAGTAAAACCGGAATACGAAACCACGCTCTTTGGTCAATATCACATTGCTTTGCCAAATGCTGCTGGGATTAATTGGTCAGGGACTGACAGGATGACAACACCATTTTGGAAAATGTCGCTGGACTTACTGAATCAGAATCTGCACTTGAACAAAACTCCCAGGTGATTCATAGGCACATTACAGTGTGGGAGGAACTGCTGTAATAATTTAGGCATGGCTTGATGAGACCCTGTAATGTGATATCAGTGGCAATGGGAAGAGAAAACTGACTCAGAGAGGGACGCTGGTGATGAGTCAGCAAACCCTGGAGGCTTAGAAGGATGTGGAGAGGTGAAGGAGAGAGTGCAGCGGAAAAGCCTTGGAGATTGTGAACCCAAGGGTGGAGAAAATGGTAATGCTATTGAAAGAAATGCAGAAGTTGGAACAGGCTCCTGGATTGAAAGGGAAGAAGTGACCTTGAGCATCTAACATGCTGAGTTTCAGGAGACGATAAGAAAAGCAAGTGTAAGTATCTGGCAAACAGTTGGCAGCAGGAGGATGGTCAGGGTTAGGGAGGCTGATGGGAGATCAAGGACGGGGTGATGGCGAGACTATGATGATTGGGGTTCAGGAGAGATTTGTTTAAGATGCTTAAGACAAAACCAGAAAATCTCTACCCGATGGTTTGTGATACCTGTAATCCGTAGTGAATATCCTTGGTGTCAAAGGAATAGTTGACCAGGGACGCCTCTCCCTTCAGTGTTATTTCGTAGGTGGGTCCTTCTTCCACTTCACACAGAGCTTTAGCTTGTGCAATGATGTTAGCGTGTCCATAGAAGGTGAACGATATTTGGTGGCTACTGTGTGGCTGCAACACTCCAAACAGGGGCAAAATATCAAACACCTGCAGAGAAAGTCATTCTGTAAGAGAGCAGCTGTTGGGATGAATGCCTGCCAAGGATAAGTGAAAGTTATGTCAATTTACACATTAATTCCAGTCTTTAACTCATTTGATAGAAGGTAGCCCAGCACCCTGAAAACACATAATGGTAATGATGGTAACAGTGCTCTGGTGAGATTTAAGTTTCTAATGTGGGGCAGCTGCTCAGTTAGAAAGTAAAGTTAGTGTCTGATAAGGTCAGGAATCACACGGTGTCACTTACTTCTTCTATCCCAATGGAAAGCATCTCATTCTGTTCACAGGTCTGTAGGGATTCCTGATCCTCCACCTGGCTCTGGCTTGAGTATATTCTTTCTATTTCAGTAGAGCTAATTTTTATTTCCTAGAAATTAAAGATGTGAGGAAAAGCTGGCAAGCATTCAAAATGGATCATCAATTGACAGAAAAATAAAGTATGTTGTATATGATTATAAAAATAGTACATTTTTTCCCAGGAAGATAATTGAGCAAGTGACTATAATGTACATACGAGGATGTTTACTGCAGCATTATTTATAACAGCAAAACTTTGGAAGCCAACTCAGTGCCCATCAATAGGGGGTCACTTTAAATGAAGTGTGTGTGGTACACCTATCCATGAAGGATAATGCATGTATATTTATGGATAGGGATGATGTGCACAACATATTATTGAGTGAAAAGCAGTTCTATTCATGTAAAATTACATATGCCTCATGTGTCTGAAGGTGTGTGTGTGTAAATTCCTTCAGAGATTTGCATTGGCAAATAGAAATATCTGGGAGGTTGTTTGCTAAGAATTTCGTAGCATTTTTCTCAGTGGGGTAGAAAGAAGATGGGAATTTTGAGGATGTTTGCTTTAATTTTTCTGTATTCTTGAGTTTATATGTACACACATGTACATATATATGTACATATATATTTTATTTTTGAGACAAGATGTCTGTCTCTGTCACCCAGGCTGGAATGCAGTGGCATGATCAGAGCTCACTGCAGCCTTGAATGCCTGGGCTCAAGTGACCTTCCCACCTCAGCCTCCCTAAAGTAGCCAGGACTGCAGGCGTGCACCACCACACCCTGGAGTCTCGTTATGTTGCCCAGGCTGGTCTTGAACTCGTGGCCTCAAGCCATCCTCCTGCCTTGGCTCCCAAAGTACTGGGGTTACAGGCGTGAACCACTGTTTCTGGCCTATTCTTGAGTTTTCTATGACACGCATCTTTGAAAACAGAAAAAGAAGAATTAATATTTAAAAGACAAATATTTTATATACTCACACATACTCATTCTAAAAAATTTTTAAAATATAGAAAGCTCCAAGGAAAGAAATAAAAGTCCATCTCAGGTTATACTGTAGATAAATATTATTATATATATGTGTGTATATATAGTGTATTATGTGTGCATACATATTTGTATTCTGATTTTTCAGTTGACCTAATATGAGTGCCATCTTCCCATATGACTGAATATTCTTCACAAACATCACTTAAAGTATTTTAGAAAGTTGATTGTACATGATACAAATTTAAAATATTCAAAAGGATATATGGTAAAAAGATAAAAAAAGACTTCTATCCCTACAGTTCTCCGGTTCTCCCCTCCTGAGGTACCCACTGTCCAGTTTCCTATATGTTGAATTTAGTTATTCCTCTTAATTCAGCTGATATTTACTGGGGACTTACTAAGAACCAGTTCTATATCCTGAGGATATGACGATGAACAAAACAGAAAAAAAATTCCTGCCCTCATGAAGATTAAATTCCAGAGATATTCCACGCACAAGCAAAGATATCTATGTAACTGTTTGAGAGATAACACAGTAGCTAAGAGCAAGCAAGATGGTCGAGTCTTCCAGCTCCACTGCTTGATGGACGTGTCCCTGCATTGGTAAAATGGGGAAAGATAGTGGTATCCACCTCACAGAGGTGTTGGGAAAAGTAAAAGAGTTAATGTAAAAAATTGCTTAGCTGGGGGCGATGTCTCATGGCTGTAATCCCAGGACTTTGGGAGGCTGAGGCAGGTGGATTGCCTGAGCTCAGATGTTCAAGACCACCCCGGGCAACATGGTGAAACCCTGTCTCTACTGAAATACAAAAATTAGCCGGGCATGATGGCAAGTGCCTGTAATCCCAGCTATTTGGGAGGCTGAAGCACGAGAATTGCTTGAACCCAGGAGGTGGAGGTTGCAGTGGGTCAAGATGGTACCACTTCACTCTGGCCTGGGCAACAGAGTGAGACTCTGCCTCAAAAAAAAAAAAAAAAAAAAAAAAAAAAAAAAAAAAAGCTTAGGTCAGTGCTCAGTTAAGTGTTGGTTGCTTTCATAGACTTTTTTCTTTATACAAATGGTAGCACACAGTGTACTTTGTTTTGCACTGGGTATTTTTTCTTAATATATCAAAGATTGTGCCAAATTAGTATGTAGAGAACTTTCTCATTTTTAAAAAAGAATTTCATAGTATTGCCTTGTGCAGATGTAATTTAGTTTATTCAGACGGTCTCCTATTGGTGGAATTAAGTTGTTTCCAATATTTCTTGCTTTTACAAACAAAGCTGCAGTGTACAAGGATGGTTACATGCTTTATGCAAGTGCAGAGGTGTATCTGGAGGATAATTTCTAGAAGGGGGACAATGCATTTTAAATTTTGATCTACTTGCAAAGTTGTATGTTATAGAGGTTATGCCAATTCATACTCCTACCCACACTGTAGGAAAATCCCACTCAACACTATTTTAAAAGATTGCATCACATCATGGACATACAGCAATTTATCTTTCATTTTGTTTTTCATTTTTTGCTGTTTCTAAAATGTTGTAACAAGCATCTTTGTATGCACATCTTTGTATCTCCAATAGTTTACTTAGGCCGTCATTCTAGAAGGAGAATTTAAGGGTATTAATTTTTAAGCCCCCTTTGTTTTTGCTACAGAATTATTAAGAAAATATTTTTCCTTTAGTATCCTCTATCTAGGGTGTAGGAACATCACAAGTGTAGGCTCTCACTGAGTGTTGGCTCTGGGGTGTTTGGCTGGGAAGAAATGTGGGTAAAGCTGTACGGCTTTGTCCCAATTAAACCCAAGCATTGTACTGGCCACTCTGCTCCTGATTCTGCCTTTGTTTTATGGGAAGGACCCTTGACCTGCCTACCCTCCCCATGGAAAGGACACCGTACATCTGAGATCACACTGGAAGCTTTCGTTTTTCTTAGTTCTTTTTCTTCAGGCCTGGCATCTTCATCCACAAGGACAGTCCTAGGAAGTTTAATGAAATGCAGAGATTCACTCATTGGGCTGTCATCGCCACACAGTCTCAGGTGCATAACAGCCCTGTCTTCCTCTTCTCCCTCTACCACACCCCCAAACGTAAGGGGGATTCTCAATCAAGGGACACCTTTCTCAAGAGGTCAGCTGGTCAGGGCCCTGTTGCCCTATGCCCCCAAACATGTGGTCTAGGCCACTGAACTGGTCAATTTTTCACGGGGCTCAACCCTTTTTTACTGGCCCACCAAGCCCATGTTCAACTTACAAAAAGTCCTAGGAAGCTCCAGCAATTCTTCAGACAATGTGGGTGTTCTATGTGCTCAATGTTGTTTCCCTATTTATTGGAGCATTTTATTGTGAGGACATAATGTTTGGTGAATTGATATATCCTTTCCTGCTTGCTACCCTGGACCCAATCCTGACTGTAGACCTTGGACATACAGAGAGGACAATATGATAGGAAGGGCTCAGTCCCCCAGGACTCATGATGGTACCCTCTCCCTATCCCAGATGTCTAGTCTGGGGCCTACACATAGAAGACATTTATTAAACTGTTGACTGGGTACTGGATGAATGAACCAATGAGGGATGAGTATTGAGAATGTAAGTCCGTGTAAAGAAAAGAAAAGCTACTACAAATAATCTATGTTGGCTTTGCACTTACTTAACAAAATCATTTAAATCCATCTCGGGGGACTCTACTGTAACTAGGATTGCTGGTGGGCTGGCAGCCTCTGAGGTTGCTGGGATGGACTCCATCTGGGACACTGGGGCACTGTAGGGCTTCTTCGGCAATGTCACAAACCTACCAAAGCATGGGACAGGGAATAGGGGGAGACAGGAGACATCAGTTTTTGCAAATCAGTGTTCAGTGGGCTCTCAGTTTCTAAGGCCAAACTCCAAATCCTAGACCAGGCAGATCTAGTAGGGACCACCCTACACCCTCCCTTGAACTTGCCTTCTTCAAATCTCAGCTAAAATTTCACTTGCTCTTAAAAAGTTTTCTGACTACCAGTCTAGGCCCAACTTCTTTCCTCTGAGTGTCCATAGCCCCCTGGGCTTCCCCTTTCACACTTATTTTTACCATCCCTGTTAGATGTGGACTCGCTGAGGACTGGTATCCAATATGGTGTCTAATCCAGTGCCTGGCCTGGAATAAGTAGTCGGCATGGTCATGAATGAATGAGCCACTGGGGATCCTGCTCCCAGTTCACCAGAAAGCAGGGCTAAGACTCAGCTGAGGCCTGGGAAGCACTCTCTGTTAGGGGCCTGGAAGTGCAGGCTCGGGTTTCTTACATGACCTTGCCTCCTACAATGTGACCTCAGTGCCTTGCTTGCCACACCCTAGTCCTGGTCCCACCAATGAGCTGTGCTGCCACTCAAGTTCTCTGAGCAGAGGAACCCAGGGGAAAAGCAACTGTACCGGCTGGTGCTGAAGCCCATATGTCCAGGTTCCACTGATTAAAAAGGCCTTTGGATGTCACAAAGGCCAAGGTTGTGGGGTCACCCCCATTCTTCCTGTTTCCCCTTGGTGCATGGCTTCTTCTGGACCCCTCTCTGACCCTCCCCAACCTATCTCAAGCCCTTGATGTTAATTTCAATCTATTTCACTTATATACTCATTCTGGCCCCATCTGTACTCAGAGGCTCAGCACAAATGTCATCTATTATGTGAAGCTCCCACCACTGGCCTATCTTCCCACCGGAAGAAATTCTCCCTCCCTTGGAAGCTTCAGAGCATTTCATCTGCACTTCTTTTAGGACACTGTCCACTCTAACCATGTCCTAGAGTATCATTTCCTAAATTTCAGGGATCCTAGAGTATCATTTCCTAAATTTCAGGGATCCCACTACCATCTTCGTGATTTGTAAGCACACAGTTTGATGAGTTGTATACACATCTGTGGAACTATCACCACATTAATAAACAGAATGTTTCCATCATCCTAAAAAGTTGCTTTGTGCAAACACTCATCTGCTTAATATCACTAGAGATTAATTTGCCCACACTTTCATAGAAATGAAATTGGAAACATGTACAAATTTGTGTCTGACTTCCTCTGTTTGGCATGATGTTTTTGAGATTTGTCCATGTTTTTGCATGGAGCAATGATTCTGTTCTTTCTTTGGAGCAGTATTCCATAGTGTGGATGTTTTCCCATCTTTTTGTTGATGGACACCTTTACTATTTCTAGCTTTTAGATACTATGAATCAAGTTGCTATGAACATCTGTGTACAAGTCTTTTTGTAGACATATGTTTTCATTCTTCTTGGGTAAATTCCTTGGAAGCGAATTGCTGGGTTGTATGGTATATGTATATTTAACATTACAAGAAACTGCCAACCAGTTTTCCAAAATTGTTGTACCACTTTACACTACCACCTGCATTGTATGAGAGTTCTCGTTGGTCTGCATTCTCATCCACACTTGGTATTTAGTCTTTTACATTTTAGCCATTCAAATGAGCATACGGTGATATCACATTGTGGTATTCATTAATAGGCTTAGTTTAAAGGAAAATTCTATGTCATTTACTATATAATATAGTAAATGATATAGTCTATGTCTATTTCATTTACTATAAATGAAAACACAGGATTATCTAGCATATTTAGAAAAATCAACACAATGGAAAAAAATCAATGTAATTATTTTCTTGCCTGGTGAAGGCTCTGAGCTGAGCTCTGGTTGCTCTTTTAAGAAGGGAAAACACTGGGCTGGCATGATCTTGGCTGGGCTTATTACTGTATGGAAGGAGGATCCACGGTGTCCCCTCTTTACATACCCTATTGCACAGGGTCTTATACATGCAGCCCAAGCTCAACAGATGTTTGGTTGATTGAATGAATGGATGGATGCATGGATGGATGGATGGATGGATGGATGGATGGATGGATGGATGGATGGGTGTGTGGAATGTTGAATGAGAACAGTTGAATAGCATAGAGGGTAATCTGACTATTCTGCACCTTGTCTGTCAACCTGGGATAAAGAGTGGCGATGGGAAAGCATGGAGAATTCACAGAGTATGGAAAAGCGCTTTTCATTTTTGGCCTGAGCTTCCATTTGACTTGTTCCAGACCAGATGTCTCTAGCTGACTTTACCTCTGGCTGAAACCACTCCATTAGGGGCAGAGAACGCATGTTGGGCTGGGTGCTAACAAATCTCCCGGGAAGCTCCTTAAAATAAAGATTCCTGAACCTTGTCCTCTGACAGATTACAATTCAGCAGGTCTCAGGAGTTAGATTTTTAACAGCCTTCCCAGGCAATTCTAATGGGCAGCCAGATTTAGGAGCTGCCGTGGGTAGGAATGGCAGCATGACAGCTGAGAATGGAGCTGATAATTAATATGGGGCTATCACTGCAGCCTTAACAGCTAGGGACAGTGAAAATCAGCCGAGGACAATTCTGAACACTTATGAAATCACTCCAGGTCAGCAGAGACGCCTGGCGAGGCTTTGCCGGCTCGCTGCCCCACATAATAGCACTCACCCATCCAGCCTTTGCACCCCTGTGGGATGTGCTGCATAAAGAGAAAACAAATGGGAATTTCTGTAATGGAAAAATACAAAGCTGTAGAGGGTCTTCATACCTGAGGAAAAACAACACCTCAGTTGACAATGCTACCTGGACAATTGGGAAGTAAGAGGTCTTTCTGGAAATCAATAGAGGAAGGCAGAGCCGCCCTCCCTGCTTGCCCCCTGAGCCACAGGAGACAGTGAAACATTTACTGTAATGAGGACTTTACGTTATTAAAACCAGAAAACCTGCTCCAAAATATTGAAATAGAACGCTGGTAGAGTTTTTTTGGATCAGATTTCCTTTTACCCTCAGGAACAGGTGATTACTTTCCTGGTATGCTGACCCAAACAGGAGTAGATTCAGTTATTTTTAAAAGGGAGTGCATAGCAAACAAGAACAATCGATACTGTTCCAATTCCAGAGCTCCCCGTATCAGAATCATGGGAGAAGCCAGGAAAGAAATGTTCCCTGTAGCTGCCAGAGAATCACATGCATGTCAGACACCCGCTCATCAGCAGCACTGGCTTTGGGGGCAGTGGTTTCCCTCCTCATGTTTTATTTTCAACTCTTGGGGAAGGATCACCACAATCTTTTGTGCTACAAAGTTAAAAAAAAAATCCACCATACTTCTTTCCTGTCCTTTCTTCACTGGAAGCAGTGTGGCGCTAAAATAAAACCCTGATGAACAAGCTTGTATTTCAGTTAATGTTCTGTGTTGCAGCTTCCATGATCTTTGCAGATGGGATGGTGGATGCTGGACACCCATTGAAGTCTGCGCAGTGTAGTCTTGTGGGAAAAGGTGGCAGGGAGGGGTGGGCAGCCCTGCAGGAGACACACTGATTTCTAATTCATTGATTCATTAGACTTGGCTTCTGGGAGCGTCCACTACAGAGGATGAAATCAGCTGGACAAGAAGGGCCTGCATATGCTGTTTAATATTTTTTTAAAACTGATGACTGCAGCAGATGCTGCCAGTGCACTTCATTAGGGTGATGCCCCCAGGTGCTGTGGGTGTGGCTGTACCTTCCTCTGGAGCATTGCCCTGGCCTGATGGGAGATGTCTCACTCACCCTGAGCTGCCTTCCCTCTCATTAGGGTATGACTTATAGGAAGGAGTGACTGATAGGGGTGGCAGCTATGAGAGCCCAGCCTCCTTGTCTCTGAGTGGGACAAACTGTGATGTAATTTACACTCCAAAGCTCCCCACGGGATCAGGCAGAGGTGAGACTTCTGAAATCACATCTTCCCCTAGTTTTCTTCTGGCCCTATCTTGCTTCCCTTAATTTCTTATAGTTCTCCTGAGAGCCCTCCCTCAATAAGTCACCTCAAGAACCACACTCTCGGGCTCTCCTAGGGAATCCACTACAGTGTTGTAGGATTCTAAAGATGAGAAACCCAACCCTTGCTTCAAGGAGCTAAGAGGCCAGTGGATCAGAGTCAGAGCCACAGGAGTGGCTGTGCTTTAGGGTACAAGTGTTCCAGCAGGGAGCCAGGCAGTGCACAGGGGTTCTGAGCATGGCTGTGGGGTCAGAGGGCTTGGGTTTGAATTCCGGCTTCCCCACTTGTGCACTATGGGGCCTGGGGGCTGTGTTAGTAAGAGAACCCTCCGCATCTGATTGCTGTGAGCCATAGTTCACATAATGAGCCCCATGGTGCCAGGGTCATAGCAAATGTCCAATAATGAATGTGAGCTGCTCTTGTGTGGGGTTGGTGAGGATTACCATCATTTTTGGAATTCAAATGAGGGAGGTACTAACTCTTCTTGGATGCATACAGAAGTCTTCATGGAGGAGGATATGGTCTAACTATGCCTGGGAGAAAGAATGGAAGAAGAGTGGGGGAAACGTGCCTGCAAAGCAGCGGTCCCCAACCTTTTTGGCACCAGGGACTGGTTTCATGGAAGACAATTTTTCCATGGACTGGGTGGGGTGGTGGGGGGGATGGTTTCAGGATGATTCAAGCACATTACACTTATTGTGCACTTTATTTCTATTATTATTACATTGTAATATATGATGAAACAATTATACAACTCACCATCATGTAGAATCAGTGGGAGCCCTGAGCTTGTTTTCCTGCAACTAGATGGTCCCATCAGGGGGTGATGGGAGACAGTGACAGATCATCAGGCATTAGATCCTCATAAGGAGCATGCAACCAGGATCCCTTACATGTGCAGTTCACAATAGGGTTTGTGCTCCTGTGAGAATCTAATGCCGCTGGATACCTGACAGGAGGAAGAGCTCAGGTAGTAATGCGAGTGGTGGGGAGTGGCTGTAAATACAGATGAAGCTTCGCTTGCTCACCCGCCACTCACCTTCTGCCGTGTGGCTCAGTTCCTAACAGGCCACAAACTGGTACTGTTCCTTGGGGAGTTGAGAACCCCTGCTGTAAAGGAAATAGGATTCCCCAGGGACAGGGAAGAAGTCTGTTGTGGGAGCAGCGTATGTGTAGGTGCCAAACGGAAGCAGGTGATGGTGATGACAATGATGATGCAGAATACAGAAGCAATGAGGTGGGGCCAGTGATGGTCAGCACTGGGGGCAGGCATGACAGGAAGGGGGATAGTAGCCATGGGGACTAGCACTGACCCCAGCAGTCACTTTGACTGCTCTCATGCACCTCTTCCTCCTGGCAGTGAGCCGTTAACATCTACCTAATCTTTAAGCATTAGCTTAGATGTTACTTTCACCGGAACATCTTCCCTGACCCCCAGGTCCAGGTTCAGGGGTCATCTCCATGCTTCTACATCCCACACTGTAATTTACTCATCAGCAGGGGCAGAAGCCATGTCTGTCTGTCTCACCACGGTCTCCAGCACTGGGCACCATACCAAGCTTAGAGTCAAGCCTAACATTTGTTGAATGAAATTCTAGTCAAGAGTACTGTAGTTAACTCCCTGTAGTAAAAAGGGTTATAAAGATCTTGTTTTGCTCAAATGTTGTATCAGATGGTCTACTATTTGTAAAAAAGTAATCTGTCCAATTCCAGTAAGCACAACTGTTTGTAATACAACTTTGCTTCTCCTCCCATCAACAGATGGAGTCTATTTTCTTCAGGCCTTGCATCTGGGCTTGGCTTGACTCCTTTGGCCAATGAGGCATTCAAAAATGTGATGCAAACGGCAACTTGAAAACTACCTAGGCAATTCACAGATTCATGAGAACTAACACATATTTTCTGTTTAGACAATTATGTTTCGGGTACTTTGTTGCGTGATGAAAGCTAACATATACAGATTGGTTTTATTCTCCCTAGCACAGTGCCCTGCACAATTACCCTCAATAAACAACTACAGAATGAACAAGTGGAATGAAAACATTTCAAGTATATGGAAAGAAAATGTCAATATTCTTAGTGGTGCAAGCTGGTCATCACCCTTATAAATCACTGATATCAAAATGAGAAAATGATCCACAGTAGCCACTGGTGCCTTGCATGGTCAGAGGTCCAGTTATGAGAACATCCAGCACTTCAAAGGTCTGAGTGTGCGCTAGTGGCCTCTGTGAATTAATTTCATTGCTGAGATTATTTTCTCCTGCAGTTCCAATCTCATATTTCCATTGTTCCTAATTTATAATCTGATGCAAACCATGCATCTTTACTTGTCAGATCTTACCAGGTGGCTTCCCAAATTCCTATTCTTGTTCTCAGCTATCTAACTTTGCTTTTCTCATTTTGTAAACCCCCTGCCTCTCATCCATCCTTCCTTCCTTCCTCTGACTCTACACATCGCAAATCTGCTCCAGATTAGGCAAGCCCCTGACTGCTGTTTCTAAAGGGAGCAGATTATAATATTGCTTTAAATTATATTAAAAGTGGGCATATTTCTAAGCCCCTCTGGGTGCAGACACAAAGTCCCTGCCATGTTTCCATATTTATTGTCTAGATTTGTGGTCCTACACTTGCTGATCATCCTACATTGGGAAGCAAATGACAGATGGAAACAGATGGGCTGGCCCAGTGCCTTCTCTAGCAGCATGGTCTAGCTATGCCACGTGAGAAGGGGAAGCCAACTAAAGACATGTCTCTATTATGGAAAGCAGCCTCCCCTAGCCCTCTGACATTATTATACCACAGAATACTTCCAACTGGTCACGTGTGCTAAGGTGGAAACTGACGAGAGATCGCTGAGAGGCTGAAACTCAAGTTACTCAGAGCTTAGGAGATGAATACCATCTTTTTAAAAGGTTCTCAAAAGGAGTTGCAATTGGAGCCTCTAGAACAGTGGTTCTCAGTGTTGGCTGGCCATTGGGATCCTTCATGGACCTTAAGAAAGACTGAAGCCTGAATCCCAACCATAGAGATTCTGATTTACTTGGCTTCAATCTATTTGAAACTTCCCAAGGTGATTCTAATGTGCATTCATGGCTGAGAACCACTGACCTAGAAGATGGTAGTGAGAAGGTCATGAATAGTGGTAAAGCAACTGTATCAAGTAAGAGCCCCAATTAAGTAACTGCAGCTGACCTTATCATCACTATTCCCTACCAGGAACTATGAAGCACTTGATAAGCACTGCCTAATTTAATCTTCACAACAGATTGAGGAAGAAGCCATTATGATTATCCTGTCTTCAGATGACAAAACTGAGGCTCAGAGGACAGGTCAATGGCTGCGTTAGACCCACACCAAAGCTCATGCTCTTAGTGACTTTGCTGGAGAGTCTAGCCAATCCACAGGTGAGGGTTTCTCCCGGGTCCCTTCATGTCATGCCATACCCAGGGCAGCGACTCCCAAAGCAGGTCTTCTCATTCCAAAAGTAACTGGAACCCACAACGTAAGGAATATACAATGTGTTGTCTAGAACCTTTGGAAGAAGAGGAACCCATTCTGATTGTAATCTGAATGAGCAAAAGCAAGACACCATTGACCTTGCCCTTGAAGTAACTTTGCAGAAACAGTTTTGCTGTCAGGTGAGTAGTGGAGAAATGTGCCCAGAATCTACCTCGAAGCTCTCTAGTCTAGATGGATTTCTGTGTAAAAAGGCCACTTCTATAACGCTCCAGAAGGTGTCCCCACTGCTACATGATCTTAGAAAGGCTGCCAAACAGGTAGGCTGTGAAATCTCCCTTATCAGCTTCATAGCTCTTTAGAAATACTTTCAAAACAGGTTGGTTTTTAAAGTCAATTTCTTTTAATGTCTGGCTTTCAGTAGATTGTAGCTAGCTTTGGGAGGATTTTAATTAATATGAACATGTAGACCAACCAAATGAGCCCTTTTTACGAACATCACTCCATGAACCAAGCGGACACATCCCTGACTTAGGTTCAGATATGTACTGATAGTTTCCGCTGATTTCATTAGAAGCTGGCTTAGCTCACATTGAATCTCTGGAAGTCTGATGCCCTCCACTGATACTGGAAACATCGGGAAAATGCCTTAAAAAGAAAGAAGCTATAATAAGGTGACTAGAGTTCTATAACAACACAAAAGCAGGAGAAAAAGTTTTATAACACTCACAATTGAAATGAAAAACAGTCCAATTCAGTTACCTATGGGGTAATGGATATGGTAACTCAGGAAATGAGACTAAGCTGAATTGCAAATAGAAGTAGACTGTATGGGCCCTAACATGGAGATAGCTTCAAATAGAAGTAGACTGTATGGGCCCCAACATGGAGATAGCTTTTAAGTTAAATATAAAGAGAGCTAAAGGCCTACCCCGCTCCATAAGTTTCCCTGTGCTTGGCCCTGAGTCACTTGCAGGTCGACTACAAAGGCAGGAAACTTGTCTCTGGAAGCTCAGATTTCAGAGATGGCAGACAGTCCTCTCATTAGCCTCAGTGGGTAATTTGACCCCCCGGTCAGATAAATTAGCTGACCCACCGCAGCAGAAGAGGAGATTCTAGATGAACAGGCTATAGGAGGCCTGGATGATGAAGGCCCTGGGAAGGTTCTGGGGACACCAGAGATGGAGTGTAAAGTGGTCTACTGCTCTCAGGGGACTTCAAATTTACTAACAGTATCGTATTTGTAATGGGGCTCATGAGCGCGGACATTGATTATGCTTCTCAAACTATGTATCTATGTTACAAATACTTTTGCACATACAATGTAGTTTCATAATAAAATCATTGCTGACCTTCTGCAGGGGCAGTTTCAGTCAAGTGAGGAGCCAGTTTAAATTGGGTTGGGGAATGAATGGAGGCAACTAGGGTACTCTGTTTTCTTCCATTGCCTGGTAGAGAGTTGGTAATTAATGCAAGAGGATTAAGAGAAGGGCTTTCTAAGAGGTGAAGCACTTGTGCTGTAGGCAAAGGAATAGGAAGCTTGAAGATACTGAGAGTGAGAGGAGATTATTGCTAGAGAGGAGAACAGACAGAAAGCTTGGCCTGGAAAGGCAATAGATGCTTTTTTTCTGTACAGTCACTCTCTGCATCCGTGGGTACCGCATCCAGTGATTCAACCAACCAGGAATCAAAAACTTCTGAGAAAAGAAAAATGACAAAACCCAACAACACAACAATAAAAAAAAAAACACATAAAAAATGAATACAATACTGCAACTATTTACATAGATTTACATGAGCTATTATGGGTAATCTAGAGTATACAGGAGGGTGTTGGAAGGCTATAGGCAAATAGAACACCATTTTATCTAAGAGACTAGAGCATCTGTGGATTTTGGTATTCTCAAGGGCCCCAACCTTCAGTGGATACCTGAAAGACAACTGTAGATTTGAAAACATTCATGTATTTCTAAAAAGTGAAAGGCTCATTTTCCTCTTGAGTCACAGGGAAGGAAATGGGGTGGTGAAAGCAACAGCTCAAAGAAAAGTAATCTCAGGTTGGTCTGCAGCCAGGGGAGACCAGAGGGAAGAAAGCCACCAGCAGAGTGAGGTAGGGAGCCTGGAGGGAGGATTCCTGGGAAAGATGATGAAAGGCAAGGCAGATCCAGGAAACACTGTGGAGGAAATGCTGGTGGAAACACTTGGTACGATCATATTTAATTTTGTCCAATCTGGTGGGTATGTAATGGTGTCTAGTTGTAAATGTTTTAATTTTCATTTACAAGATTACTAATGAGGTGGAACATCTTTTTATTCTTTATTGGCCATTCATATCTGTTCTTCTGTGAAATACCTGCTCATTCTTCTCTCCTGGGTTTTAGTTGAATTCTGTCTTTTCCTTCAAGGGCATTCTTTATGTAGTATGTAGACTGATCATCTGCAGGTGGTTTGTATGCCAAAACTGCTCTCTGTTGGTGCCTCGTCTTTGTACTCTTTTAATGGTATCTCTTGATGCAGAAAGTTCTCAAATTCAACATAGAGATTACGGATAGTTTCACTATGATTTTGTGCTTTTTGTATCTTGTTTAAGAAATTCTGAGGCTAGGCAAGGTGGCTGACACCTGTAATCCCAGTACTTTGGGAGCCCAAGGTAGGAGGATTGCCTGAGGCTGGGAGTTTGAGACCAGCCTTGGCAACATAATGAGACCCCCATCTCTACAAAAAATTTAAAAAGAGCATTAGCCAGGTGTGGTGGTGTGTGTCTGTCATCCCAGCTAGTTGGAGGGCTGAGGCAGGAGAATCACTTGAGCCCAGGAGTTTGAGGTTGCAGTGGGCCATGATCATGTCACCACATTCCAGCCTGGACAGCAAAGTGAGACCCTGTCTGTTAAAAAAAAAAAAAATTCTTCCTTATTCAGAGTCAGAGATCATCAAAGCATTACCCTACATTTTCTTCAAATTAAAAAAACTGACTTACACTTTTCACGTTTGTATCTTTAACCCATTTGGAATTAATTTTTTTTTTTTTTTTGAGATAGAGTCTCACTCTATTGCCCAGGCTGGAGTGCAGTGACACAATCTCGGCTCACTGCAACCTTTGCCTCCTGGGTTCAAGCAATTCTCCTGCCTCAGCCTCCCAAGTAGCTGGGATTACAGGCACATGCCACCATGCCCGGTTAATTTTTGTATTTTTAGTAGAGATGGAGTTTCACCATGTTGGCCAGGCTGGTCTCAAACTCCTGACCTTGTGTAACCTGCCTTGGCCTCCCAAAGTGCTGGGATTACAGGTGTGATTTTGTATAGTGTGAGTTTAAGGATCTGTTTATGCCTTTTTCTATATAGATGACATATTGTTTCTGGATCATTTACTGAATAGGCCATCCCTTCTCCTTTATTCAAATATTTCAATTTTGTCATGTTTCCATACATGTAAGGGCCTGTTTCTGGGGTCTTTGTTCTGTTCCTTTATTCTATTTGCCTATCTGTGCACAAATACCACACATTAAACTTTATTATATTTTTACAATAAGGCTTGATATCTAGGAGCTTGGCTAGTCTTATCCCTCTTCTATATAAAGTTTAGGATCAACCTGTCAGGATTCTGATTGGAAGTACATTTAAACTATAGATCACTCTGGGGAAAAATGACATCTTTACTGAACTGAGCCTTTTAAATCAATGAAACAAGTATGTCTCACCATTTATTTAGGTCTTATTTAATGACTTTAAATAAAATTATCATTTATCCATAAATATTGTGTTTTTATGTTACATTTATTTCTAAGTACTTTTTTTTTTTTTACCGCATTCTATTTTCTAGTTGTTGCTGCTATACAGAAATGCAATTGAGGTTGGGTGTGTTGGCTCATGCCTGTAAGCAATCCCAGAACTTTGGGAGGCTGAGGTGGGTGGATCACCTGAAGTCAGCAGTTTGAGACCAGCCTGACCAACATGGTAAAACCCTGTCTCTATTAAAAATACAAAATTAGCTGGGCGTGGTGGCAGGCACCTGTAATCCCAGCTACTCAGGAGGTTGAGGCAGGAGAATTGCTAGAACCCAGGAGGCGGAGGCTGCAGTGAGCCAAGATCGCACCATTGCACTCCAGCCCAGGGGACAGGGCGAGACTCCATCTCAAAAAAAAAAAAAATGCAATTGAATTTTATAACTTTATATCAATCCATCCTCCTCACTCGATTCTTTCATTAATTCTAGTAATTTGTCTGTTGATTATTTTGCGTTTTCCATGTAGATAATAATTACATGACTTTTGTTTCTTCCTTTCCAAATCTAGTCTCTTTTATTTACTTTCCTATCTTCCTACACTGGCTAGGATCTTTAGTAAATTGTTGAATAGAAATGGAACTCTTGGCTAGGTGCGGTGACTCACGCCTGTAATCCCAGCACTTTGGGAGGCTGAGGTGGGCAGATCACCTGAGGTCAGGAGTTCAGGACCAGCCTGACCAACATGGAGAAATCCCATCTCTACTGAACATACAAAATTAGCCAGGTACGGTGGCGCATGCCTGTAATCTCAGCTACTCAGGAGGCTGAGGCAGGAGAATCGCTTGAACCTGGGAGGCGGAGGTTGTAGTGAGCCGAGATCATGCCATTGCACTCCATCCTGGGCAACAAGAGCGAAACTCCATTTCAAAAAAAAAAAAAAAAAAGGAACTCTTGTTTTATTTTTGATTTTTAAAGGAAATGACTTTAACATGTCTTCATATTTTAAAAAGTTATCCTTGATCAGGTTAAGGAATTTTCACATGAATAGTTGGTTCTACTGAAATTTTTCCTGGATTTATTGAGATGATCATATGTTTTTTCTTCTTTAATGGGGTAGTATAGTAAATTGAATCACTGGATTTTGTAATGTTAAACCAACCTTGCATTCCTGGAATAAACTCAACCTCATTATATCTTATCTTTTTATGCTTTGCTGGATTCAGTTTGTTAATATTTTGGTGAATGTTTTACATTTATATTTTTGAATTAATGAGTGTGAAATGGCCTGAAATCTTTATGTCTGTGACCTGGTTTAATGGGTTTTGGTATAAAAATTAAGTTAGTTTTATAAAATAAGTTGGGTAATATTGTCTTTTATATTTTTCTCTGAAAAGAGTTTAAGTTTGAAATTATTTATTTCTTAAATCATTGGATGAACTCTTCTGTATCTATCAGGACTTAGCGGGTTCTTAAAAATGGGGATATTTGAAACTATTTCTTTAATGGTTATAAGACCATTTAGATTTCTTTTTTTATAAAAGTCAGTTTTGGCAAGTTGTATTTTTCTAAGAATTTGTCCATTTTATCTAAGGCTATTCAGAAGTATGTTTTAAAATGTCTAAGCCTGTGTTTTTGTTTACTTGTTTGTTTCTTGTTATCTATTTGCTATTGATTTCTGACAGAACAGATTCTTTGTTGAGATCTGCTTTAAGCCCTAGTATACAGTAATTTTTCATAACTGTAGCATGGGACCAGAAGATTTTTTTTAGTGCAGTGTTCTACATATGTCAATTATAGTAAGTCTATTAAATGCATTCAAATTGTCTATAATAGAGTTGTTTGCTAGAACTTTAAGCAATGATAGAAATATTCTCTATCTGTGCTGTCCAATACATAGCCACTAGCCACATGTGGCCAACTAGTACTTGAGAGGTAATTTGGTTTAGATGAGGTCATGAGGGTGAGACCAGCCTCACGGAATTAGTGCCCTTATAAGAAGGGACACCAGAGTGTTCTCTCTCTCCTTTTGCTATACGATCACATGGTGAGAAGGTGGCTGTCTACAAGTCAGGAGGATAGCCTTCATCAGAACTTGGCTATGCTGGCACTGTGATCTCAGACTACCAGTCTCCAGAACTGAGAAATAAATATCTCTTGTTTAAGTCACACACTCTATGATATTTTGTTACGGCAGCCTGAGCTCAGTAATATAGTATAATACATTACACTTAAGTGTAGAAATTTCAACATTGCTTTGTGACTTAATGTAATTCTTAAATAGTAATTAGGCATCAGCTAACTCAGCCCTAGCTACAGATGTGAGGGTTCCTTGGAGGAAGCCCAGGAACTAATGGGGCTGGGAAGAAGGAGAAAGAAGGACTCCTTTACACTTTCTTTCACTCAGCATGTCTGTTCTGAAGTGATTTACATAAAAAGTGTTCTGCTGTAAAAAGCCTGAACACAACTGTGTTAAATAATACATATATATGTTTGTGTGTCTATTTGAGAATTTGCTTTATAGCAAACCTGATTAATTTATATATCATATGTAATACACCTATTATATTTAATTATAATTATACATGTATTTCAAGTCTATTTAAATAAGTGATATTCCTTCTCAAGGAGCAAAGTAAACCTATAGATCTTAGATATTTGATATTGCCCCTCCCTCAATGACAGTGAACCAAACTGTAGGAATGATGTCTAGAAGAAAAAACAATTCCACCCCTATGACATGGGGCTGAACTTGAATTTCCAAACCTGTTAATATAAGGACAGAGTCAGAGGTTTCAAGCCCTTCGGAACAGATGCAGGATGGCTTCTCCAAGAGCTACCTACTTCCTCCCCTAAAGGATGGTCAGTTAGAAGCTGGTGATGAACCTGTGGGCAGAATCCCATGGCAAGGCAACAGCCCCACAGGAACAGTCTACCCAGTCTGTGGCAACAAGTAGGGAATATTGCCCTCCTGTGATGGTATCGTGGCCTCAAAAGAGAGGGTCAATGGGAAAGAGTAGCAGGAAGCAGGCTTTGCTGCCAACATGCTCCCTGGTGGGGCCTCACCCAGTTAAGGCAAAAACTAAGAGGATCCCTGAGGTTCCTGATAACTCTGGTATGGAGCCAGCCAGGCCAAGGAAATCCTCAGTTCCTGCCTGAATCAGGAACCACTGGCTATCACAGGCAGTTGGGGTATGATTATCACTAAAAATCCCCTGTAGGGCACAGTCTCAGGATGAGAGCTCCCACCTCTAGCAGCTCTCACATGTTGATTCAGGGACTCAGGATAAGGCTGGGAGCCACCACCCAGAGGATCCTTCCCTCCACCCTGCACTCAGCCCTCTAGGGGCAGCAGGCGTCTCTTCACCCTGCTGGGACTGATCATCTAGCCCGCCCCAGCAGACCCCGTCAGTATTCCCACCAGATTTCTTCACTGGGTAATATTTGCAAGGCTGAGGAGTAGAGGGCAAAGTGCTGAACTGTGGAACAAACAGTAGCTGTGGATTTGTATGAACCTCTTGTTTCCTCATTCAGCTTATAAACTCTTGATGGGAAAAGACTGTGCTTCCTACTTATCCTCACCCCACCCCTTTCTCTCCCTCTCTCCCTGTCTCTTCCCTCCCTCCCTCCCTCCCTTCCTCTATCCCTCTCTTCTCTTCTTCTTGCCCTTTTCCCTGCCTCCGTCCCTCCCTTCCTTCCTTCCCATTTTTATCTAGTGCTTATTTACTTCACTGTGCTGCCCTTCCCTTATTTGTAAAATCACAATAATAACAGTGTTTCCTAAACAGCTGCCATGTAAATCAGCTTACTGAGAATATGAAGTGAAGCCATCTTTGGAAATGTCTGGCACACAGTCACTGCTTATCCACCCACCTTGTGCCCCATGAACGGTTTCCATGTTTGTCTTTGGGGGCTCATCAATTCCATGCACAGCAGTAAGTCTTATTTATCTTTGTAGTCCCCATCACACATAGCACAATATTCAGGTAGAGTGTTCAGAGAAGGTTCGTTTAAATATAAAATAGATATATAGTAATAAGATATACAGAAAAATTGGGCTTTGATATGTCAGTAGAAGACAGTGGTTAAAACAGGGGCTTTGCAGTCAGTGCAGAAATGGGGTCTTGGACTTCTCAAAAGAAGATATAGCAGTGACCAAGAAATATGAAAAAACGTTCATTGTCACTAATAATCAGAGAAATGCAAATCAAAACCACAATGAGATAATGTCTCATACCAGTCAGAATGGCGATTATTGAAAAAATAACACGCTGGTGAGGCAGAGGAAAAAAGGGAATGCTTATACATTGTTGGTGGGAATATAAATTACTTCAGCCATTGTGAAAGCAGTTTGGAGACTTCCCAAATAACTTAAAACAGGGCTACCATTTGACCCAGCAATTCCATTACTAGGTACAAACCCAAAGGAATATAAATTATTCTACCAAAAAGACACATGCACACATGCACTTATATGTTCATTGCAGTGCTAGTCACAATAGCAAAGACATGGAATCAATCCAGGTGCCCATCAACAAAGGATTGGATAAAGAAAATGTGGTACATAAACACCATGAGTACTATGCAGCCATAAATCATACAGCAACATGGATGCAGCTGGAAGCCATAATCCTACATGAATTAATGCAGGAACAGAAAACCGAATACTACATGTTCTCACTTATAAGTGGGAGCTAAACACTGAGCACACATGGACATGAACAGGGGAACAACAGACACTATGAACTACTAGAGGGGGTAATAAGGGAGTGAGGCATGGGTTGAAAAACTACCTGTTGAGTAGTATGCTCAGTACCTGGGTGACGGGATCCATACCCCAAACTTTAGCCTCATGCAATATTGCCATGTAACAAATCTGCACATGTATCCCCTGAATTTAAAATCAAAGTTGAAATGATTAACAAAAACAAATGGGGTCTGGGATCTGCTGTGTGGGCTCAGGTGCCTGGACCCCTAAAAGCGGGTATTCATCCTCACTCTCTGGGGTTGCTGTATGACATGTAATGAGTTAGAATGATGCCTGGCACATGGTGGGTACTCAATCATAGTTACTGCTATTGGTCAAGATTACGGCAGCTTCCTTTCATTGCTCCCAATAGCTCCATGTTGAAGATTTGGCCATATACATCTGTCTACAGGAAATATTTCCTACTTGGACATATTCTTTGTGGTCTGGAAAGCTGTTAAAAGAGATTTTCCCAATGTAAAGATGTGAACTGTTCACACTGTACCGATGGTCTTACTCTAAGGCTTCAAAAATAGGCAGGTTGCCTTTCATACAGAAAACGGGAAGGTGCCTGCACAGCTGGTGCTTAGGGCTGCATGGTGACGGGGCTATTCTGGGAATGAAGTCTGGTTGTGAGTTGCTTTTCCACAGTGCCTGAGGAGTAAACCAGCTTATCAGGTCTCAGGGCATTGGTAAGGTGGTCTTGTTCCTCAAATACCCTTCCATGCAGGTGGTACCTAATTTCACAATTAGATGTCCATCTCTTTGGCTTAGGACTAGCAAGAGAAATGCAATGAGCCTGATCAGTCATGAAGGTGGAATCTTTGTTCTTTGCTGCCCAGCATCCATTCTCCCTTTCTTTGGTCAGGTACCTTCCATTTCCCTCTGGGAACTAGCCTATCTCTGACATTCAGCCTGGCTCAGGAGTAGCAGTGAGTTCCCCAGACCATAGTTGAGGGACACAGGATTCAACCAGTGCCAGTGAGTTACAGCAAAAAATTTCCTAGGACTCTACTTCCTCCCACTAGACTTGAACCTGGCATATGAAGAGCTGGAGCTGCTGAGTCATCTTGCAACCATGTGCATATAGGACCCGACTGAGAATGGAGGTAATATGGCAGAGGGCAGAGCCGAGGGATGATGGAAGAGACACTAGGTGCAGGTGATGTTATTCAAGTCCTGGATCAAGCTGTGCCTGAAGCCTGAACCTAGACTTTCCAGATGCATGAACCAACAAATTCTGTTTTTCTTTTCTTTTTTTTTTTTGTAAGTTTGAGTCAGGATTACCGTTGCTTACAACCAAAGCTTCTAATGATATGGTCATTAATAGAGGATCCATTTTTAAAGAGAGTAAAGGGAGCACAAGAACTCAATGCCAGTAATGTTAGAGGCTCTGAATAGGTTGGATAAGGGACAGCCTCAAGATGTCCATGTTTGAATCCCTGGAACCTGTGAATGCTACCTTATATGGCAAAAGGGACTTTGCAGATGTGATTAAGTTGAGGATCTAGAGAAGGGGTGATTATCCTGGAGTATATGAGTCAGCCCAGTGATCTAACCACAGGTGCCCTTATATGAGGGAGGCAGAGGGCCATGTTCTTCCAGAGAGGGGAGAAGGGGATGGTATGCAGTCAGCTTTGAAGGTGGTGGAAGGGCCAGAGACTAGGAATGCAAACAGTGAAAGGAACAAAGCTCTGGAATTCAGCAAAGGCAGGGGATTTTCCCTGCAGCTTCCGGAGGGAGCAGAGGGAGAGTGGCCCTGTCCATACCTTGGTTCTGGCCCAGTGAAACTGATTTCAGACTTCCGGCCTCCAGAATGGGAAGAGAAGAGATCTGTGTTGTTCCAATACCCCCAGCTTGTGGTGACCTGTTACAGCAGCCACAGGAAGTTGCTAGGGGGAGGGACCCATTCCCACTGGGTTCACTCTTGGGGCTGTAAGTCTGTCATCCTAGCTCAGACACAGTAGGGAGAGAGTCGGGGAAGAAAGGGGGCTGAGGGGGCAGAAAATAGGCTGTGGCCCCTGATTCTGTTTCCCCTTCATGACCTTTTTGCCCCCTCCTCAGGCCTGTCTTCCCTCTGGCCCCAGGGCTAAATGCTTACTTTTGGCTCCAATCCAAACTTTTCCCTGGGAAGTGAAAAAGAAAAACGCAAATACTTGAGCTCACAGCGTTCTGAGAGGTACAAAGCTGGTGAGGAAGACAGGATGTTTATGGAAGGGACAAAAGCTTAGATCAGTGAGAGGTACCTGCGGCCCTTGGACCCTGTGAGACCTCCCCACCTCCTGAAATGGCCTCAGACTGATTGTGGGAGAAAATATCTCAAAGCTGCCTCTGGAGTGCTCAAATATGGCCTGGTATCAACATCAGAGAGGCACCCATCTCCTCAATTTCTTCAATAACAAAGCGGCCTTAGCATCCTCACCACATTCCTCTGTGGAAGGCACCATTATTAACCTCCTTCATTTCACACAAGAGCCGAGGCTCAGGGAGGCTCAGCCACCCAGCAGGGTCACATGGGGCAGGTGGCTGAGCCAAAGTCTGACTCGGACACCAGCACCCTGAGCTACCCAGGGACAGCTGTGGTTTAAGGGTACTTAGTGCCTGCCCTTGTGGGATTCAATAAAGTAATGCTTATTCTGAAAGAAAAAATAATCACATTTCCCCTAAACATTTTTATTTTCTTATTGGGCCCTTGGGCAGAACAAGGAACTGCCTCTAAGCCAAGGTCTGGGCTTATCTGGCTGCAGGGAGGAGTGACAGGTAGGGAGGGGAGGCCTGCCTGGCCCTGGCCCCCTTAAGCCACACACAGGCCACAGCAAAGCTTGGCTAAAGCCTGGCTTTGGCCTTGATGAATGCAGCCTGGTATAAGAAAAGGATTTTCTATCATTTGTTGGAAGTAAAAGGAATCTGGGTCCATCTGTGGTTGTCTAAGGACCCTAGAGCTCCTGTAGGAGGACCCGTAGGAGGACCCGTAGGAGCCCTTATAGGATTCCGGGGCTGCTTCACTTAGCAGCATTTGGTACAAAGGAAGAGACCCTTAGAGAACCTAAAAACAGCCACCAATTTGGGAGTGCTTGGCATGTCTCAGGGACATATGCATGTTAAGATACACTTCATTTAATCCTCACAGCAACTCTTTTAGACTACCATTTTACAGGTAAGTCAACTGCAGCACAAGGTCACATGGCTAGGAGGAGCACAGCGCTTGGATTCTAACCAGCCACATCTGATTCGGCAGCCCAGGACTCCAACTACCACTAACACACCACATCTTAGAAAAGTTCCACTTTTGGTCCAGGAACA
Source organism: Homo sapiens (assembly GCF_000001405.40). Taxonomy (NCBI): domain Eukaryota; kingdom Metazoa; phylum Chordata; class Mammalia; order Primates; family Hominidae; genus Homo; species Homo sapiens. The sequence goes on from NC_000016.10 coordinate 71,011,436, forward strand.
GTGGCTCACACTTGTAATCCTAGCACTTCGGGAGACTGAGGTAGGAGGATCACTTGAGCCTAGGAGATTGAGACTAGCCTGGGAAACATAGAAAGACCCTGTCTCTACAAAACAAACAAACAAACAAACAAAAAACAACAAAAAAACCAGAAATTAGCCAGGTATAATGGTGCACGCCTGTAGTCCCAGCTACAGTAGTCCTTGGCTTGTGCCCAGGAGTTTAAGGGTGTGGTGAACTAAGATTGTGCCACTGCACTCCAGCCTGGGTGACAGAGCGAGACTTTGTTTAAAAAAAAAAATCTACTTTTGAAGCAACAGAAATTGAGGAATGATGAAGACATAGATGGAAGCATCCAGAAAATGAGGCTCCTTCTTCAGCCTCCTTCCAGGCCTTCCACCCTCCTCTTCCAATCTCCATATTGGCTGGCTGGCGCTCATCATAGAAAAATCAGTGTGAGAATAACATGTTCCTTTGCTGCAGGACTTGGCTCCCTTTAGGCCCTTGTATTCGATTTATTTATAATCTGATTCACAAACGAAGAGCCAAAGCTGTCCGTGGAGACCACTTGGCCCACATGCTCTAAGTTCTAGTGCGGCCTCAGCTTCCCCGCTCTGAGACTGGGCAGAGATGCCAGCCAAGCCAGAGGCTGCTCGGCTCCCTGACGGTTGGCTCTCTAGTCTGGCCTCTTAAAGGTAAAAGCTGGTTCAAGTGCACCGTTTCCTTGTGCTTCTCTTTCACACAGGTGCCATGAAGCATTGTGTTGTTATCAAGCTGATCAGTTAGACTGAAGAGATGGACCTAATAAAAGGGTGGCTCCTGCAGCGACAGCTGTGTGGTCATGAATGGCCAGCCCCGGCACTTCCTGCCAGCTTTCTCATTACATGCAGATGTGGGAGGGGGAGAGACCACCATCCACCATGGTTGACCCAGCTTCCTGTCACGGGCACAAACTCACAGGCTTCAAAGGCAATGGCTGCCTTTTCCTCTTACCGAGGACTTATTTAGCATGCTTGTCCATTTTACTTCTTTCTTTGTTCTTAGATGTGACATGAGGGCCAACTTGGGGAAAAAAATGTGAGCTCAAACAAGAGGGATGCTTTAAATAGATGAGTGAGAATTGCCTACAAAGTCACATGCACACATGTGCATGCACACGCACCGCAGATGTACATGTGTTGTGAAGGAACATGAGAGTGTCTAGGCGACCTCAGACCTATCTAATAAAAGAAAAAGAAAACCCTCTCTTACACTTCTGTTTCTTTTACTAACTGTAAGGCTTAGAAGAATCCTAACTGGATAAGAAAGGTTAGTGTTCGTGTATGTCTGATAAAAGTGACCTTTAGCCACTTTTATGTGGTTTATGTTTTTCAGACGTCCTACACAGAGACAGTCTGTCTGGAAACCAGGTGGCTTTTTTTTTTTTTTTTTGTCTATTCTAGGTGACATTTATGCCTGGAACCTTTCTCTTTGGCGGGTGCCAGGAAGCTGAGAGAGAGGAATCTCAAGCCAGGTATGAAATGATCTCCTTCTCTCTACAAATACCCAGGTGGGAGCAGCTGATTCACCAAGAAACACCCTTTGAGGATGTACTCTGTGCTGGGGACTGTGCTGGGCTCTGGGGCTCCAGAGGTGATAGGGCAGGTGTGCTTGCTGGCCTCACAGGGATTAAGAGATGCTGGGAAGATGGACACCAAGCCATAAGCAGAGGCGTGATGTGAATCACCAAGGAGATGGGAGTACCAATGTCCATGACAGGGGATCTGGCCTAAGGATGGATCTTGGAGAAGGCTTCCCTGCAGAAGGATGGTGAAGCTGAAGTCTGAAGAAGGGGCAGGGACAGCTAGGTGGGGCTGGGGAGGAGCTTCCAGCAAAGAAGGGGGCAGTTGGACAGGAACAGCACTGGGCAGGACAGAGGCCGGTGTGTTGGGTAAACAGAAAGGTCAGTGCCAGAAGCACAGAGCAAATCTGGAGAGGAACGCAGGGACCAGCACATGCTGAGCCTTGCAGAATAGAGTGAGTGCTCTGTACTTTATTCCAAGAAGCACAGGTAGTTACTAAAGGCTTAACGCCAAGGCAGTGGCATGGCTACTGAGGGGAGTAGGAGCTGTGGTGCATGCGTGGAAGCAGAAAGCCCAGGTAGGGCTGTGACCACAGTAACAGGCAATGGTGGCTTGAGCCAGGGTAACAGCAGTGGAAATGGGAATGAGGTTTTCAGAAGGCAGAATAGGTAGAAGTTGGTGGTGGATTTGATAGGGTGGGTGGGGTTAGAGAGAGGAAGAAATCCTAATGCCTCCCAGGAGAGCAGTGATGTCATTTACTGGGACAGGGTGCCCTGGAGGAGAGTCTGGGGGTGAGCAGGGAGGGAACAGAGCTTATGTGGAACACGCTAGGCATAAATCACCTGGGAGGCATCCAAGGGATGTCCAAGAGGAGACGTCAAGAAGGCAACAGACTTGGAACTCAGCAGAGGGGGCTCGGTGAAGACAGGCACTGGGAAGCCTTAGCAAAAGAAGCTGACTGGAGCTATGGGGGTGCATCAATTTCCAGGAAGAGGAGAAAGCCTAGGATGGAGCCCTCCATCCTTCTACTCCAGTGGAGTTGTTGCTGGCAGAGAACTGAGAAGTTGTTGAGGGGACAAGAGGAGAATCAGGAGAATACGGTGTTCTGCAAGGCGAGAAAGGAATGTATTTCAGGAAGGTGGGGTTGGTCGCTGTGCTGAATGCTGCTAAGCGTTACCTTTCTGCAAAAACCTTTGTCACCTTCTTGATTACAAATCCCACCACTGCCTCCAAGAAAGAGCGTTAATTCCTTCTGGAATATCAGGTCTCTCACACACTTCTGCCAACATACCTCTCCAGACTCACCTCCCACAACTTCTCCCACCCAGTGAGGTCTGCCCACCAGCCACGCTGACATACCCTCCGCCAACATCATGGTAGAAGCGTGTCATTTGCTCTCCAGCATCGATTCTCCCTCTGTCAGTTTTTGTTTGGTGACCCCGTTCCCACCCCCTCCAGTCCATCTGGTTCAGAGATCATGATCCACAGCCTTTGGTGGCGGGCATGTGACCAGGTCAACCATGATGAGTGCATCACCCTCCCCTGACAGTGACTGATGAGGAGTGGGGACAGAAATGTGACTCAGTTAGTTTGATCGGAGTGAATCTCCTGGAAGTTGTGGGAGAAAGACCTCATATTGTTTTCCAGTGGATCGGAGTGTAAAAGGACATGGCCCCAGCAGTGCTGGCAGCCACTGGGTGATTAGGAGAGAAAAGCTAATCTGGGAATGAGGTTAACACAAGAAACTGAGCAGAGCTGAGAGACAGAGAACCTGGCTCCAATGATGACATTGTATGATCCTTGCTTTAAGCCAGGCCAGAAGCCAAAGCGAATCTGGAATTTTGAGTCGTGAAAACCAATGAATTTCCTTTCCTTTAATTTTCGCTTAGGGTCAGGTTTTCAATGACTTGCCATAGAGTGAACCCATGAATTCTAACTAATAGATACATGCTATTCCTGTTACTCAGAATGTCTTCCTGCCTCTCCATCTGGAATATTTAACTGTGGCTCCTCAATGTAGCCTTTTCTGACTTCTCTGGGCACAGGCCTCCCACCCACAGAGCCCAGCATGGCCACATGTCCACTTTGGTACATGTCTGCTTTCTCCACTAGCCTGAGGACAAGGGTCACGTCTTGTTCACTTTTATAGTGCTGATTCCTCAATATGTGGCTCACAATAATCACTTATCAAATGTTTTCTGACTGACTCTCTGATTGAGTAAATGAATCAACAAACAAGTTATAAGCAGAGGCTCAATATTAAGAGATAGGAAGATGCCGAAGAAAGAGAAAAACGGTTAAATAAATGCTTAAACCAATGAAAAATTAAGTGTATCATCTTCAGTAGTGGCCAAGTACATTTTCAAAAGTTCATCCCTTTAATTATGAAAGTAGCCTCTCAAAAATAAAAAAATAAATGAAGCATGTCCTTGCTCCCAGATGGAATAAACTCATTTAGCTATGTTACATCAGAATCACTTCACAAAATCTGGCATTTGAAGTGCATTAGGTCGGGTTGGCTGATTTTTCCATAATTATATTAAATGTTCACCATCTACAGAATTTCATTCCAAACCCAAACAGTCCCTGGCACTTAATGAGCAGACTCCAATGCTCAGGCCCAGGACCGGCTGCCGGCTTCAGTGCTTCGCTAGGTCATCGTTAGATGTCTACGGAAAACATTCAGAGCGAGCCATCGTTACCGTGGTAACAAGTGCAGGAGAGAAGAGGGTGACTGTCATACATAAGATGAGGATTATGGACAGGAAGCACTGACAAGCCCCTAAGGAAACAACATGAGGTTTCCTCAGTTAAGAATGGCCGTCCAATATTCACATGCCAACAACTGAGTGTCACAACATCCAATAAGGAAATATACAAAGCCCATTAGTTCTGGTTGCCAACTAAGAAGAAAATGCAGCAATCGCTGCCTCCCACTATTTTATAATTATGTGTATGTCTATACATATACATAAATGAACCAGAACAGAAACCCATTGAAATATGTAAAACAGGCAACATGGAGCTCAGTGCTACACATACTCAATGTAGGGTCCTACTCAGTCTGTGCTTTGAGTTTGAAATGTTTTTCAAGAAAATTCTGCAGCAACAAAACCAAAAGTAAACAAGTATGACCACACCAAACTAAAAAGCTTCTGCGCAGCAAAGGAAAGAATAGAGTGAAAATTCAACCTATGGAAAGGGAGAAAATATTTGCAAACCATATATCTGATAAGGGGTTAATCTCCAAAATACATAAGAACTCCAACTCAATAGCAAAAAACCACTAATACCTAATTTAAAAATGGGCTAAGGACTTAAATAGACATTTCTCCAGAGAAGATCTACAAATGACAACAGGTATAGAAAAGATGCTCAACGTCATTAAATATCAGGGAAATTCAATAAAAACCCCAATGAGATATCACCTCATACCTGTTAGGACGGCTGTTACTAAAGAAACAATAAACAAGTGTTGGTGAGGATGCGGAGAAACTGAAACCCTGGTGCACTGTTACTGGGAATGCAAAATGGTGCAGCCACTGTGAAAAACAGTATGGAAGTTCCTTAAAAAACTAAAAATAAAGCTACCATGTGATTCTGCAATCCCACTTCTGGGTATTTATCCAAGAATTGAAATCAGAATCTCAAAGTGATATTAGCACTCTCATGTTCATTGCAGCAATATTCACAATAGCCAAGATGTAGAAAAAAGCTAAATGTCCATCAACAGGTGGATGGATAAAGAAAATTTGTTATATACATACAAGGGGCTAGAATTTTGTTCAAACTTAAAAAAGAAGGAAATTCTGCAATATGTAATGACATGGATGAACCTTGAGGACATTATGCTCAATGAAATAAGCCAGTCACGGGAAGATACTGCATGACGTGGTTTGGCTCTCTGTCCTCATCCAAATCTCATCTCAAAATGTGTTCCCCACATGCTGAGGGAGGGACCTGATGAGAGGTGATTGGATCACGCAGGTGGTTTCCCCCATGCTGTTCTCGTGATTGTGAGTGAGTTCTCATGAGATCTGATGGTTTAAAAGTGTTTGGCAGGGCTGGGTACGGTGGCCCACACCTGTAATCCCAGCACCTTGGCAGGCCGAGGCGGGCGGATTACCTGAGGTCAAGAGTTCGAGACCAGCCTGGCCAACATGGTGAAACCGCATCTCTACTAAAAATACAAAAAAAAAAAAAAAATTGCCAGGCGTGGTGGCAGGCACCTGTAATCCCAGCTACTTGGGAGGCTGAGGCAGGGGAATCGCTTGAACCTGGGAGGCAGAGGTTGCAGTGAGCCCAGATAGCGCCACTGCACTCCAGCCTGGGCGACAAGAGCGAAACTCTGTCTCAAAAAAAAAAAAAAAAAAAGTGTTTGGCAGTTCCCCTCTCACTTGCTGTCTCTCCTGCTATCATGAAAGATATGCCTTGCTTCCCCTTCACTTTCTGCCATGATTGTAAATTTCCTGAGGCCTCCCCAGCTATGTAGAACTGTGAGTCAATTAAAACTTTTTTCTTCATAAATTACTCATTCTCAGGCAGTTCTTTATAACAGTGTGAAAAAGACTAATATACTGCATGATTCCACTTATATGAGGTAGTTAAAATAGTTAAATTAATAAAATCAAAGAGTAGAATGGTGGTTGCGGGGGCTGGGGAGAAAGGAGAATGGGCAACAGGCATAAAGTTTCAGTGCAGCAAGATAAGTTCTAGAAATCTGGTTTACTTATAGTCAATAATACTGTATTGTACACTTAAAAATTTGTTAAGTTGTATATATATTACCACAATAAAATAATAATTTAAACAATTCTACAAAGACTTTATTTTTTAGTGATGAATTTCTAATGGTCTTATCACTAGACTCAAAATTAAAGTGGGCTTATGGATATTGCTTTGTTAATTCGGTGGTGATTGGGACTTTCAAAGATGTTTTATCTATGTTTCCTGTTAGGAAATCGAGGATGGATCGTGATTTTAAGCTCCTTGTTAATTCTGTCAATAATTAGTGGTCAAAATGGAAAATATTCATGAATGGCCAGTACATGGAATACAGAAAACCCCATGAAAAGCCTGAAAGAGAAAACAAATGAAAAGCAGAGTTCTGTGAGAGTTCTGTGCTGGGGGTACCTTATCTGATTTTCCTCATCATTCACCAAGAAGAACCAGCGAAACTTCACAACCAACGGACTGCAGTTGGTGATGGTAACGTAGCGAATGAGCTCAGTATCGTTCAGGATGCAGCCAAAATCCAGCTCCTTTGTCTCAAAGCTGAGGTTGGGGTAATGCACTTCTCCGCGCAGGTCCAGGCTGTCTATCTGAGGGTGTTCCACATACTTAATTGCTAGAATTTCTTCTGCCACCCAGTTGTTCAGATCGTTTCTGTAGGAAGGGTCAAACTTGATCAGCAGGTTTTTTTCTTCATCAATTTCCAGTTTAATAGGCTACAAACAAGATAATGGGGAAATTACTAACTTTTGTACTATGCATTTCCACCCTGGTACATGAAACAGGACAGCCAGGTATTTACACATACACATTACATGTATTTATGCACACACAGATACACGCATATTTGTGCATACACATATAAACACACATATTAGTATGAAAAACATACACATACACATTCATATGTAAACAGCTAGTACATCTAAGTATAGACACTTATGTATATGGATACACATTTTATTAGTTGAAAATGAAAGCAAGGAAAATCTGGAATTATTTAAAGGAAGAGATTTTGATAAGTGTTGTGTGGGGTTATAAGAATTGAGGAGTTGTAAAGGAAAAGTCTACAATGAATAACTATTATAAAATATTCTTAACTAAAAATAAATTTCGTTGTGAAATGCCCTTAGGCAAGTGGGAAAAATTCTTTGCTTAAGAAATTTTTAAAAGGGTTTTCTAAAGCACTGGGGGGTGGGGTTGGGGGTGGGGGGCTCTGTAGAGAGTGACCCAGAAAGGGACAGATTAGGTAATTTAATTTCTTTTCTAATGTCAGCAATCCTAACTTTTAAGCACAGTGTCATCCACTTTCTGCTGTTTTCTATTCAACTTAAAATGACAGTCCAGAGCTGAACAGCATTTGTTCAGTACATTTTATTTGTTCTTTTCTGTCTTTGATTCCAATCCCTATGTGTTCCTTGATGCCAGTGTCTGCAGTAACACCTTCCCGTAGAAAGGCTGGCTATGAGTTGGCTTTTTTAGGCATTGCTCAATTCCCACATTTAATGGGCATGAAAGCCACCTCGTGGTTTTGCAGCAAGTGCCCTAAGGCAGTTGGGAAGAATGGACACAGGAATGAATCTGTTTTCAGTGCACCTCATCTTTCCACTGGGCTTAAACGATTCTGGTATTTAACTGTGCATTTAATGACATGATTAGATGGTTTCGGTTGATAAAGCCACTCACCTGATTCAACAGTCAGAGAGAGAGTAATGACTCTTCAGCATTGGCCTAATCCCAGCTGAAAGCCAGGCCAGCCACTGGGCCTTTAATCTTACCACTGGCACAAGGGGCTGGGCATAAGTTAGGACCCACCCTTGTAGATCATGGCATCTGTAGCACTCGGTATCGCCATGCTTGGTGATTAAATGTTTTGAAGATTGACTTAACTTTTTTTTTTTTCCAGGAAAATGACATTATTGTTTTGTAGAAATGATACAAAAATTTACATTATATATAAAAGCACAAAGAAGAAACGAGAAATTTATCCCAAATTTCACAATACATTATTTCTCAGAGTTATCATTTGGTAGATGTTAGTCCAGACGTGAGAGAGGAATAATAGGATTTTACAAAAATGGAATTAGACTACATTATTTTCTAAAAAACACCATATTTGAATTTTTTCTCAAAAAAGACTTGAAGAAATGTTTCGTATACAAGGGATATTAATTCCTAAGATTAAAGGCTCTGGAGCCAGAGTAGTTAGGTCCAAATCCTGGTTCTGCCACTTACTAGCTGTGAGACCTTGGGCAAAATACTGGGCCTCAGTTTCTCCATCTGATTTACCACTCATTTTAAATTTTCTGTAGTCTTCCCTGTTTGCTTCCTGGATCCTTTACATCTTTCTGAGCTGAAGTTGGGTGGTGTATCATTACTCTTCTCTTCCTTTATCACACCCCGCCCCACCCCAGACAGCTTGCCAGAACAGACCCCTATTAAGGTACCTCAGGAGTTGCCGGCAGCAGGGATTTATCAGTCTCACATATAAAGAAGGGTCCAGATGTTGACAGCAACAAGTTCACGGGCAGGGTGGAAATGTTCTTTATGGCCAAGGGCTGGTAATCAGGTTTCAGGATACTGTTAGGTTTCTGCAAAAACAGAAAAAGAGGAAACAAATCAACTTATGGTAAATACAGTAAGCTTTTAGCAACAAGTCTCAGGTTCATTGTTTAGAACAAATTTAGCAATCTTTCTTTTTCTTTGTGTGTGTGTGTGTGTGTATATATATATATGCATATATATGTAGATGTATACATACATTTTTCTCCCTTGTAGAACTTTAGATTAATCATGTGGAGGCCGGGTGCAGAGGCTCATGCCTGTAATCCCAGCACTTTGGGAGGCCAAGGCCAGTGGATTACTTGAGGTCAGGAGTTTGAGACCAGCCTGGCCAACATGGTGAAACCCCGTCTCTACTAAAAATACAAAAATTAGCCAGTCATGGTGGCAGGCACCTGTAATCCCAGCTACTTGGGAGGCTGAGGCATGAAGATCACTTGAACCCAGGAGGCAGAGGTGGCACTGAGTCGAGATCACACCACTGTACTCCAGCCTGGGTGATAGAGTAGGACTCAGTCTCAAGGAAAAAAAAAAAGATAAATCATGTGATGTATAGTGGACTACTGAAAAGTGGACCTACATAACCCAGACAACACAGATTAGATTTTTTTACCCCCTTGGTGCCTAATTGAGAAAACCTACAGAAGCCATGCTTCTGGATAGAACTATTATTATAGGGCCTTCCACAGTGTCATAAGACAAAGTCTAAAAAGTTAGTTATATCTTATGCATAAATATAGCTATCATTATAATGAATAAAACATTTTTCCCTTGTATAATATTTTTCCAGGCTTAAAATACCTGATTTGCCTATATCTTGTTATACTGACAAATGATCAGACCTATTTCCTGTAAACTTTTCCTGATAATACCAGGATAGTTGATTTAGAAGTATCTTTTTACTCTGTTAGATACATTAGATTTAATTTTTCTTTTTTTTTTTTTTGAGACAGAGTCTTGCTCTGTTGCCCAGGCTGGAATGCAGTGGTGTGATCTCAGCTCACTGCAACCTCTGCCTCTCGAGTACAAGTGATTCTCTTGCCTCAGCCTCCCAAGTAGCTGGGATTACAGGCACGTGCCACCATGCCCAGCTAATTTTTGTATTTTTTGTAGAGATGGGGTTTCACTATGTTGGCCACGATGGTCTTGATATCTTGACCTCATGATCCACCCGCCTCAGCCTCCCAAAGTGCTGGGATTACAGGTGTGAGCCACCGCACCCGGCCCAGATTTAATTTTTCAACTAGAGAAGGCATCAGAAATGAATCTCGAGTTGAGAGTTTCTGGCCAGACTGGATTTTTCTCATTCTGATGTTGGGGCCCACATTATTTCTTGTATTCCCTAGAAAGAGGGTTCTTTAGTATCATCAGGGGGTGACCAGGAGCCTCAATCTTTGGCCTCCAAAAAGAACCTCCCTCCAATCATCCCCTGGGTCTTCTGACAACTCTAGTCTGTCTTTCCTAGGCCTCCTTGTTTTCATTTGCCTTTTCTCTTTGTGCCAATATCAGTTAAGCCCTCCTAATTTCATACTTTGATATGACTCTGTCTTCCAGTTCTATGCCTAGCACAGTCTTCCTTCCACTGTGGTTCCTGGGTGAGCTCAGGTGACCAGTGTCCCTTGGCTCGAGCCTCATGCCTTGGTTGTACTCTATGAGTCTCCCTGTGCACTCCCAGGGTGACTTTAGGGATTAGGTCTGGAGTTTACCATGAGATACCAGCCTTTGTTTCCCTCCCTCTAATATGGGGTAGCATGGAAGCGGACTCACCTTGCCTCTGCGGGTTGTATACTATGGTTTAGGGAGGGATGAAGCAGTACTCTGGGCCCTACTAAGGCTGCATGGAGAACTGTCCACCCAGTGACCTTCCCTGAAGGCTGCTGTGTCACTGCAGATGGCTTTGAAGTACAGAAGCCACACTTGGTTGGTTTTGGCAAGAGGCCATTTAGAGGCTACTGATGAGAAGGAGTCAAGCACAGAGAGGCCATTCTATTTTAAAATGACCCCTTCTCTTTGAGTTGTTCGTCTCTCCAAATATCAGCAGACAGAATGTGCTGCTGGAACTTCATGAAGAAAAGTGGCTGCTAGTTTCAATTGACCTTTTCAATCCCACAGAGATGTGGTTTCATCTCCGTGGCTTATGAATGGTACGATAGTTATAAAGTAGACCAAATCTGAGGAAACAGCTATAGAAAAATTCTTCCTATAGACAGGGTTGTTACCATTATATTCTAATGTACCAAATCAGATCCACTGCCCTTGAGCTGAAATCAGGGAGACAGAACAGATAATTGGATGTTATACAATTAAATCTGAATACTGAGACCTAACAAGTCTCTTGCATATGCTGGGTAATGAAGTTGCATTTCTTCATTGTCCCTGATGTGGATTAAATGTGAGCAGGAAATGAAAATGAAAAATACAGTAATAGGACAGATTTCAAACTTCTCATCTTTGTGGGGAAGGAGAGAAGGGTGGAAAAAAGTAAGCAGGGAACTGTAGCTCAATTCACTTTTTGATTGAATAAGAAGTTACCGCCATATTCCAAATATGTACATATTTTAATCTAGTAATAAATTCAAACAGTAGACATTTAAATAAAAACATGCCCCCCCAAAAGGCATAAGGATATAAAGAGAAGAAAAAGAGCACTACCCACACATTTTTATTAGTGTTTATGGGCTTAGAGAAATCTAATAAGAAACTAGGCTGCATATTTAACATATATTACGTCTTGCCCAGAATAGCTATTCAATAAATATTCACTGAGTTTTCTCCCAGTAATGGCATTCAGGGAAAATACAATGCCACCAACTTCAGTGCAGCTGTTGCCAATAAATATCTTTCCTGATTACTTAAAAATGAAGAATTTAAAATAGAGCAATAAAGCTTAATAACTGTAGCAGGAACTCTTGTCGTATTTTCCTTTTACATGTCTCATGGAGCTTGTTGGCTTCGGGTTTAGCTTGGGTTTCAGTGACGGGAAGCTAAACTAACAATGTCCACCTTCCCCACTCATCTATTAAGCCAAGCCATGGATATTTTATTTTATTTTATTTTAAGTCCTGGGATACATGTGCAGAACGTGCAGGTTTGTTATATGGGTGTACATGTGCCATGGTGGTTTGCTGCACCTATCAACCCATCATCTAGGTTTTAAGCCCCACATGCATTAGGTATTTGTCCTAATGCTCTCCCTCCTCTTGCCCCTGACCCCACGACAGGCCCCAGTGTGTGATGTTCCCCTCCCTGTGTCCACGTATTCTCACTGTTCAACTCTCACTTATGAGTGAGAACACGCAGTGTTTGGTTTTCTGTTCCTGTGTAAGTTTCCTGAGACTGATAAACCATGGTCTTTGCTGTGTCTTTTCTGCCTTATATATTGTAGGTGACCGATACACCTGCTCAAAAGTTACTTGTTGATTTGAATTGAACTTGTACCTCTCACCTCTCCTACTGGACCACAAGCTCTTTTTTTCATCTCCTAGCAGAACATCTTTCCCATGGTGATAATCAACAGATACTAATTTGTTTTAATGAACAAAATATGATGGAATCCACTACCAAAATAAATGGTCTTGAACATTCTTCTGCAAACCTCCAGGTAATGAAAGGAACCCCAGTTGATACCTCATGACTGGTTAGGCACTGCCACACCCAATGTTTTTGTGTGACAGCAAAGATCACACTGTGGGGCAGTGACTTACTTAATGCTTGGTCTTCCCAGCAGGCTGTGAAATTTATCAGGGAGGACTGTTCTCACTGTTGTATCTCTAGCCCCCAACACTGTGCCTAGCACATGATAGACCTTAATAAACATTCCATTCAGTGGCCAGCATGATGGTTTCAGTGAATCTGACCATGTCACTCCCTTCCTGGAAGCCCTCCAATGGCCACCCAGAACAAAACCCAAAGTTCAGATAATGCCTTCCAGGCAGACTGCACGTCTCCAGATGGACTTTTGCCATCCTTGGCACATTCTCTGTCCAAGGTGGCCTTTCCTAACTCGAGCCCTTCATGTGAGCTAGTCCCTCTGCCTACAATTCTCTCCCCCTCCCTTGTCACCAGACTAGATTCTATTTTTACTTGTAGTCTCAACTTGAGGCACTTGCTCAAGAAAGTCATTCATGACCACATGGACGAACAAGATCATGTCTCCTAATACATGCCCTCCCAGCACCTTGCACCTCTTCTTAATAGCAATGTTTATAATGGTGACTTCAACAATTAAATTTTAATAATTTGTTTAAAGTCAGCCAGCTTAGCTTTGGTTATGTTTGTCTGGTTCACTAGATTTCCAGTACCAGCTCAATCCCCAACTCAGAACAGACATTCCTTACATGTCTTGAATGGTAATTAATTCTGGATGGAAGCCTATCTAGGGGCAGGTCAAGCCTATTGTGATATCTCCTCCACCCCATCTCTTCACTATCCTGACCCCCCGCCCTGAGCAGCAGCCACTACCTTCTCTCCCTTGTCCCCTGACTCTGACATTTACTGTCTACCCTTACGTAGAGCCATTTAAGTTAAAGAGTGTGAATCTAATACTTTAAGTTGATTATTCTCCAGCTTAACCTGTATCTCAGTTTCCTCGTGTGCATCACATCACACGTCATTTCCTTGTGTGATAACAGAACCTGCTGCATACGGTTGTTGTGAGGGACTACTGGGTAAATGTATGTAATGAACATGGCTCCATGTCTAGCAAGTACTAATCAATCAGTGGTAGATACTCTTACTGATAATTATAATTATCAATAATTCTACTCCAATCCTTCCTCTGCCTTGGGTTTATTTTACCTGATTAAAGTAAGATGATTGACTAAAATGCATATTCAGTGCACTGGAATACCACTTCCTTAGGTCTTAGACATCAGGAATGATGGAAATAGAATTTCCACAGCAACTTACATGTCAAAGGATTGTAGGTTTAGATTCAGAATTTTTAGTTGAATGTGTACTGGCCTCTGAAGCTTAAAAAACATGGGCTGAGTAATGGGTGGAAAAGGATGCCCATTAATTCAGCTTTCAAAATGAAAATGTAAACATGCTGACCCTAGTCGAAGCACCCAGCCCTCGCCAGCACACCTCACTGACCTTCTCCAGTCGGTAGATGAGCTGCTTGGTGGAGAGCTGGATGAGAGGTGCGACGAACTCACAGGTGATGTTCACAGCCATCACCAAGCTCTTCCCCTTCTGTGCCCCGATGATGGCGTGGCACACCAGCTTCTCTTTCACTATCTGCCAGTGAGATAAGCCAGCATTTGGGGAACAACTATAACTTAATACTTACTCAGAATACTTATTTACCCACTGAGAGAAAATGGATTTCCGACTACCTGCCTGGGGACACAAGGAAGAGCACACTTTTCTGAACAGCACGTTTCAGGGACTGCTCTTTGTCACATGATTATGTTTTTGTTAGTTACACATGGCCTTGATGGATTCTGTATTTATTTCTGACTGCCCTGAGGCAGTTGATTTACATTCAGTTCTGGGAGTAAAAACATTGATGAACAAGACAGATAAAATCTTTCATGGGGCTTATAGTTCAAAGGTGGTTATATGATTTCTTAATAAACTATTGAAAACTGTAGTTGGAAAGTTTTTGTCTTTTTCTTCCTTTTTTTTTTCAGATGGAGTTTGCTCTTGTCGCCCAGGCTGGAGTGCAATGGTGCAATCTCAGCTCACTGCAACCTCTGCCTCCCCGGTTCAAGCGATTCTCCTGCCTCAGCCTCCCAAGTAGCTGCGATTACAGGCATGTGCCACCACGCCTGGCTAATTTTGTATTTTTAGTAGACACGGGGTTTCTCCATGTTGGTCAGGCTGGTCTCGAACTCCCGACCACAGGTGACCCACCCACCTCGGCCTCCCAAAGTGCTGGGATTACAGGCGTGAGCCACCGTGCCCGGCCAAATTTTTGCCTTTTATACTTAAACATTTAAAAATCATGCATTAGGAATTAATATTTCTTTGGACTCAAAAAGCCTAGATTTTTATAAAGCAGAAAGGATCAAAAGTGAATTTACAGCATGAATAGGTTATATAGAAGAGTGCTCAGGTTAGGGATGTTAATGCATTCCAGTCTCTTCTCAATTATGTAGCATGATTTAGAAGAACATTCGGGGATGCTTTTAGTAAAGCTTAAGCTGAGTTTAGTCCCCCAGCAGCTCAGAATTAATGCCTTCAAAAATATGGACAACTCTTGATAACCACATTATAAATATGCTCTTCCAACAGCTGTCAGTGTCTTGAGATAAGGGCCTGTGTTCTATTCATCTTTACATCCTCAGTGCCTAGCACAGTATTTGTCACATGGTATACACACAATAAAAGTTGGCTGATCACCTGAATAACAGAGAGAAGGAACACATTATCTTTTCCACAATGAGAGATAACCTCCCCTTTTGTTGAACTGAGGATGCGTTTTACCTGAAAATGCTCTATGAAGAAATAATCTAATGAAATAAAGTAGAATCTGTGACCTTAGAGAAGCTAAGCAAGGGACTAGCTTTCCAGCTGTGTCTACTGGGAGACAAAGTTCTTTTTGCTTCCTATTTAATGTGGGGAAAAGTCAGTATCACCTCCAAATTTGGCAACACAAGCAGGATCTTAAGCAAGCATCATTTCTCATCTACAAGGTCTGCATTTTGTCGGGAGGGAGAGACTCTTAAGTGACTTTGAAAGCCTTTCCTTTAGGTTTTTAATGGTTTCCACACTCTGTGAGAGAATAGGGATAAAGAAACACTCATGATTTGGATCTACTGAAATGTTTTACGTAGAGTGTATGGAGATCATGTAAATAAAAGCAGGGAATCAGAGTTGCTGAAGATAAATGTGGCTCTTTTATTAATGCATAAAAAGAAGATGTTTTGAAATGTGAGTTGCAGTCAGGCTGGAAAGAAAGGAACAGGGATGTCCCAATACCTGAATAGGAGAGGCAGCCCAGAGTGTCGATATAAACACCCTTTTTGAATGAATATTAAATTCATCCTGCTAAGTGTTAATAGGAGAATTTGCTTTGGCTAAAAACTGGGTGTTTTTCTACCAGAGACTTGCTGGCTGGTCACTGTGGACCCTGGGCATGAGAACCTCCTTTAAGATTGGGTTCACAGTAGCTACAGAAACAAATTGAAGACTGAGCAGAGCTGCACCCCGAAAGCAACGGATGCTACTATGGTAACTCAGGATTGTACACAATCCTTGAGAAACCATATCCTTCCTCAGATAAATGTCAAGGGACTTTCCTAAGAAATAGATACAGTAGAGATTTATTTAGGAAAAAACAATAGCTTCCAAATGTGCTATCCCCTTACCCTGGGAGTAGCAGAATAGCCTTCGAGTATCACATCAATTGCCTGGCCTGGGTACAGCTCCATGCTGGCGGGGTGGAGATGAAACACGGGGCTCTGTGGATCCCTGGGCTCCTGAGAGCCACTGGGCTGGGGTTGGACATGAGCATGTCCCTTCTTAACCCGGCCCTTCTTACTCAGCTTGGCCTGGGGTCGGAAGCTATCATTCATCCAGAACAACTGTTGGATCCGACGTCCCTTGTTGATCAACTTAAAGTGGTAATAGTGGGTATCCAGGCTGGAAAAGACGAGGCAGGTGTTGAGAGGATTCCATTTAGGGATGTTCTGTTCAGCTCTACACCCTTGGGATTTACTCTTCTGGAAGTATTTAAAATGGTGAGCAACAATATAAGACTTTTTTTTTTTTTTAAATGTAGGAAGACTAAGTCACGATGCCACTAGGAACTAACACAGCGTTGGCATCACCAGGTAAGGGGCTGTGGAAAATCTCCACTCCCCGTAAGTCTTCCCCAGCAGGCCCCACACACTGCAGGACACACACAGTTCATGTGAAAAGCAATCCCATTTAGAAAAATAGCTCTGAGGAGTGAAAGGAAAGCAAAATACCTACTGAAGGAGAAGCGAGTTTCAAGCTGTGCTGAGAAAATTACTAGTGACTGAGTGGAATGTCCCATAACAATGGGCTCAATTTGAAGGAAGCTTTGAAGAAAAACCATGCATATTCTCTAAGCTTTAACAGAGGCCAGGGGGACTGCAATGGGCCAGAACACCACCGGGATTGGTCACCCATCTCAGACTAATGTGCTTTAAAGATGTTGCAATTTCATGTATTCATTTGTTCATCATGCATTCATATATTCCACAAATATTTACTAAGAACGTTCCGACTGCCTGGCTATTTGCTAAAAAAAAAACTGGGATTTCTAAGATCTCGGATATGGTTCAAATGTGTTTTTGTTTGTTTGGGATTTTTTTTTTTCCCCACAGGCTTACTTTAAAATATTTTCTTAGGGAAAAACTCATCTCGGGACTGTTTTTTATTTTTTAAATTTTACTAGGCTTTGAGATTTCATCCCATCTGTTCCTCCTTAGGAAATGACATCATGCCTGGTAAGTTGAACCATGAAATAAACAATCAGAAGGAATATTTGCTAGTTGTTAGGTATAACCATTTCTAGCTACATATGTTGTGAATCTGTGTCCACGGGGCACGCTCAAGGGAGCTTCTTTACTTGGTAGTTTATGGCTAACAGTAGGCTTTTGGGGGAAATAATAAACAACATATACTGTTTATAAAAACCATATACTGTTTATAAAAAACACATACTGTTTATAAAGACTAGGCAGGATGTCTGTTACTTATTCACAGTATATCTTTCAATCATCACAGCAATCCAGTCATGATAAGTATATTTACTACCATTTTATAGATCAAGAAATGGAAGCTCTGAAAACCTAAGGGAGTTGTCTAAAAATATGCAATTAGAAGCGGCAGCGTATGGCTATTTCTTTAGAGCAGATGTTGGCAAACTTTTTCTTTAAAGGGCTAAACAACAAATATTTTAGGCTTTTTGGGCCACACGGTCTCTGTAACAGCTACTCAACTTTCCCTTGTAGTGTGAAAGCAGCCATAGACAATATGTTAAGAAATGGGCATGGCTGTGTTCCAATAAAACTTTATTTACAAAAGCAGGCAGAGGGTTGTAGTTTACCCAGCCCTGCTTTTGACAATTCTTCTGGAGACTGCAGGCATAGTGATTTTATGTCAAAAAGTTTAGGCAGAGGGCAAATTAGCAACTAAAGCTACAGTTTGCTTTTATATTCATAGAAAACTGTTAGCTAACCCTCCAATTCCATATGTCAGAATATCCTTTGAAGGCTACTTGACACTATTTGTAGATTTAAAAGAACATGTAATTAGGTCTGGTTTGCCACATATTGTTTTCTACAATTATATTTGAGTGCACGAAAAGAAATTTGAAACTAGAAGCACTGGTATGCAATGACAAACTACCCTCGCTTACGGCCAATAGACAGGCAGAGAGGACAATTCTTATATTTAGTCGACTTGAAAAATATAATTGGATACTTGTCTAAAAGCATGCAATTCAACCATGTGACTTGCTTTTTACTTAATTTTCTACTAGTTTATGGTATTTTCAATCAAGTCCCATATTTTGTAGATGGAGCAGAGGGAAGGATTCTGGGGAGGGCTCCTAATTGATTAATGTCAGTCACATCTCCAAGCACAGCATATATGACTTGATTTCAGGGCCTGTGAGCCCAGAAGGCAGGGGGAATACCTTCTGAGATCTGTTCACAGTACTGCAACAGATAAGTTCAAATTCAACTGGCCCCCAAGAGCCAACTAGTGATGGCGACATGACTCTCCTGAGGAATCAAGAATCCCCACACATACCCTCTACACTTAGCACTCAAACCTCATATATATATTTATTTATTTAATTTGAGATGAAGTCTTGCTCTGTTGCCCATGGTGGAGTTGCAGTGGTGTGATCCTGGTTCACTGTAGCCTCAACCTCCCGGGTACAAGCAATCCTCTCACCTCAGCCTCCCAAGTAGGTAGGACAACAGGCATGTGACATCATGCGAGGCTAATTTTTTTATTTCGTAGAGATAGGGGGGTCTCCCTATGTTGCCCAGGCTGGTCTCCAATTCCTGGGCTCAAGCAATCCTCCCACCTCAGCCTCCCAAAGTAAAGTGCTGGGATCATAGGCATAAACCACTGCTCCCAGCCCAAACCTTATATATGTGTGTGTATACATATATATGTGTGTGTGTATATGTATATGTGTGTGTTGTTCTTCTTTTCTTTCTTTTTTTTTTTTTTTAAGACAGGGTCTCACTCTGTCACCCAGGCTGGAGTGCAGTGGTACGACCTTGGCTCACTGCAACCTCTGCCTCTTGGGCTCAAGTGATTCTCCCACCTCAGCCTCCTGAGTAGCTGGGACTACACGCACCTGCCACCATGCCCAGAATTTTTTGTACTTTTGTAGAGATGGGGTTTTACCATGTTGTCCAGGCTGGTCTTGAATTCCTGAACTCAAGTGATCCTCCTGCCTTGGCCTCCCAAACTGCTAGGATTATAGGCGTGGGCTACTGTGCCTGGTCCAAACCTGATTTTTATGTCCACATTTAGATTGTTCTGCTCAGAGGTGTCTATACTGTACCACAGCTTATTTAAATATTTAGACCCTCTAGCTTTTCCTGGGTAATCAGGCAAAGCCAATGGAAACCATCTCAGTTGTCGGTACTATGGGAGTCAAGTAGAGGACATAAGCTTTGCAAAAGCTGCTAGTGACCGGGCACGGTGGCTCATGCCTGTAATCCCAGCACTTTGGGAGGCCGAGGCAGGTGGATCATGAGGTCAGGAGATCGAGACCATCCTGGCTAACACGGTGAAACCCCGTCTCTACTAAAAATACAAAAAATTAGCCAGGCGTGGTGGTGGGCACCTGTAGTCCCAGCTACTTGGGAGGCTGAGGCAGGAGAATGGCGTGAACCCGGGAGGCGGAGCTTGCAGTGAGCAGAGATCGCGCCACTGCACTCCAGCCTAGGCCACAGAGCAAGACTCCATCTCAAAAAAAAAAAAAAAAAAAAAAAAAAGCTGCTGGCTCTGCAATAGCTGATAAAATACACTTGCAATAAATTTTTACCTTCCTAGGTATGTTCTGCTTAGGTTACCACTAAGCTGTATCTGTATTTTCTACATTTGTGGAGAGGGATTAACAGTGTATTGGAATCAAAGAGGAGAAATTACGGTTGAGAGTCTAAATTAATCACAGAGTAGCCAGTTTGAGAAAAGAATGCATTTCCTACAAACCATATTCTTCTCGGATGTAGAGGGACACGGATTAGAGAATGCAACCAAGTTATGGCTAGAAAATGTCTTCTTGTTGCTGACATACACATCAGGAGGTGGAAGAGTGAGGATGGGAAAGGAGAGGGACTGAGGTGGCTAGTTTTAATTACTTAAAATAATTTTCTAAAGTAGAGGTGATGCTCAGCATATGTAACATATGTGATATCTATAAAAACTGGTCCATGAGATTTCCTTACCTAAAATGTGCCCCCAAATTGAGTTCTGGAGCAAAGGGCTTATCTGAAACAATAGTGGAACCAGTTCCGGAAGCCTGAACAGGAATCCGATAGGTACTGCTATTTTCAATGTCCAAAATAACACAGTCCTTGAATGTCAGTGTGTCATTCAGGTTGGCGGTCAGTGCCAGTTGAACATCAGTTTCTGGAGGAACCATGCCTTCATTGGGTTCAATCGTCCAAAGGGATTTTTTGTGTGCCTGCAACACAAGAGTACAAGTTAACAGGGAAGATATTCTTGGCTTTTTGTTCTATAGATGTCAAAGCCCTCTACACTTCAAATGGGTGGCATTGTGGAATTCAACATCAGAGACAAACATTATTTTTTGAATTAAAGCAGCTGGATGTTTGTTGGTTTTCCTTTTTTTCAAAAAGCAATCTGATTCTGAAGAGCAAACCTACGATTTTACTTTTGAATTCTCTGTGAAGATTCTTTACATCTCTTTCGCAAGATAACCGTCCAATTCTCAAACAAGCTTATAATTATTATCTACTATAATCTCCAGATTCTGAGATACCAACAGAAGGCACAATACTCTTTATGGAGTTTGAAATTTTTATTTTTTATTCTTATTTATTTTTCCTTTTTGTTTTTTTTTTTTTTGGAGTTTGAAATTTTTAAAAGAAACGTTTTTCAAATGCAAAATTTCTAGTGTTATAGTGAGGATGAACCAATTTCATTAATATAATATAAGAAGTCATCTGGATTTCTACTAATTTATAATAATTAATAATTAGCCTCATCAGAATTTCATTAGCTAAAATTGCAAACTTATTCTGAAATACAGACATGTGTTACTTAATGACAGGGAAACATTCTAAGAAATGTGTCATTAGGTGATTTCGTTGCTGTGCAAACATTGTAGAGCGAGACAGTGGAGTCTACTACACACCTAGGCTATACGGTATAACCTGTTGCTCCTAGGCTGAAAACCCGTGCAGCATGTTTCTGTACTGAATACTGTAGGCAACTATAACACAGTAGTATTTGTATTTCTCAACCTGTCTCTGTTTCTGAGCCTCATCTGCATTTTCTGTTTGTTGTTTTCTGTGCTTCATTTTTGATGCTTTCTTTTGAGCTCTCTTCCAATTCACTAGCTCTCTCTTCAGCTATGTGTAATATGCTATTAAACACATCTATTCTCTCCTTAATTTTGATTTCTGTATTTTTGAATTCAGGTGTTGGTATTTTTGATTTTTATAAGGTTTTCATCTTTTGACAACTTTTATAATTCTGACTATGACATTCAACTTACTAGCTACTACAACTAATAATTAGGGACCACTCCTCCTAGCCCCTCCAAGTCTTCTACAAATTTAATGAGCAAATTGTTTTTGGACTTTTCAAGTAAATATAACAAATACATATTCAACGGCTCTGAGGTCCAGGTGTTGTGGGAAATACATAAACACCCCGAGGAGCTGACAGCAATGACATTAGTGAGACCAATATTTCAACAACAAAAATGGAATTCATAAGGAGGCCAGAGTGAAACTACTTCAGGGGAATCTAAAGAACAAGAGCAAAGGATGTTGAAACCCTTGGAATGTCTGACAAATGCACCACACACATTTTCTTTTCCCTCCAAATATGAAATTGGGCTTAATTATCAGGTGATGTGATTCCTAATTATATTGTACTATATTATTAATACTACTAAAATTCTAATTTGTTTAATTGCCTATATAAACAATTATCTCAAAGTTAATAAAAAGCATCAAAGAAAAAACATCCTTTTGAATGAGGTCATGTCCTTTGCAGGGACATGGACGGAACTGGAAGCCATTATCCCCAGCAAACAAACACAGGAACATAAAACCAAACACTACATGTTCTCACTCATAAGTGGGAGCTGAACAATGAGAACACATGGACACAGGGAGGGGAACATCACACACCAGGGCGTGTCAGGGGTCGGGGGGCAGGGGGGAGAGCATCAGGAAAAATAGGTAATGCATGCTGGGTTTAATACTTAGATGGTAGGTTGATAGGTGCAGCAAACTACCATGGCACACGTTTACCTATGCAACAAACCTGCACATCCTGCACAAGTACCCTAGAACTTAAAAGAAAATAAATCATTTCCCCATTTTGATTGCTTTGTCATTTAGATCAATTATGAAAGTCCTGTTTTATTTTGGGAAAGACATTACTCAGAAGTACTTATGTGGATTAATCTTTATAGAAAATATTTAGTTATTACCAATATGCACTGAGAAAAAGCTGCAAAAGAAGAGATGTGGAGAGTATTTAGATGCTTCCAGGATAATAACGGAGAGGAAAAGCCACACTCTCCAGTTCATCAGAAAAGAGTTTGATTATTCCTTCATGAATCTTCCTTGTGAATCTCCCAGGAAGCTTCGTGAAGCTCCCTGAGTTTGGTACCGCAGAAGAAGCCCTCCAAAGTAACGCATACAGTAGAAAACAATGGATTTGAAAACAAATGCAAATTTTACTATTTGAGCGGGGCTGTAGAGGACATTCCAGTCTAAGATTACCCTTTCATTTAATTCTATGATATACTTCTTCTAGCAAAAGGAGAAAAAAGAGAAATGTAAAAACACATGTAGCTCTATGGGGGCTCAGGTACAATGGACTGGAAACCTCCTGACAAACTTAGGTCAGAGTTGCACTGATGATCTCTGTAAGTGACATAAACGTACATTGCAGATTGAAAGCAAGAGTTAGAGATTTCAGCCAGGCAGAATCTCACAGGGTGGCAGTGCCTTGGAATGTCACCAAAATCCTGGTCTGGCGCCACTGCAGATTAAAAAAATAGATTCAGTCAGTGGGCCCGATGGTCACTCTCTTAGGAATAGGCTCACAGGTACTTAAATAAGGAAAATCTAATATTTAAAGCAAAATGTCAATTTCCCAATTTATAATTGAGGACAAATGTAAGACAGAGCAGAAAGCTAGTTATATTTCTTCCTGGTTTGAAAATCTACATGGGAAATAAGTAAATTGCATTTTAAAATTTAAATGAATTAAATAAAGGAAAGAAGAACATTTTTCAAGGTTTTAAATTGTATATAAATGAGGATGCAGATGAATGATAATGAGGAAATTTTAATTTTTGGTATTAATGGAAACTATAGATATAACTCTAAGTCAAGAGTCCTATTATTACTCATAATCTTCAAATATGGAAAATCCCAAAAAGACATAGAAATAGAAAAAAAAACAATTAAACATTAAATACCACACTAGATAAAGTAGGACCTGGATGGAGATGTTTGTATCATTGTCTGTATTCAAAGGATGCGCATGAAAAAAATGCTGAATCTTGCAAGAGGCATCTATTTTTCAAAATTTTCTCGATAACTTTCCTATTCGTAGTAACTTGGTTCTAGTAGAGTACTAAAATAATCAGAAAACAGTAAACAAAGTCTCTGTCTCTCCAGAGCATTAATCTGTATTTGTTTATAATTTTGTATTAAAATATTAGTAAAAGATAATAATCCTATTAAATTTAATTTTCAGGACTGTAGCTCAATTATTATTGCCAAGAGAAACTATAAGGATTGAATGTTACAATGTTCTATCCATACTTAGGTTCAAAGAAATAATTTCTGATGCATCTTCCTAATTTATCAAAAGAAACATTTTAACAGCCTTAAAGTGACAACACTAAAATCCTCTAACACATTAATCATAGAAAATGACATAAAATATGTTCTAAAAGAGCTATAAGTGCAAATTCAATTTTCTATAGACATTTTAAAATGGATCAAGGTAGCTTCATTTCATCTTGAATTTATATTACAGTAGATAGGAATCTTTGACTTTTATCATTTTCAGTTGGCATACACAATCAAAGCAATACATGGAAATGGATTTCTCATGCTTGAGTAACCAGACGTTCTCCTTTCTTATAACTGTTTTCCCTACTTGCTGTTTTGAAATTCTAGGCTATTATTTTAGATAAGTTTATGGTAGCTGTTGTAACAGAAAGACCCCTGATGCTCAATGGCTTTATACAACAGAAGCTTATTTTGGGCCCACATGAATTCCAATTGGTGACAGGTGTGAGGATGGGCTTCTGCTCCATTTAGTCATGCAAAGATCTCTACTAAACGGATTCTGACATATTTAACTCTTGGTTTCTAAGATATCCATATTGACATCCAGCTGGCCAGTAAGAGAAGAAAGAGAAAGGAGGGTTGTGTGCTAGGATTTTATGCACCATGCCTGGAAGTGGTGCACATCACTTCTGTTCACTTCCACTGGCCAGAACTGAGTCAATGCAGCCTAACCCCAGTGGAGGTTAGGAAATGTAGTCTAGCCCTGGGTCTACAGTAAAGAGAGTTGAGTGTGCCGAGCTGCTAGCTGCTCTCTGCCAAAGTTTCCTTGTTGGTTCACTTTACTGCCACATCCTCATATCTTCCCCCAACTCTCCCAGATCTCAGATTTTGAAAGGTGAAGAGCTTACTCCATCAGAACACAGATCCTATGGGAATTGCCTTTCAGATCCTTTGGGAACTGCAGGCTTAGAGTTCACATCCATCTGCTTTTAGGACAAATGGAGGGGCAGCTAGAGAGAAACTAAGAAAGTTCTGGGCAAGAAGATCTCACTTTGTTGACCCTTCTTCCCAAATTGATGGCCTGTTAGCATCCTACATAGCTTTGCTCATTTATGAGACTCAGCTTACAACGAAAACATAAATCAATGCCATTTTTGTCATTTTATCAAAAAGCAAAATGCCTTGCAGAGAGAGTACTGTCAATGTCATCTTTCCTATTCCAATCATTTGTTTTCCTCCTCTAGCTGGTAGCACAGGCCAATCCTCTGTTCACGATGAAGTGAGGGTGTCATCAGCATAAGTGCTCTTTCAAGTCAGGGGACATTAGTTTTCAATGGATGTGTACCATTTCTCTTCTGTTTCCTGCTGACACAGGTTGGCTCTTCTGGAAAGACCTGAAGTTGTTCTTCAGGGCTGAATTGGTGAGTTTTCTGATGAAGCTTATTAATCAATGCTTGGCATAAAACCAGACAGCAAAATATATCATAGAATGCAAGACAAAGACACATTAAAATGCCAGATGTTAAGGCACTGGACTGCTCTTACCTTACACGAGTCAGCCTCGAAACTACTCTATCATCCTTGTGTCTCTTTGGTGGTTGACTTTTAGGGCTATCCTTTGCTTTTAGGGAGGGCTTGGTCATTGTGATATTTCCTGTTATTAAATGGAAAATTTGACTAAAAAAGGAAAGGACGAATGATAATCATCATAGCTATGGAGGGCATTCCGTAATTCTTTCAAAACCACAATAGGGCGAAATAGCAGCTGATAGAAATAGGGTGGGAGGGAGGGCGCTGAAGGAAAGGGATGTGGGTTTGAGTCCCTGCTCTGCTGCTTTCCAGCTGTGGAACTTTGGGGATGTCTCCTAACTATGTATGCCTGGTCTCAGGTTTCTCATCCGTAGCTCAGGATATTGACTGTACCTTCCATATAGAGCTGTGGGGACGGATGAGTGAGACAGTGCAGGTAAAATCTCAGCACAATGTTGGGCACAAAGCAAGTCCTCAAGAACGAAAGCTATCGTCATCATTTTCCCCAAATCTGAAATGCCCCACGTGACATACAATTATCAGCTCAAAACAGAAAACAAAGATGGATGCTAAGGAAGCATTTAACATACAAGACTCTTGCCAGAAAAGGAGCGGCTATGGGGTTGTGACAGGCAGAATTCTAAGTTGGCCCCCAGGATCTCCACCTCTTGGAGCACGATTATCCTCCCCCAGTTACTTAGTCAAACACAAATCCAGGTGTTGCTGTGAAGGGATTTAGCACATGTAGGTAAGGTCCCAAATCAGCTGACTTTCAGATAGGGAGATTATCCTCAGCGGTCGTGACTTAACCAGACTATACTCTTCCTGGTGAAAAGATTCCAAGCATAGAGGGCCTATGGGAGGGGCCACATGGCAAGGAACAGCGGCTCCAAAGTGGCTGAAAGCAGTCCCTGACCGAGGGCCACCAAAAAAACTGAGGGACTCTGTCATTCAACTGCAAGGAAAAAAATTCTGCCAATGACCTGGGGGGCCCAGTAGTGGATCTTTCCCTCACCAAGACTCCCGAAAGGAATGCAGCTCGGCTAACCTTGATCTCAGCCTCTTGAGATCCTAAGGAGAGAATCCAGCCTGACTATGGCTGGACCCCTTACCCACGGAAACTGAGATCATAAGTTAGCATTGCCTTAAGCCGCTATATTTGTGATAATTTGTTACCCAGCAAGAGAAACCTAATACAGGGTTCCATCTATTTGTTCCAAAGATGATAAAAAATGAGCCTTCCTAAGCTTTCCATGAAAATGTCAGCCATAGCTGCCTTTGCTTTTTCTGCAGTCTGGGGCCTGAAAGCCAGAGTCGTTTGAGCAGCTCGTAAACAACATGTACAGGAGGTATGTGCATGCCTGCAGGGAATATGACTGTGCGAAAGATGGAATATTTGCGATCTTTTGTAATTCAGAATTCCGTGACCACTGGTGATGAGTGTTAAGCCCTCCCCTCTGAGGTTTCATATATCTAAGGATAACATTTGCCTTTTATTTGACAATACGGCAGCAGCACACTTATGCAGTGCTCAGCTCCCAAGGTAAAGCAGCCAGAGCTTTATAGGTTTCCTTATTGTGTGTTTAATATTTGCCACAAAAGGCAGAAGTGAACACCATTGTTTGCACATGTCACCGCAACAATCACCGGGAGTGTGGCTAATAACTAGGAAGCTTGAAGAAAATAGCATTGTGCACTTTTCTTCCAAATAACTCATTTGCCAGTTGAAATCTGCAAGAATCTCCTTCCATGAAATAAAGAGAGCAAATAACAATAGGAAGCAATGTGCAGAGTGAGGGATTTCTTTGGAGTTACACTATTATCTCAGCAGATGACCGGCACTATGTGGAACAAGAACAATGAAGGGTCACCAAGGCATTTCTCTTTTTTTAAAAAAATTTCTTTTGAGAAGAAGTCTCACTCTGTCACCCAGGCTAGAGTGCAGTGGCGCCATCTCGGACCACTGCAACCTCCGCCTCCTGGGTCCAAGCAATTCTCCTGCCTCAGCCTCCAGAGTAGCTGATTACAGGCATGTGCCACCATGCCTGGCTTATTTTTATATTTTTTGTAGGGACAGGGTTTCATCCTGTTGGCCAGGCTGATCTCTAACTCCTGACCTCAAGTGAACTGCCCATCTCAGCCTCCCAAAGTGCTGGGATTACAGGCCCTTTCTCCTGTTCGTCTTCTAAATGGGGTCTCTGGTCACATAGTTCTTTTCCCCGAAGCGAGTCACTTTGCTGCTTAAGAAAGTTAACTGAAAATTAGGAGATGAGATGCAGAAGAAATGGTGTAGAGCTTTACACGGGAGGCAATTTAAGGTCATAATCAGAAGTGTGGGCTTGAGAGTCTCATGACCTGGTAGTCAACTATGGACTCTGCCATTCATAGCCAAGTGACCTTGCACTAATTTTAAAATCTAGGTTTCGGTTTCCTTTTATGTTAAATGTTAACTTGAAGATAAAATAAAAGGGTGCTAAGCATCTAGCACCTCGTCTATCATAGATTACATGCTCAGTCAGTGGTGATCATTACTAATGTTATTTTCCAAACTTCCCATCCAGTTCTCCTTCCTGCTGGTACCCTCCCCAGTCTACACTGTTGACAGTGATAGGGACGGGGGGCAGAGGAATTCTAGAAAAGGGTGGGTCCCTGGCGAAACCCTACCTTTAAGCTGAAAAGCCGGAACCTGTGGCCCAAAGTGAGAACTTATATCTCTGTTTTCCTACTTGAATGTTGCCTTTCCCTTAACCACCCATGGCCCCACCCCATGCCCCAGCCTGTGCCTATAAAGACTCCAGACTCAGCCAGCAGAGAGGAGAGGCAGCTGGATGTTGGGGATTACAGAGGGGACACTTTGATGGCATAACTTCAGAGAAGAAGCTGGCTGCAGATGGCCGGACTTCAGGGGAAGATCACCTACCTGCCTCATCTCCTTTTCAGATCCCTTTCCCCCTGAGAGCCACTTTCATCGGCAATTAAATCTCCCACATTTACCATCCTTAAATTTGTTCATGTGACCTCATTTTTCCTGGCTGCAGGACCAGAGCTCGGGATCCCTGAGTGCAGATACAAAAGGCTGTCACACTGGCCCTTTGCCCTCATTGGCAGAGGGCAGCTGCCCCATGCGACAAGGCAAAGGGCCCACTGAGCTGTTAACACCTAAGGTGTCCACAGACGGCAGAGCTGAAACAGCACTGTAACACACCCTCTGGGGCTTCAGGGATTGCAGGCACCGCCCCCGCCCACCGCCCCCAAGATGCTGCCACAGGGCTTGCATGTAGTTTGCTCCTGCTGGCACCCAGGAGTGCTCACTCTGGCTCCTGCACCCACTCACCTGTGCACTCCCACCTGTGAGGGGTGGAGTGCAGCAGGTCCCAGTAAGTGGAGTTTGATCTTGCTGGTGCCGATGCGGTTGGCTGGTTTCAGCACTCATGCATTCCAGTTCCCACCTCATTCGCTTGCGTGCTCCCTCCAGCAAGGTGTTGAGAGCAGCAGCTGAGTAAGGGACACACTCCCTTCGTGAGTCCCATGAAGGGGTCAGGGAAATATCCTGCTTCAACAGGTTTATCTTTCAGTGATCTGATCCTGCTGCTCTCCTGCTGGGGATTCTGCATGGCTCTCCAGTGTCTGGATCAGAGGCACTGAGTCTTTTTATCCTCTTTGAGAAAGCCAGGAACCCCTTCATCAAAAAATGCACATACCCCCCCTCCCCGCACCCCCCTCCCCCCCACACACACAACTTTACATACAAGTTCCAGAGCTCAGGGATCCCAGTTTTTTCTGTTTGATCCATACGTGGACTCACTTTTTATATCTGGGGAATCCATGATTTTGTGTGAATCTCGGTAGGAGGCAGGCTCTCACTGCCATTTGAGAAGTCACCCAGACTCTCTGCAAACATGGCGGCCCACAATCCAGACTGGTGTACCAGATGAGCTTCTGGTCTGGAGGATCTACTCCCAAATCTTCATAAGACTTAGGGCCCCACTGCATTTTCTAGGCTTAGTTTCCGGGACACCAGGTCATTTACCTTTCCCAAGTGTCCCAAGTGTCATCTGCATTTAAATATGCTGCTCTCAGAAAGCGTATCCCCATTTCCTGCTTTTTTTCTCCTTGGCCTTCAAGTCTCCACTCAAATGTTCCGACCCACGAAAAACTTAAATCTGACAGAAGAATGAATCACGTCCTCCTCTGCGCTTCACATTATAACCCAGCTGTATTGTTTGTATATTTGTTTCTTTTATGAGATTATAAACTCTTTGAAGAAGGAAACTATTTTGTTTACCCTTTATCTCTCCCCTTAGTACCAGGTATAGGAAAAGGGCTCAAAAGTAGTATTTATTTGTTGGTCAGTAAATATATGGAAGGTGTCCAGCCTCACCAGTAAGCCAAATAAACACAAACTTAAATAACAACAAAATATTTTTTCATCTGTCAGACTTGGCCGAAAAAATCCACAAAAATGTTAGCAAGAATCTAGGAGTGATATTTTTCAACACTGCTAGGGGGTAGGACATAAACTGTACAAGTTCTCTGGGACAGAATTCACAAGATGTATCGAGACTTTTAGTTACATACATGTCATTTGACCCAGCAACGGCATTTCTAGAAATTTAGTCAAAGAAAACAATTACAGATGTCAGCAAAATTAAGACACAAGCATTGCTTATAGTAGTAAAAAACTGGGAACAATCTATCAGTAGGGGATTAGTTAAATCAACTGTGGTAGAGTCAAATGATGCAATAAAACTAGCCAGTAAAAATGATCTGTAGACGAATATTCCTTAATAATTCATATTAAGTGACTACAATACATTGTTGAGTGAAAATAACTGGTAACAAAATAGTATTGTCCCATGGGAGGGAGTAGGAATACAGACAGACCACACACACCATAAAAAATTCAGAAGATACACAACAAAAATTTAATAGTGGTTATCTGCATGATGTGATGACAAGTGATTTTTTTTGTTATCTTTAACTTCTGTTTGTTCTATAAAGATAATGTTACTTGTGTAACAAGGAGACACACATATATATTTATTGAATAAATAACTCAACTTAAAAGGATATGGTCACTCTTTTTAGAGCTCACTTAATTTTAACTTTGTTTGCTCTCTTGCTGCAGTCTCATTCCCACTTTGTTTCTTAGAAGCTTTTAAAAAAATAAATAATACATGTAGACAGTGTAACATTCAAATGGATTCAAAGGGTGAAGAGTTTTTCTTCTGCCAGTGCATGGTCACTAGTTACCATCCCCAGAGGTAGCCATTGTTACAGTTTTCTAAGGATCCTTCCAGATATACTTTATGATCAATATTTGCATACGTTGTTTCTTACATAAATGGTGCAATACTCTACAGACTGTTCTGCACTGTGATTTAAATTTTTAAAGTTTGTATCAAAGGTATACATACACACAATTTCAAAAGCCAAATGGTTCTGGAAAAGTTATATTGTAAAAAGCAGCAGCCCTTGGAATCCACTCTCCCATTTTTCCCATTGCACGAATCCTTACCTGTCAACACAGTCCACCACTGTCAGTTCTTTTAGCCTTTGCTTTTTGGATTTGCCTCTATATTGCTAAGTACTCTACTGCTACTTCTTAAGTTTTCAGTTTGCACATTATTCATTTATTTTTCCCCATGGTAAATAATAATAGCTTTTTTCTTGCCCACTCTCCATGTCTCTCTCTCTCTCTCTCTTTCACTTTCTTCTCTTCATCCTCCCAATATAGTTAACATTTACTTTTTGGTGAGATAGATATTTGCACTTGCACCATCATGAGTATGCAAACACTAAACTCAGCTGAGCTATAAAAAAATGGTCTATGACGACGTTTCCCTTCTTATACAACGTTCAGGTTCCCAGGAATTGTTTTCATGTGGTTTTCATGTATCTATCATGGACATCACATTCATCCAAACTCATCCCCAAACTCTCAACCAAAGAGGCAAATTGCCTCTCAATACTTTCAGAAGCATCTTCTACACAGGTTCCATCTTCTTGGAGACAAATCTCTCCTGGAGCTGCCTGTTCTCCAACTCCCATCTGGACAGGCTGCCCTCTGGGCCTGCAATGTGGCTGGCATCCTAGGACTGGCAGGCAGCAATATCCTGTGCACCCCTCAGCATTCTCTCCTGTGTTTGAGCCCCTGTTTGCTGAATCCGCGCCTTCCTAACTGTGGTACAGCACTCTTCAGCGGCCTCCTGACAAAAGGTATGTGGAGTGTAAATTTTTTGAGATTTTTTTATATCTGAAATGTATTTTATCCCCAGATTTTGTTAGTCTTTTGGCTAGATGATGAATTTAAGATTAGGATTTATTTTCCTTCAGAAAGTAATTTTTTTTTTCCTCTAGTGTTTCTGTCAAGAAGTCTGATGCCACTCTGGTTCATAATTTTTTTGGTTTTGACCATGATTTTTTTTTAATCTGGAAGTTTCTGCAGCCTTCTCTTTGTGTCCAGTGTTCTGGAACTTAGTTATGGTGTGCCTCGACATGGGCCTGTTTCCATCCACCGTGCAGCATATTTGATGAACCTTCTCCGTAAATTCCTTTCCTCTGTTCTGAAAACATTCCTTCAATTATTTCTTGGGTAACTTTTTCATCTGCATTTAAGAATCTGCTCTTTTGCAGCACATATTGCGTCTTAGAACTCCTGAACAAACTGCCTCATTTTCTTGTCTTTCTCCTAATCTTTTTCTTCTTTTCCTACTTTCTGATAGTTCCTCAATTTTATTTTCCAGATATTCTATCAAATTTTAAACTTCTGGCATTATATTTTTAGTATCTATGAGCTTACTTTTGTTCTTGTTCTTTTAAAAAATATCATTCTGCTCTTGTTCATGGATACAAAGTCATCTTTACTTTCCTGAGATTTTTAATTGTCATTTTGTTTTATTTTAAACTTTCTTCTTGTATTGTATTTATTTTCTCCAAGTTCTCATTTTTATGTTTTTGGTTTCTTTCTTCTGCATTACAGGTTTTCTTGGTGGAGCCTGGTTAAGTATTTATGTTTAAGAGTAAAGCACTAAGGCTGAGTGCAGTGGCTCATGCCTGTAATCCCAGCACTTTGGGAGGCCAAGGTGGGAGGATTATTTCAGCCCAGGAGCTCAAGACCAGCCTGGGTAAAATAGTGAGACCTCATCTAAAAAAAAAAGAAAGAAAGAAAGAGAGAGAGAGAGAGAGGGAGAGGGAGAGGTGGAGAGAGAGAGAGAAAAAGAGAGAGAAAGAAAGAAAGCAAGCAAGCAAGGAAGCCTGCCTGCCTCTGTGTGCTTGGGTGCCAGCCCACCAAAGGCCACCAGACATTTTAGATGCCCAACTAACAGTTTATTTCTGCCCTTCCTTGTGGCTGGTCAAATTGCCCACAGAAGAACCTTCCAATTTTCTGGCCATATTCTGAGAATTGGGGGAGAAGGGCGCTGGAATTGTACCTTTCAGTGTGAAGACTTTTTTGTAGTTCATTTGTTTTCATAATGGTATCCTGCCCTCAGCAGTGTCTGTGAAATCAGCTCTCAGTTTAATATTATTCCTTTTAAGGGAAAAAACCTTTTTTCCCTGATGCTTTAAGATTTACTCTTTGGTCTTCAGCATCTTTACAAGAATGTGCCTAGATGTGGTTTTGTGGTTTTATCTTGCCTGGTTTTCATAATGCATTTTGATAGCTTGGTCTCAGCCTTTATCTATTCTTCCTCATCTCGCCTCTTCTCTGGTAACTCCAATAACCATACCCCCCATGTTTGTTTGCTTTATCATCTATTCTGTATTTCTCATCCTTTTATCTCTGCAGGTTTCATTTTGGGTAGTTTCTTCAGACCTATCTTTGACTTCCACAAGACTCTACTCATCTGGGTCTAATATACAGTTTAATCCATCTATTGAGTCTTTAATTTCAATCATATTTTTCAGGTCTATAATTCTCATTTGTTCTTTTTTATAGTCTCCAGAACGCCATCGCATTTCTAAAATTTACTTTTTATTTCATTGAACATATTGAGCATATTTTAGTTTTCTACTAAGTTGTCTTGTCTCCTTATATGCCTGGTTATTTTAAGACTAACCATTGGATATTGTATATACAAATTGTAGAGGTACTTTGAGGCCTAGAATAAAGTTTTCTTCTTCCGGTGATGATACAGGTTTGCTTCTGGGAAAGCTGTTGGGGGAACTAGAATTTCCATCTTTCAGGCAGAGATTGGCATGATTTGAATTGAGGGTCTGTTCTAGTTTATCCTTGTTCCTAGTGTGCATCCTTTCAGAGTCCCAACCAAAAGTCCAGACATTTTACCAGAGCCCATCCTCTTCTAATTTTTATCTCCCTAGCCTGACTTGACTCCAATTTTTATCTCCCTGGACATGTAGGTCTTTAGAAAGCTACTTTTAACTTTTCAATGTCTTCTGGAGCCATATAGGAAAAGCAGTCCTAAATGCTGGGCATACATCTCTTGGTTTTTTCCTTTTGTGTTGTCACTAGCTTTGTTGCTCCCCAGTTTCTCAAACTCATGATTTTCTCATTTTGTCCAGCTTTTCTCCTTGTTCTTAGAGGGAAATAGTTTGGAATGACAGATTAAATAGAAAGGCCTTGAACCCTGATGTGCTAAGAGTCCCTTTTGGTCAAGCAATTGTTCTACTGCTTGATTTCTCTATTTGTTGAAAAAGTAGTCTGTAAAAATTATGAGGTTAATGGACTTTGATTATTGGGGAGGCAAGTATATCTAATTCATATTGTTTTCAAGTAATATGTACCAATAATCTTTTAGGTTACTAGCTTAGCATCCTTGAACAAAGACCATCATCTTTTGAGAGTCATCACCTTCTCAAGACTCAGTGAAAGGTGTCAGATCAAATGCAAGGCATGATGGTTAAAATAAAAGGAAAGATGGTTAAATAAAAGGAAACAGGACAGCTCCTGAGCACACAGGCATGATTTACACAGTGCTAGGAAGCATCTTTACAAACAAGTAAGCTTCAAGATAGAAAATCAGAAAGTTAATGGACCTAAATTTTCTAAATAGCAAATTATTTCTTAATAAACCCATTTTCTTTGTTATGGAAGGACATATGTACACTCATCAATACAGATGTTTTATATTTTATAAGATGGCTTCACTGTCAAAAATTAAGAGAAACAAGTCAAGAGTATGGAAAAGACAGCATTAGAGCTCCCATTTCACAGACATCTGTACTACGTGGATCAGTTTGTTCTAAACCTTAAGGCCTCTCTGAGTGTCCCTTATTTCTTTTCCTTTTCCTTATCTGAGAAAAATAAAAGACCTTCAAATGTAGTGTCACAAAAAGTTATGTCTTTTCACAAGCCATTTCACTTGGCTCTTTTTGTCTGTCAACATTAATAATCAAAGCTACCATTTGTTGAATGCTTTTTTTCAACAGGTACTTTTTACATATATTTGCATATTTAATCTCCTAAATGCCATTATTAGTTCCATTTAAAGAGAAGGAACCAAAGGCTCAGAAAGGTTAAATAACTTGCCTAGAGTTAGTGAATGCAGAACCAGGACAATTTCAGATCTGTCTGAAAACAACATCCTCACTTTTGATGGTACAGTATACTATCTCAGTACTCATACACTGAATAACTGCTTGTTGAATGACTACATATGTAAGGCAACTGTGCATGGCACATGATCATGTCTGCCCTCATATAATGTTGCCCTTCCCTCCCGGATGCATCCCAATTCAATGTCCTAACACCCCAGAGGGAGATTTTTTCCTTCCAAAGCACAAAACTTATTGTTGCATGCAATTTCATTGCAACTGACATTAAAAGAAGACATACTCCAGGTGCCATCCTACAAAGAGTTTTATCATGTCACATACACTTCTTCAGTCTCTGTCCTTTCGTTTGTGACAGGGAAGAGAAAACGAAACAGAGGTAGAATAAAATTTTTTCCTTGATAAACATCATATAATCTAGATGGATGTGTGTAGGGGATTTAATATCATTAATAAATCTCTATACTATGCTACTTAATGTATTTCTTCTTGTTTTTCTTCATTACATAAAAACATTTATTTGATTTTGTACTGGCTTAATGTTGAATATGACTGTATACTATCAGTGCACAAAACAGGAAGAGTCAATGCTTTAGTTGATAATGACCATGACAGCCATCTCTTAAAAGGGACATAAATCGAGTTGATGATGATGCTGGTAATGGGGAAGAAACATAAATTTTTATGGGGGAGAGAAGGTGGGATTTAAATAAAACCCACAACAGATCCATAAAAGGAAGTTTTACCTTAATTTCCTTTTGTAATGATAGGTGCTAGCTGTATAATTTAGTTGGAAAAAATATTTTTAAAAAACTAATTAAGAGCTGAGATGGACAAAATGAAGATGGACAGGCTTGCAAGGAATGCAGGAGACCAAGGTATTTTCCTTTTGTCTTCTGAACAGCCCTTAGTGACAAGGAAACCAAACTCCCTCCTTTAATTTTGGCTTCATATTATTCTCAGATGAATCATATTCAATCAGTAGAGCTTTCATTCTAAATTCAAGGAAGGTGCTGACCCATCATCATGTTAAGTAACACTCTATCAATAGCTTTCTTTCTCTCAGTGTGGTTTATAATCAATATAAACTGCTGGAATCTATCTTTTGGGTTTTACATTAAGCTTTGGCAAAATGAAAAAGGTCTCAGGTGGGGTTGGGGGTGGGGGTGAGGGGCTCACAGCTCTCTGTTAAGCACAAACCTTTGCTTCTGGAAGTCTCTTAATACTATTATTACTGGTATCACTGTTATCCTCTTTGGCACTAAACGGGTCACTTCAGATGGCTCAGGAAGAACCCAATCCATTTTGGAATGACCATGACTTTTATGTGGCAAAAGAATAGATGCCCACCAAGATAAACTAGAATTTTCTTCTCTTCTTATTCCCTTATTCCTGTCAGTTTCTTTTTTAAATGATATATTTTTCCTTTTTATTTGACATGTAATAATTGTGCATATTTATGGAGTACAGAGTGATACTTTGATACATGTATACAATGTGCAATGATCAAATCAGGGTAATTAGCATATCCAGCTCCTCAGACATTTATCATTCTTTGGGTTGACAACATTCACGTTCTAGCTATTTGAAAATATACAATACAATATTGTTAACCAGTCACCCCACAGTGCTATAGAACACTAGAGCTTATTCCTCTTATCTAGTTGTAATTTTGTATCTGTTAACCAACCTCTCCTTTCTCCACCTCCCCTCTACCCTTCTTATCCTCTGTGGCCACAATTTTACTCTCTACTTCTATGATCTCAATTTTCTTTTAGCTCCCACATATGAGTGAGAACATGTGGTATTTATCTTTCTGTGCCTGGCTTATTTCACTTAATGTAATATCCTCCAGGCTCATCTATGCTGCTGGAATTAACAGGATCTCATTTCTTTTTACGCCTGAGTAGTATTATACTGTATATATATATCACATTTTCTTTATCCATTCATCTGTTGATGGACACTTAGGTTGGTTCCACATCTTGGCTTTTGTGAGTAGTGCTGCAGTAAGAATGTGGGTGCAGCCATCTCTACAACACTGATCTCCTTCCCTGTGGATAAGTACCCAGTAGTGGGATTGCTGGATCATAGGATAGTTCTATTTTTAGTTTTTTGAGCAGTCTCCATATTATTTTCAATAGTAGCTGTACTAATTTACATTCCTACTAAGAGTGGATAAAAGCTCACTTTTCTCAGCATTATTGCCAGTATTTGCTATTTTTTGTCCTTTTAATAATAGACATCCTAACTGGGGTGAGATGCTATCTCACTGTTTTGATATGCATGTGAGTTTCTTTTATAGATGTTTCACTATTAAGGCAAAGATAAAAAATGTAGGAACAGAAAACCAAATACCACATGTAAGTGGGAGCTAAACATTGAGTACGCATAGACACAAAGAAGGGAACAAAAGATTCTGGAACCTACTTGAGGTGGAGGGTGGAAGGAGAGAGAAGGTCAAAAAACTATCTATTGGGTATTATTTTATTACCTGGGTGACAAAATAATCTGTACACCAAATCCCCACGACACATAATTTTCCTATATAACAAACCTGCACATGTACCCCTGAATCTAAAGTAAAAGTTAAAAAAAGAACTCTGCTCTCTTATGCCAACTGAAAACACATTTTACCATCCTTTTGTAAGTGTTCATGTGATAATACCCAAAACACTAAAAAGTAGTTAAGAGGGCTGACTATAAATCAACGAGTTGAAGCTTTAAAACATGTCCCTTACATAGAAAAAGAGGCGCAATTTTGAAAAAATGAAAAACTAGGTATAGCTTTACTCCAAACCAAGATAAACATCATATGGGCCACAAGTAGAACAGAAACAATAGAGAGGCCCGAACCTACAGACCTACTGGGCTCTAGGTTCTGAAACCAGTAGAGGCAGCTTGAGAAAGAAAAACAGGAACGAAAATGATCCTGCAGGAAGCAAGGAATGAGGCCTAATGTCCCCTGCTAAGACAGCCTCCCCGCATTTGAAAGAAGGCTGAACAAAGTTGTGATGTTCCTGAAGCTATACCTTATACACAGACTGTGCCAGTGGTGGTGGACGTGGTGGTGTTAAAGTAGAGACTGCTATGTAGACAAACCTGAGGCCAAGCCACTGGCCACTGCAGTGACTGAATCTGTGATTTCTCCAACATCCCCATGGGAGGAGAAGCCCAAATT
Source organism: Homo sapiens (assembly GCF_000001405.40). NCBI lineage: Eukaryota > Metazoa > Chordata > Mammalia > Primates > Hominidae > Homo > Homo sapiens. Next base: position 71,049,467 of record NC_000016.10, read on the forward strand.
TGATTCTGGATTAGTGGTCACTGTCTAGGCTGAAGGCAAATGTAAAAATGCTAGAAAAGAAGGTGTGAGCACTGAGAAGGAGAAAGAAACATCCTCCATATCAGATTGATTTATAATTTAAAATTCCAAATGCTCAGAAGAACAGCTGCAAACAATCAGGTAATGAATTCATTCTGGAACAATCAATAGTGCAAACTGAAATTGATTAGAAAATGCACCCGAGATTCTTAAAGAGATACAGAATAGGAGAATATACATAAAACAAAGATTGTGAAACCATAGCAGTGAGGTAAGACTCAAGAATAAGCGGCTATAACCAATTACAAATCTTGGAATTGAAAAATATAGTCATTAAAATTAAACTGCCAATGTAAATAGATGGAATAAACTTTAGACTTGCCAAAATCAGACAGGATTTGCAAATTGAAACATACTGAAGAGGCAACAGAGAGAGATGAAGAGGTGAAAAATATATATGAGAAGTAAAATAAAAACAGACATGTAGGATAGTACAAGAATATATATATATAATATATATATAATATACACACACTGGTTGGGGTGTGTGTGTGTGTGTGGGTGTGTGTGTGTGTGTTTTCTTAATGAAGGTAACAGAAAGAATGTCAGAGAAGAAACATTTGAAGAGATAATGGCTGAGACATTCCAGAATTTAAGGCTCAAATCCTCTGATATATTAAAGAGAAAATTTAAGAAAATCAAGGATAAAAACATAGTCTTAAGAGCAACTAGTGAGAAAAGACAAGTTACTTATAAAGGAACAATAATCAGACTAACAGCAAAATTTTTATCACCAACAATTAATGCCAGAGGTCAATCTTCAAAGAGTTGAAAGAAAAGAGAAAAACCATCAAATAGAATCATATGCTCAGCTAAACTAAGCATCGTAAACTACAGATCTCTAGCATTAGAAAGACATAATTTAGTAGAAAGAAACATAACCACAAAAAAGCACAGAAATACAAGAAATAAAACAAGAAAAAAATCAACCAACTATTTTGGTAACTAGTGAGTGATACAGAATAGACTCATAGCCCAAAAATTCCTCTGTGCTCTGCCTATTTATCCATCCCTCCCACTAATCCCTGGCAACCACTGATCTTTTTACTGTCTCCATAGTTTTGCCTTTTCTAGAACGTCATACAATTGGAATCATACATATGTAGCCTCTTCAGGTTGGCTTCTTTCAGTTGGTAATATGCATTTAAGTTTCCTCCATGTTTTTTAGCATTTAAAATCATAAGACAATATTTGGAATAATTTTTTACCAATACATTTGCAAACTTTGATAAAATTAAAAATTCTAGAAAAATTTAAATCTGAATAGTCATTATAGAAAATGATTCATTAGTTACAATTTCCATACATTTCCATGCATCTCCTAACATCCATAGACACACCACGATCCTGAGACTAAATGGTTTTATCATTAAGCAATAGATCCTACTTTATATAATGATTATATAAGATCTTTTCCAAGGATTAAAAAAAGAGGTAAGGATAACTCACATTCTAAGAATGCAGTATTTTTGGTATCAAAACCAGAGAAATGCAACATAAAAAAAAGTAAAACAACAAATGCAAAAATATAATATGATAGCAATCATATCAACAGCATACTCAAATAATAGTATATTATAATTGGTTGGATTCATCCTAGGAATGTAAAAGTGATTCACAACCAGAGAATCTGTTAATTTAATTTGTTATATTAACAGATAAGGAAAAAAATCATATAATCATCTGGATAGACACAGGAAATGCATTACATTTCAGCACGTGTTAATGATAACAAATAAGAAAGGATTAGAACTTTCTTAATGTGACATAGGCGTTTACCAAAAACCTATAAGAGATGTTATGCTTAAAATGAAACATTTGGCCGGGCGCAGTGGCTCACACCTGTAATCCCAGCACTTTGGGAGGCCGAGGCAGATGGACCACGAGGTCAGGAGATCGAGACCATCCTGGCTCACACGGTGAGACCCCGTCTCTACTAAAAATACAAAATATTAGCCGGACGTGGTGGCGGGCGCCTGTAGTCCCAGCTACTAGGGAGGCTGAGGCAGGAGAATGGCATGAACCCAGGAGGCGGAGCTTGCAGTGAGCTGAGATCACGCTACTGCACTCCAGCCTGGGCGACAGAGCGAGACTCTGTCTCAAAAAAAAAAAAAACAAAAAAAACAAAAAAAAGAAACATTTGAGGCTTTTTCATTAATGTGAGGAATAACAGCGTCTACTCTAACCTCTACTATTCAGCATTGCATTGAAAAGCCTATCTAATGCAATGAGTCAGGAAAAAGCAGCAAAGAATTAAGGATTGAAAAGGAAGCTTGCAGATAAAAGTCTACGAACAGAATTAATGAAGAGATGTGTGGCAAAATTGAAAGCTGACACAAGAAAATTCAATAGTGCTCCTATAAATTATTATCTAGTTAGAAAATTCAATGCAAAAAGGTACCATTCACCAAAAGGAACTTAGGAGAGATGACAAAGGAAGTGTAAGACCTTTATGAAGAAAATTATAAGCCTTAATTAAAGGATATAAAAGAAATCCCAGTAGATATTCATAGTAAAGCTCCAGTGTTTATTTTCTAGGTATGCAAATTTGAGCTACTTATTTATCATCCCTGTGCCTCATTTTCCACATTGGTAAAATAGACATAATAATAAAATCTACCTAATCAAGCTGTTGAGGATCATGTAAAATAATACATACAAAAGGACTTAGAACAGTGCCTGATACATAACAAGTGTTATTGTTATCATTAAGCTGTAGCTTTTAAGACAGTAAGGGTAGTGACACTGAGATAGATAAATGGGATATAACAGAAAGCTCAGAAACCCACCTAGGCACATATTAAGTCTGAAGTATAACAGAGGAAGCAATATCAATGCATGAAAAAAGGAAAGAGTATGCAAGAACTGGTGATAGGACGAATGGCTTTCTTCATGAAAAAAATAGACTTTACTTGCATTAGATAAAAAAATAAACTTAGCTGGATTAAAGACATGAAAAATAGGAGTCTAAACCTATTCAAATAGAAGGACAGGGATTGATTTCCTAAACCATACACAGAAAACAGTTATGGCTGGCCGCAGTGGCTCACACGTGTAATCCCAGCACTGGCTGAGGCGGGTGGATTACTTGAACCCAAGAGTTTGAGACCAGCCGAGGCAACATGGTGAAACCCCATCTCTACAAAAATTACAAAACTTAGCAGGGTGTGGTGGCATGTGCCTGTAGTCCCAGCTACTTGGTGGCTGAGGTGGGAGGATGGTTTGAACCTGGGAGGTGGAAGGCTGCAGTGAGCTGTGATTGTGCCACTGCATTCCAGCCTGGGTGACAGAGTAAGAACCTGAAAAAAAAAGACAGTAAGAAAAGAACAAAACAAAGAAAGAAAGAGAAAGAAGGAAAGAAAGAAAGAAAGAAAATGGATACAGTGAAGAAAATGATTCATAAAATTGACATCAAAACTAAAAACATCTTTAAAAAATCCAAAACTTCATTACAAAGAAAGGGCTAGTATCCACAATATATAACATCTATAAATAAATAACTGATAATAGATAATTGACAGAAGAGGACACCCGAATGAAAATTCTCAATCTCAATAGTAATAAGGGATATACAAATTAAAACTACATAAGATATCATTTCATGTTCAGACTGGCAAGAACTTGAGTTGGACCATACTAAGTTTTAGCCACTACATAAATAGATACCTCAAACACTCCTGGAAGGGCACATTGATATAATCACTTTGGAGAGTAATTTGGCAACATCTAATGAGGTTGAAAATGTACCTATCTGAAGAGTCAACAAATTCCACTCCTAGATATACTCCCTATTTGTATATACCCAAAAACTCTTGCCTATGTACACAAGGAGACAAGTATTCTGTTCACTGCAGCATTGTTATAATAACCCAATTGTCAACAAGTAGGCAAAGAAATAAACATAATAAGTGGTAAATGGAGTATCCACAGCAATTAAAATGAAATAACTAGATTTATAGGCATTAACATGGATAGATGTTGTAAACGTAATTTTGAGCCTGAAAAATAAGTTGCAGAATGTCACATACAGTGATATGATTTATATACATTTTAGAAGCAACAACATGCCACAATATAGTATTTATGAATGCATATAATATATATATTATGTAATAAATATAAAAACATGGTTTGGACACACATCAAATTCATGATACGGTTGCCTATGGGCAGAGAGAAAGGACATAGGACTGGCAAGGAGAATCTATGGAACTCCATAGACATTAACATTAATATATAATTTCTTTAAGTAAAGGATCTGAGGTAAATAAATGTGGGGAAAGATTAACATGTGTTAATTTTTGTATCAAGTATATCTCTTGATTTTTTTCTGTATTAAAATATGTTTCATATACATAGTGTCTGACCTCCAGAATTAAATACTTCTATGGTAGAACAGACAGAAAATAGACTAAAATGTAGAGAAGCTGAGTGATGGCTGACTTTTATCATGCAACCTTGGCCAGTTCTCTTAACCAAGAGAATCTCGGTTATCTGATCTGCTGAATGAGGACACCGCAAACCTTAAGGGGAGTGGGTATGTGTTGAGAACACAGCACGTGCTAGGCATGAATCACATTAACACAAGAGTTGGGCTGTGAGCTAAAAACTAAATAGTATATTGTAAATTCACCTTAGGAAACAAAGCTACTATTTTGTAAAACCCATCAGAAACAAAAAGAATATAAAGAGGCTTAACAACTGTAGTTGCTGTCTGATTCATGCACATTTCTTTCCTTTTTCCTTATGCCTTTTTCCTCATCATTTCCCTCCACAGATGTAACAATTTAGAGGGCAGAGCTAATCTACTCATTGAAGCCTGAGAAACAGCCCATTCTATCTCCTCCTCACACACATTGTGGGGTGGAATAGCTTAATGATGTCATCTGTCAAAAGGCCCTGGAGTCATATTGTTTGTCTATTAGAAATGTCTGTAGCATGGAATCTTCTAATACAGTCAATTCCCCAAGGAGAAGACAGAGTTCCAGATCTACAGTGAGCCCCAGTATGCAGGGGTGATGCAGTGTACAAGGCATAGCTGCAGTTTTCTACAGACCAGTTGCTATAAGAAGTTTAAAATGAGCTCTCCGGTAATAGCCACAATTTTCACTCTCTCTGAAAATGGATAGAGTCCAGCACTGACAATCTCCCTTGATGTTAAATGCCTGCCAGCCAATTTCTTTCTGTTTGTCTATTTCTTTTGTTAAAGTAGGGGACACAACTTTGAATTTTAAACTTCTACTAGCTGTAGTAGTGAAGAATTTTTACACACATTTACATACATAACTAAATGCTCTATGTTATACTACAAAGGATAAAAAAGAAAGTGAAAAAGTAAATTATGTGTCTTTATTTCAGATATACAATTGAAGGCATTTTGGTTGGCGGAAAAATGGCATTGTGGAGATAATTTATATATGTACATTTCAACACCCCTCTGCATAAAATGAAGTACATACAGTCATTTTCTGTACTTCAGAAATACTCCTTAATTTCTTCTCCTGCCCTTTTAACAAATCCTACTCCTCTAGGTGTGTCTACCTTAAAGGGTCATTTATGAACATGAAACCGTGCTCCTTTCACCATTTCCAAGTCCATTTTCATAAGCACTGCTGGGGTAAAGTTAGGCGGTTCATTAGCGCAGAGGAAAAGAGAAGGAATCTGAAAGTCAGACCACTGGGGCCAGAACCAGGCCTGCCACTTACAAGTTGTGGCAATTAACTTAACCTATTTCTACCTAGTTAAAATGGGAATAATAACAGTATTTTCTCACAGAATTGTAGAAAATGAAATACTGTATAAAAAGTGGCAAATAGAATGAAATAGATGTTAGTCAGAATTAACTTAGTGTCACCATATTGCCATCATTATAATTGTTAAGCCAGCTGCTACGTGCTGGAAAGTCAGTGCAGAGACTACTGTCATTTAAAGGAGACAGACACATCAACAAATACATACAGAAAGGGGGTCCCTATTTAAATGAGGAAATAACCCAGTGGCTGAGGGTCTGAAGGAGCTTTGAAAGCCCAATAATTCTCCCTTGCTGCCATATCACTGTGTATGGCTGTGGCAAGTGATGAAGAAAAATAAATGTTTTAAAAGAACGATGCTTGGATGAGGCATCTGAATTCCTGTTTCCTGGATCCAGGAATTCTAAGTATCTCATTACAATGGCCTTTCTCTGCAGATCACGGAGGCAGAAGGCCACTACAAAGATGTCTTGGTGCCATCTGAGTCCCAAGGTGTCACTGACATCTGGACCCAAGGTTTGAGCTAAAGGTAGCCAAGGCTGAATTAGAGCCAAGAGCAAAAAGAAAACGATTCCAGATGCTTCCAAACAAGTGCCGAGCAAGGCACTTCCTCTGCCTAGCAAGGGGCACCCATTAAAAGGAGGCATCTGTCCTCCAGCCCAGTGCTGAGGTCCCCAGGGCCCTGGGGCACTGCTGCATCCTCACCCTTATTTCCGCTGCTCATAGGGAGGGGAAAGTCTCTCTTCCTGATAGAGCTCCCTGCATACAAGCAGAGCGCGCATTCTCCTGCCAACAGGGCCTTTCCATTCTCCGTTCCCACATTCTGAGATTTGTTTTTTTTTTTTTTTTTTTTTACTCCTTCAAACCAGAGGTGCCTTATTTGATTGTTCCAAAGAAGTCAGCCTGCTGGGAACTGTTGGTGGAGGCTGATATTCCAGGTGCAGGCATTCCAAAGCAAAGGAGAGTCTACTGTTCCAGGTCACAGAACATTCTTCCTTGTACTAATCAACTTTTTTTACACTGAAAATAAATTGTTTTAATAGAATATAAAAAATATAATCTTCACTGTTTCTTCATTCCATACTATATGAAGAGGTCCCAGGTGTTTTTAAAAATCATTTTTTTGTATAGTATTTGTTTCTGAGGAATTCCAAATTGCTCTAAGTGTCATTTATCTTCCAATATCACTATGGAGGTAGGCTTCGGCTTCCCATCTCCTGACCCCTCTGGCTGATAACAAACAGCTGTTTCTTGCGAAGGGTAAATCTAATCACAGTGGTGCTGTGCTGTGTGGCCGCACATGAGGCTGAGTGTGACAGATGGCTGACGGTGAGTGCCACATCTGGGAAGGGCTGACATTCACCCTATGGCCAAAAGAGGACAGAGAATGGCCCCTCCTGTCACAGCATCCAACAAGAAAAGAGAAGAACTTCCAGCACCTGAATTTGTAATAGGCTTGGGGAATAAACTATTAATTGAAGCTCTCTCCTAATGCTTAGTAATTCCTGTAAGAATGCATTTGAAGGTTTGGTACTGTACGTCAAGTTGAAATTTTTCAGTTTCCTTCCACTGTAGTTAATTTCAAATTAGCATAGTTCAATTTTTATAACGTTAATACATATCATATTTACTAGGACATCCAACAAAAATCTCGGCTGAAATAAGCGTTTAATTTTCCCCTATGAGAACTACCTGAAGTTGAAACCACTTTTCTTTTCTTCTTTTGTTTTTTTTTGAGATGGAGTTTCGCTCTGTCACCCAGGCTGGAGTGCAGTGGTATGATCTCGGCTCACTGGACAGAGATTGACTCTTCCTCTCCCAGCATCAACTCGGTACTGAACCAGGAAGCAACACTTCCTAAGCAGTACCCTGTGCTTTCTACCAAACACATCAATTAACTAATTGGATAAAGACTAGTAAAAATGTCTTTTCTATAGGATTTTTCTTTAAACATTATGAAACAATATTCTTTACATGAGATCCACACAGTGCTAGAGCACGATTGGAGTTGTGTGAAAACCTCTATTAAAAAGACCAGTGACCATATGTGAATGTGGCTGCCTTCATAATGAGTAAAGATAAATGATAATAAAAATAAATAATGATGATAAATGGCTGCTAACTGGGACCAACGTCTCTGGTGAGCTGTCACAAGTCAGCAGAAAATGCCATTCCTTAAATTTTATGAAATTAATAATACTTGATTATTCAGAAATATCTGACAAATGCTGAAACTAAATGTTAGTTCTCATCCAAATGCAATAATTTGACGGTAGGCAGAGGGCTATACAATTAAACATTTTATATTTAAATTTAGAAAACTATTTCTAAAATTAAGAATACTTTCAATTATTGAATTAGAAATTCCTACAAAATGGGAGAAAATTTTCGCAACCTACTCATCTGACAAAGGGCTAATATCCAGAATCTACAATGAACTCAAACAAATTTACAAGAAAAAAACAACCCCATCAAAAAGTGGGCGAAGGACATGAACAGACACTTCTCAAAAGAAGACATTTATGCAGCCAAAAAACACATGAAAAAATGCTCATCATCACTGGCCATCAGAGAAATGCAAATCAAAACCACAATGAGATACCATCTCACACCAGTTAGAATGGCAATCATTCAAAAGTCAGGAAACAACAGGTGCTGGAGAGGATGTGGAGAAATAGGAACACTTTTACACTGTTGGTGGGACTGTAAACTAGTTCAACCATTGTGGAAGTCAGTGTGGCGATTCCTCAGGGATCTAGAACTAGAAATACCATTTGACCCAGCCATCCCATTACTGGGTATATACCCAAAGGACTATAAATCATGCTGCTATAAAGACACATGCACATGTATGTTTATTGCGGCATTATTCACAATAGCAAAGACTTGGAACCAACCCAAATGTCCAACAATGATAGACTGGATTAAGAAAATGTGGCACATATACACCATGGAATACTATGCAGCCATAAAAAATGATGAGTTCATGTCCTTTGTAGGGACATGGATGAAATTGGAAATCATCATTCTCAGTAAACTATCGCAAGAACAAAAAACCAAACAGCACATATTCTCACTCATAGGTGGGAATTGAACAATGAGATCACATGGACACAGGAAGGGGAACATCACACTCTGGGGACTGTGGTGGGGTGGGGGGAGGGGGGAGGGATAGCATTGGGAGATATACCTAATGCTAGATGACGAGTTAGTGGGTGCAGTGCACCAGCATGGCACATGTATACATATGTAACTAACCTGCACAATGTGCACATGTACCCTAAAACTTAAAGTATAATAAAAAAATAAATAAATAAATAAAATTAAAAAAAAAAAAAAAAGAAATTCCTAAACTCTACAAAACCCCCACCATTTCATGTCTGTTCTTGTGCAAAAATAAAATAAAAATTAGCTTATAGAAGACTAGCAGGTCTAAATGTCATTATGAAATACAGTTGACCCTTGAACAACATGAGTTTGAACGGCATCAGTCCACTTTTATGTGGATTTTCTTCCACCTCTGCCACCGATGGGACAGTAAGATCAACCCCTTCTCTCCCTCCTCCTCCTCAGCCTACTTAATGTGAAGATGATGAGGATGAAGATCTTTATGATGATTACCTGCACTTAATAACTAAGTATGTTTTTGCTTCCTTATGATTTTCTTAATAACATTTCTTTTCTCTAGCTTACTTTATTGTAAGATACAGTATGTGATACATATAACATAGAAAATATGCGTTAATCGACTGTTATTGGAAAGGCTTCTGGTCAACAGTAGGCTGTTAGCAGATAAGTTTTTGAGAGGTCAAAAGTTGTATGTTTCTTTTGCTGTGCTGAAGCTCTTTAGTTTAATTAGGACCCATTTGTCAATTTTTGTTTTTGTTGTAGTTTCTTTTAGAATCTTTGTCATAAAATCTTTGCTAGGGTCCATGTGCAGAATGGTATTTTCTAGGTTATCTTCCAGGATTTTTATAGTTTTAGGTTTTACATGTAAGTCTTTCATCCATCTTATTTTTGCATATGGTGTGAGGAAGGGGTCTAGTTTCAATCTCCTGCATATGACTAGCCAGTTATGCAAATGCCATTTATTGACTAGAGAATCTTTTCCCCATTGCTTTTGTCAACTTTGTAAAAGATAAGATGGTTGTAAGCTGTGTGGCATTATTTCTGGGCTCTCTATTCTGTTGCATTGGTCTATGTGTCTGGAATGAAATCATGTCCTTTGCAGCAACATGGATGGAGCTGGAGGCCATTATCCTAAGCAAATTAACACAGGAACAGAAAACCAAATGTCACACAAAGAAGGGAACAAGAGACACTGGGGCCTACTTGAGGGTGAAGGATGGGAGGAAGAGAGAATATAAAAACTACCTGTTGGATACTATGCTTATTACCTGTGTGATAAAATAATCTGCACACCAAACCTGTGACATACAATTTACCCGTGTAACAAACCTGCACATGTACCTCCTGAAACTAAAATAAAAGTTTAAAAAAAAGTTATATGTGAATTTTCAACCGCATGGGGGTTTGGTGTCCCTAATCCTCACATTGTTCAAGGGTCAACTGTACATAGAAATGAGACAAATCCATTTCTAAAACCATTTTACATCTATTTTGTATCTGTCTTTGCTGTTCACTTTAATTTCTGTTTTTGGTGAATACTCTCCTGTATTTCAGACATCCTCACAAACTACCTTAAAATATTGCTAGAAGGAAGAGAGGAAAAAAATAGAATAAACACACCAACATATGTATAGCCAAAAGGACTCAAATTAAAGGGAGCACTTCTAGTTAAAGAGACATCTAAAAAGTGTTTTTTTGAGGGCTGGGGCTGGGCTTAGGTACAGTTCAGTAGGGGAGCTTGTTGACCTCCGAAGCATCTTCCTGAACTGGGATTCTATTGACTGTACTTGCCTGTTTACCAAAAGACATGCACACTGTGTTTCTTAATCAACAAAAAGTATTATAATAGACATCCCTTGAGCTAAGGCATCCCTTAATCAACAAAATTATTAATTGATGCATACATTATTATGTTAATTTATTATAATAAAGAAGAACTGGGGATGGGAATGACGTGGTTTAATACAACAACATAACCATGCAAATCTCTGCTTCTGGTGATCATTTTCAAAGACATGTTGCAAAAATAGGGCCATTGCCTATAAGCCAAAGCTGTGTTTCATCATGTCCCATGACTTACCATGTGTGCCTGGAAAAATGCGGGAATGAAGGACTGGTTGCATAGGTTGAGAATCCTGGAAGAGTCTTTTAGGACGTAGATATTCCCGAAGTCCACTTGATTGGGATGGACGTAGATAACTGGGCCTTCTCCAGCGCTCTTTAAGTGACATACCTGAGTTCCGCCAGAGAGAAAGAACACAGGAACAGCTGGAAATGGCTAGCCACTTTTAGCCATTCCTTCAATAAAAAGCAAGGGCAAAAGAGGATGCTTATGAGAACTGGCACCCCTTCCCACTGGTGTGCTGTGGTCTCGGGAACACAGCGAGGGCCATGCTGGTCAGACCTGTGAATCCAGCCTGGATTTCCTCCCCGGAAAGAATGAGCAGCTTCCCCAGGTCAGCCCAGAGCCATGCATTGAGGGGAAACCAGAATCTGGGTCCCCTCCATCCCACACAGCACTCCAGCCTCAATGACACTTAGTACGGGGTTAAGGGTCAGCACTTCAAAGTCAGATGTGGCTGGGTTTGAGTTCCAGTTCTGTTGCTTTACAAGTGGTGTGGCAGGGCAGGGCCACTGCACATAGTTGTGAGGGTTGGAGATTGAAATCCACTTTGCTCTACTCTCTTCTTCCTGTCCCCGGAGCCAGGCACTGTGTCTGCCTGAGGAAGGTGGCCCTTTTCTTTCACAAAGTTCTGGCTGCTCAGCAAGCTACCCTCTCATGGGCTGCATCTGTGCAGGGGGGTAGGACAGCAGCACAGTGAGCCTCGTGGGGGACCTGAACTGGTGGCATGTTTTGGGGTTGGCCTGCCTTGGTGATGCTGTTTTATAAGTTAAGTGGCTTATTTACGGCATCTTATATGGAAGAGATAAAAGCAAAATCCTAGTGTTTTACGCTGTCTAAGCAATCAGAGTCACAACAAAGAAACGTAAGGTGACATCACTAGTTCCCAAGTAAACCACATGTCTAGGAATACAGAGCCTGTTGGGCAACCTCCTGTAGGATTCGATGTTTATCCTTCAACTCAGCCTAAGCAGTGGAGAGCTTTCCATGAATCCCTCTTCCTCTTCCTCTTCCTCTTGGAGAGAGACTATTTCTCTTAACAGCTTGAGTAGGCTGATGGCACATTAGCTTGAGTAGGCTAATATGAGCCATGAGTCAAGTTAATATACAAGAAAAGCTCAGGTGAGCAGTGAAGGAAACTGATCTCCCAGCCTACAGGTGACAAACCAGTGATACCCAAACCCAGCTTTGCACCAGGAACAACCAAGGAGCTTATTAAAAATACAGATGTGCTGGCTCCCGTACAGATGTGCTGGCTTCCTCCCCTCAGAGTTTCTGATTTCAAAGGACTGGAGAGGGGTCAGGCATGTGTGACAGTGTGTGTGTGTGTGTGTGTGTGTGTGTGTGTGTCAGAGAGAGAGAGAGAGAGAGAAACTCCTGGTATCCTGTTAGGTTTAAGGATGATTGCTATAAAACACCGCTTCTGTTAGATGTAGCCATAAACAGATTCTGTAAAGTCACATAGCACCGGTATTTTACCATTGCAGAGTAAAAACATAAAACCCTACAACTCCAAGCAACTGGGGTGTATGTGAATATGGTGTGGGCCTCAAATGAGAAAGCTCAAAATGTTTGAGAAGAAGCACAGCAATTTCAATTGCAGTTCTGAAAATGGACTCTCACCAAAGGGGGGTCCTGGCTCCCAAAGATTGAGATGTAAACCGTGGATCTGTGTTCTCCAGTGACCTGGGTCTCCAGGACCAGTGGTATGTGGATGGTGCTGCTTGGGGAGATGACCCCGCTGGGGGTGGGGCTGGAAAACAGCACAGTAGGCACCTCCTCACACACCTGGGGGAGAGAAAACCAGAGGGGTAAGGACAGCACAGCATGGAACAAATAGCGTATTTGCTTATTTTGAAGTGTTTTCCTGAGTCCGTAGAGGTGTTTTAGAAATGTCTTATTATTCAAGCAAGTAAATAGGGATGAGCACCCCAATTCGGCCAAAAGGAAGTTTGGTTAAGTGGGATGTGCGTGAGGCCCAAAATTCAAAGTGCCCAGCACAGCAAGATGCAGAATTATCCGCAACTCAAATAAGTTCAGGGCAACAGCTTTCCACTTTCCTTAGGAAAAGGAAAAGGTCCACTTTCCACTTTCCAAGTTCCTTAACCTGGCCCTCTGCACCCTCACGCATCATCCCCACTCCCTTGCCCTTTGTGCTCCATCAATAGAGGCTGCTGGTGTTTCCTGAATCCATGATGCTGCTTCTGACCTCCAGTCCTTTGCACTTGTGGTGACTCCTCCTAGAACGCCCATACCCATCAACCCATCTGGCACACTCATCCTGAATTCTCCCTCTCTTCCTCAAGGGCCCTAGGGTGGGAACCTTTCCTCTGTCCCCAGGGAGCATCCTGTGCAGTCCTTTTCCACAGCATGCACTGGACAGCACCATGCCACCTGCATCTCCCGCTGACAACTTCTTAGCTTACAGCTGGGCCTCTCCTCTCTACATGACCACTTTCTGACCCAAAGCATATGCTCAGTTTTTAAAGTGAGGAATGAATGAATGAATGAACAACTGTCCAGTATTGACCAATTTGTGTTTCTCAGAACCCTGTTCTGCACCATATTACCAGCTTTTATGCATCAAGAACGCAAATAAAATTTTTAAAATGCTACTATATAACTCTGGGAACCATTTCTCAGAGCCTCTGCTGCTGGGGAGGACGACAGAGCATGCAGGTGTCACCTGCCTGGGGTACGCCACAGTCTCTCTGCATCTGGTCTGGCCTAACATGGCCCAGTCTAACTCCTCCCTGTGCCGCAGTGCTCCGCCGAGCCTTATGACAGCCTGAGGTCGGACTGATCTCTTTACCTAGGTTTTGGTATCTTGTTTATTATGGATTTTTTGGAATTAATTTTGATTTCTTACAATATGTAATGGAAATACTAAGTATCTTGAGTGTTTGGCTTCCCCTTAAATTTTGTGCCCAAGGCAAGTGCCTCATCCTATGCCCAGTCCTGCTGTGCAGAAACAACTTCCCCTGACCCCAGATGCACACTCCACTCTGAGTTCTTGAAATGATCATGCACTGTGCAGGGCTGGCCTGGCCTGCTGTGGAGCATCTGAGTGTTAGACCTTGTCTCCTGTCACCCTAACCCTTGGCTTCTAGTTCTGTCTCAGAGAAACCCATAGAACCATTCTATTTCTCTCTTACGTAACAGCCCCGTGACTTGTGAAAGGTAGCTGTGTTATCCTAGCTAATTCTATTCTGTTTCAGATTAAACACACATATGATTGGATTTGCAGATGCCATGGATTGCCATTTTGGTTACTGCGAACATGGTGCTTTTTCGTCTTCAAGTTTCCATTAGAAAAATACAATGACAACATCTGAAGACAAAATTCTGGCTGTGTTCTGACCAGCAGCTATCACCTTCCTTTACCTAAAGGTGGTAATTCTCTGCGGCAGCCTAAACTTGCCTTGGTTCTGTGGCCTCCATATTGCTGTTTTAACTTCCATTGATCTTGTAGCCAAATAAACCCCCATATGACATTTTTGCATATATTTTAGTTAGAATATTGTAATTCTATAACTGAGTTTTATACCCAAATGCATTCTTGGTAAACTGCATCTCAGTAGTAACCTTCCATTACTCTAATCTGTACAGATTTTTAAAAAATTGTTTATCCATCTGTGTTTAACTCCTTAGTCTCCCACTTAGCTGGGTGTAGTGGCATATGGACAGACACATTTCATAAAACATGAAGAGATAATTCCTCCTTTCTTATTCCTGTATTGTCTCTAGCTTTCTGGTCCAACAAATCTACTTATAAATATTGCATTACTTACTGATGCCATTCAACTCACAGCCATGGACATAATGAAAACTCCTAGCTCATTTCCCATGCATGGTTAGTTCACAGGCAATTATTTGCAGATGCAATTCTGCATGTTGGCTTAATTGACACTTTCCCTTGTTTATCAAGGGTAATTTCTCTGGGAAATTAACAACGATTTACACCTGCAGCTGCTCAGGCATGCAGCTAGCAATCCAACTGTGACTTTATAACCCGATCCTTAGACTATCTAAGGGTTAAAAATCAGCATTACTTAAGGTCATGTGTTCAGGAATGTGGCACTTCAGAGGGATTTCTCTTTCTCATCAAGGGAACTCAATGGAAGAATAATTAATACTGAAGAAGGAGAAAGGAACTCACCTGAGGCTGGACCTCATAGAATCCTGGGAGGTCATCTTGATTGGCAAGCTGGAGTGTTTTCTCATACGGGTACTTCAGGAAGCAGTGCCCAAAGTCCACCTCTGTATTGACCAGGTGGAGGGCAGGTACAACACACCTGCTCGGAGGAGCCCATCACACAATTCAAAACAGAGAGCTTGTTTACATACAGAAAACGCAGAGCCCCAAGCGAGATACATTTGTCAGTGTCACATAGTAGTTTTTCTCTAATAACCACATTAGTCACTTTCAAAGCTTCTCTCCTCCTCTCTTCCCTGTCTCTTGGCCCCCAGTCACCACTTTTTAATCAAAAAAGGACTAGAAGCAGAACTCCTTGAAGAGCTGTCTGGTGGGTAATGACTCACATTTCCATTGTTTTATATATTTGGCCTTCTTTGGGCAAGGGGTCCCCATGGCGCAAGATCCATAGGGTAGTGAATCTGTTTCCATGCCAAACAGGGCCAATGCCACCAGCATGTGGTCCTAACTAGCTGTGACACTTTGGACCAGTCAGAAAGCCCCCCAAGGACTAGCGACAGCTCACATCATCTAAATAACAATAATAATGCTAATTCCTATGCAGAACAGCTGTCTTGGATGCAGAGGCTCAGGTGGCTGCTTGGTCCAGAACTGGCACTGTGACGGGGTTGTCACTGTGCCGACATGGCGGGGGTGAGGTGGGGGGAGAGGGAGGGAGGGTTGTATGCAGAAAAGAGGGGAGTTGAAGCCCTGTGTTTACCATTGGTCTATTATTAGGTGACTTGGATTTTATTTGCCGTCTGTGACTCTCAATGTCTATCCTACCCTTTGCCATTGCTTCAGTATAGTGCAATGGTGAAGAGTACCAGCTTTTGAATTTGCAGAGCCAGCTTCAAAGACTGACCTTACTAAGTACAACCTGTGTAACCTTGGGCAAGATGCTTTCTGTCTCAGAGTCCCATTTCTCTCATAGGTAAAATGAGGATAATTCTAGGGATTGATATTGGCATTATAAACTCTTCTTAGGGTGCTGGAAGGGCATAGCCCAGCACCAGGTAAGTGCCCAGTAAGAGGGAGTGAGCCTGTGGCAGAATCATGGCAGGCTGTCACTGCTGGCTCTCAGGAGAGAGTTACTTGAGGCTACAGTTCTAAAAGCAATTCTTCTGTTAAGAGTCAGTGAGTAGTTCCTACAGATTACACCAAAAATAAGGACATGAAAGAGGCTTTCTTTAACCGCAAAGTTTGTGATTTTGCATGAGTGTTCATTTCTAGCTGGAATGGAAGTTGTCTGTTGACCCAGTGACTTTCTTAAAGCTAATCCTTTACTACCTGAAATACTGTGACTGAGAGGGCTTATACTACTTGACTTGGGTCACAGAATATAAGTAGAAAACTCATAGCCTCTTTAGACCTTTTTTTTTTTTAATTTAGAATTTCCTATCGATAGCTGTAGGGAAAGGGGCTAGAAAGTATCTGAATAAGCCTGCATAGACAAGAAATGCAGGACTAGACTGAAAGGCAAATCTGGGCATAGAAAGGACCACATTAGGGTTTTTACTGTTTGTAAACAAAGGAAAAAATAGGTCTTGAAGGAATACTAAGTAGGTCACAGTGGGAACCCTAATTTAAGTTGTTTCTGCACTGCTATTTATCTTCATCCAAGCCCAAGACACGTGAAATAGTGTCAGTTACTAACTCCCCACCAACCAGCACATCTGCCCCATCTTTAAAGTGTATGTCTTCCTAAGATTCACAAGAGATCAGAATTCCAGAGATTGACATATTAGCATGATTATCAGTTTTCCTAAGTCATTTTCTCTATTTCCTATACATAGCATTTGCATACATACAACTTAAAGTCCCAGATCTGGACACTGATTGCTTTGGGAAGAGTGTGGCCCCAGGATTTTATTTGGGATCACATCATCATTAGTCGATGACACCACCACCCTCATCAGCAGTACTGCAATGACTGTAGCTTGGTCAAAAGGACACAGTCAACAAATGGCTGAGCCAGGATTTTAACCCAGCTGCCTCTCTCAAAAAGAGAGAGGAGTTGGAGATGGTTCTGAGGAGTATACCTTGTTAAAGATGAGCCTCATCTTGGGGGCCCACTCCTAGCCTGAAATTCAAGTCACAGCAACAGTGTCCCGGGGCAGGGACCTCTTGGCTCTATGGATCTTCCACTGCAGGACTGACAGCATCACCTTCCTATTGCATAACTCTGGAGCACTATGTTGAAAGATGAAAATAAAAATGAGCAGCTCTTCACCTCTTCCTGCTAAAACCTTTCTGGTTACATACTTTGAAAGTCAAACCCGTTAGAGAGGGTCTGACCCGTTTTTTCACTATTCTTAGGATTCTCTGCCTAAACTCTACAAAACACACACACTTCTTCTTATCTCCACCAAAGGTGCTTTAGAAACATTTGCTGCTTTGTCATTTGAATGTCAGATTCAACTTCCCTTCCCAGGAAGGCAGGACAAACTCAGTGTGCTTGGGTTGGCAGGCCAGCTGCCTTCTGGGAGGCAGCCCATTACTGGAGGCTCGGGGGCGACTCAGGAGAAGAGCAAGCTGGGGAGCAATACCTTGCTGTAATTAAGAGCGCCAGCACCTCTTCTCCGATGCCCTCCACGTCCACCACGAGTGCCAGCTCGTATTTCTGCACAGTGTTGGAGCATAATGTCACCTGGAAAGAAAAAGGTGACAAGTTGGTCTTCGAAAAAGCACGTTCTCTCTACACGGGGGAGGGGAGCCTCCGGAGGACTACGCTGATCAGAGTGGTTTCTAAGTGCTTTATGGATATATAGCATTTTACATTTTTAGTTGACAAGTTACATTGTGGGGTCAGGGCATGCTGAGTGTTTTCAAAGGCCAGGGTAGAAACCAAATGGCTGTTAGTACAATGGCTTTGCTCATTTCTGAGGAGGTTTTGTCAAAGAAGCCACATACCTGCATAAGGGGAAAAATGAGCATGAACGATGAGCAACATCGAACCAACTTTAATTACTGCAATTTAAATTGTTCCCTACCTCTGGGCTATATGAATTATGAAAATGTAATATACTAGTAAAACACTATAGCACAAGTTCTCTTACAGTAAAATAAATGGAAATAACCATGTCAGTTCCAGAAAATGGTGTAAGAAATCAGTCTGCTTTACCAAAATCTTGCCCCCACCATCCCACATTCTTTATTACAGCAGAAAATAGAAAGTTCCAAAGAAAGGTCTATTTGAGGATAATAGAACATGGTCAAACCATAAACAGATTTCAGAACTCATTGGTACTTAGATTCCAATTCCAGCAAGTTGGAGTTAAGCAGTAATGAATTGCACAGACAATTCATTTAAGAAGTTTAGCAGTTGCTAGGAGAGATTGAGGGTCAAGGGAGGCTCTTGGGGGGCTCAGAACATTTTACCCTGTGTTTTTATTTCCTGCTGTGAAGCTGTACATTTAGGCTTTCAGAAGACTTGTTATGATTTTTAATTGCTTCAAAATTGTATGTACTGGAAGAGATAGTTTCAAGTCTAGAAAACAGCTTCTGGCATGAGTTAAGGCTTTTCTATCTATAAATTATGCATCTGGTACTAATTAAAATGTTTTCAGTTGCAGAGGGAATCACTGGATGCAAATTTGAGTCCACACAGACCTGGCTGAAGTGCAGATCAGGAGGGAAAACTGGAGCTTGGAGAAAGCTTTTCTAAATATAAAGGAAAAATAAAGTGAAGATGAAGTCATTGATTTGGAAAGAAACAGAGAATCCTAGTGTGACTGTAACCCCTTGTTTATGTATCTGGGCTGTGGCTAGAAGGAAGAACAAGTGGTTTTGGCAGAAGGCTGCTAGCAAGACGCTGTGTCTTTTAAAATCTTCCTGAGATATCTGGGAAGCAACAACAACAACAAACAACAACAGCAAAAGAAAAGAGGGAAGACAGTTAAGGGTGAAATAATTCCACTGGTGGCACTGTGAGGCGATAACCAAGGCAAAGCACTATCCTGATTGCAGACAAAACATGGAAGGATGAGTATTCCTCAGGATGAGGAAGCTGAATTCTCATGGCTTTTCCTGCAGAACTCAAGATAAGGCGCTGTTAGTGATACCACATCCACATCCACCATGAATGAAGCCTGGATTCGGATTACAAAGCTGAATAAACCAGATATCATCTTTGGCATAAGTGTGGCTATTTATTGCTATCTAAAGGATCTGAGTCTGAAGGAAAGATAAACCTAAGTATCAATAAGTTGTGAAATCTGTTTATATTAGTACCGCTGGGAGTACTGTCTGGATAGCAGTGGCTTCACTAGAAATGCCTAGAACCCACTCTTCTGGTGAAGGCAATGCATCTAGATTAAGGTAAAGCCACTGGCACAGTGCCCATTGCTTTGCCCAATGTATTTGTGTCTGATTTATTTCCTTATAGGCCCACGTTTCCCTGTAAATTGACAGGCACCCCCTCCTGCTGACACTGGACATGCTAGAGCAAACCCTAGATGAGGGCCCATGACTATTTTGAAGGCTCAGCTGCTTAGCTGTGTGTGCAGGAAGGCCATGCACTTTACCCTGATAGCAGCAAATCCCTGGGGGCGAATGGTGCCACAGTCAGGAGAGATGGTGAATTCTTTTGGTTTCATTGAGGATATTTCTTCCTTGGTCCAAGATGGTCTTTTGTAGTCCACATGCTGCTCACAATATGAAATGCTTTTATGGCCAAGGCCATCCCCAGGGATACGCAGTTTGTAAGTCATGGGGATCAAAGAGGTATTATTGAGGGAACATATCAAGGTATGAGGAAACCCTGGAAAACAAAATATGATGTGAGAAATAAAAGCCCCCCCAACACCTCCCTTGACCCTCAATCTCCCCTAGAAACTGCTAAGCTTCTTGAATGAACTGTCTGTGCTATTCATTACTACTTAACTCCAACTTGCCCTAAATATTATTTTTATTGTTTCATTCCATCAATAAATACATTTTCATTCATTAATGTATCTACTTTTTCATTTATGCATTCACTCAATGAATATTTACTATGCATTTACTATGTGGGAGATTAAACACCACATATAAAACAAGCCCCTTGATTGCCACTCAGGCCCTTCCGGGGAGGCAGCCTCTGTTAGTAGTTGGCTGAGTAGTCTTGCGGAAGTATATTTTGCATTTATTTCTTACACAAAAATATACATTTTTACATTGAATCATGCTTGCTGTTTTTATTTGCCAGTGTGTGAAAGAAAAAGCCTGCATGGTTTTGCCCCCTGGGTGACCCAGAGCTTGCCAAGACATGATAGAGTGTGTCCTAGACCTGTCTGGGTATCACGCTCTTAGGGCTGATGACACAGTATCAAAAAATAGCCTTTCCCAAGAGAGACTTTACAAACTGCTTTAGAGCCAGCCAGAGACTAACACCTGGCTTTTACCTCTCTTAGACAAAGCTGCTTTGTCATCGTATCCAGCTTTGTTCCGTGAGACTCCTCTCTTAAGAGATGTGGACCTTTCTTGCTTGGCAAGCAATACACTAAGCTCTGATTTTCTTTCTTTTCTTTCTTTCTTTCTTTCTTTCTCTCTCCTTCCTTCCTTCCTTCCTTCCTTCCTCCTTCCTTCCTTCCTTTCTTTCTTTTTTTTTTTTTTTGAGACAGAGTCTTGCTCTGTAACCCAGGCTGGAGTGCAGTGGTACAATCTTAACTCACCTCAACCTCCACCTCCCAGGTTCAAGTGATTCTCCTGCCTCAGCCTCCTGAGTAGCTGGGATTACAGGTGTGCGCCACCATGCACCACCACGCCCATCCAATTTTTGTATTTTTAGTAGAGATGGGGTTTCACCATGTTGGCCAGGCTGCTCTTGAACTCTTGACCTCAGGTGATCCACCTGCCTTGGCCTCCCAAAGTGCTGGGATTACAGGCGTGAGCAACAGTGCCCGGCCACTAAACTCTGATTTTCGATTCCCTAGGCAGCTATTGTATCTGATACCACTTTCAGAACAAGAAGAATAATCTATAGACACAGGAGAACAAAAATGCATATTTCTACTGGATGGAAATGCTACTCTTCTACCTTGAACTCTGCTGTAATAAAATGTACTTGGTCTCTTGGAGTAATGACTGTTGCTGTCGGGGCTATTTTGAGTTGATCTACTTCTGCCTCATGTCTCAGCTTTTGTCTACACATTAGGCCATTGGAGGAAACACATTCATGTATCCTTTGTGATAACACACCTGCCAACCTACTTGGAAGATATCTTTCATGGAAAAAGAACTGTGAGATTGAGTGCACTTGAAGGGTTATTCTTGGAAATTCCAGAGGAACTGCTTGGAAGGCAGCTTCACAATCATGCTACATGTGACTTTCCTGGACTTACCAAATAATGACTCTGGAAACTGTAGATGGCTTAGCCTTATTTGATCTGACCATTTATGAGTTAGACGATCTGTGAATGTGGAGCGTATTATGGAAAGTGGGTATTATAAAGAGTCACGTGGTCTTCCAAACCATTGCCCAGACTGCTTCCTTAAAGCCAGAACTTTTTCACAGAATAAAGCCAATTATGACCTCCTAGTTACAACAATTTCTTGTACTAGTACCTGTAATATCCCATATTGCTTGTCAAGAAGCCTAAAGGAAGGGGATGCTGATTTGTTAAAGACTGAAGGTCATTAATAAGAATGTTACTCCTAGGTTTCTAGTTGCAACCAATCCTAATACTATTCTATCTACAGTTCCACCTGAATGCAAGTACTTTACAGTTGTAGACCTCTATGCTCCCTTTTATAGGGTCTAGTAGATAAAAAGTCAATATTTATTTGCCTTCTCTTCAAATAATTAACAACATAATTGCACAGAATGTCTCAAGGATTCACAGAGGCACCTGATCTTTCTCCCAATACTTGTATAATGTTTTAAAACACAACATTCTCAAGAGATTCAATTCTCCTTCAAGATGCTTATTTTCACCTGACCTAAAAAGCTCCTAAGAAGACTAGCAGAAACTAGCAGCGGAAGATCACAAGGCTGTAAAGGAAAAATTACATTTCTTTAAAAATATGGTATATTATTTGGAACATGACGTCTCTACTAGAGAAAGGACCCTATCTAATGAGAGTATTAAATTGATTCATCAACATGCAGGACAAAATGCTAAATTATAATTGAGAGACTGGGGGATTCATGGAATATTTTAGACAATGGATTCTTTATTTTTCTAGTAAAGTAAAAATCTCCACAAAGCAAAGGGAACCGTGTTGGCAGATCATTATGCAAATCAGGTGGCATTTTTGTCATTGTCCATAGAAATAATTCAGAATATGGGAATCAATAAGCACATATATCCAACTCATTTTGGACATAGAAAATTTAGCCTCAGATTCAGAAAACAAACGTTGCCTAAAATTGGGAACCTCTGTTCATTCCAATGGTCTCTGGAATACCAACTATGCCCCCAAATCTAAGTGGTCTTTGACAAAAATGTTTTATCATACGTAAAACATCACCACCATAGAAGAGAGGAAATAATCTCTGAATAAGAATCAATGGGAAAATCTCTCCTCTGTAGCTGGGGATGTGGCTGGCTCCTGCCTCCCATCCTGATACCATATCCAGAAACATTGTACAAGTGGGATGTGAGTCTCTGGAATATATGTGGATTAGGCCCAGCTCACAAAGTTCAGAATATGTGCTTGTAACTGTAAATTCTTTGGATGGGTTTGAGCCCTTCTGTACAGAAAGACCACTGCTGTGACTGTGACTAAGAAACTGTAGACTATAAGTTTCCCACCTGGGGAATGTTACCTTACACTACAAGAGTTAAAAAGAATTTTATAGTGCGTTAGCCCTTTGATAAAAAATTTCACAATCTTTGGGAAATGTAGAGCATAAAAATAGTATTACTGATCTTAAGTTGGCCCAGTTCTCCGAGGTTCTGAGTTCCTTGATGAAGAGTTTTACCTTTAGCTCTGATGGCCATCAGATATGATTAGCTCCCTCTGTAACTCATAGACTATTCACTTTATGAAATAATAACTAGAAGATCCATGTGATTACAAGTATTTCATCAATTTGGGTCAACCTTGCTTCATGCAGACATAACAAAATATTGTGAGAACCAGCTCATCTATAAGTTTAAAAAGTCTTCCCTAAAATACCACCCTCAGAAGCCCTCCCCTCTTTCTAACTGAAGAATGAGTACCCTGAAAAATACACCAATGAAGGTCTTCTTCAGAGCCTTCTAACAACTGACCTTGCAGTTAAATTATGAGGTGGACCTCTGAGGAAAAAGATGCCCATAGAAGCTAAATTATTGGCTGAAGACGTGTTGAAAAATACTCTCACTGGGGATCTTAAGTAGAGGTTTTCTAAAAAAACAGAAAAAACCTTCAGAAGCAGATGACCTTCAGAAATAGACTGCTATTTCAAGTCCCTCAGAACAAGCAGACTTTACCCACAGTAGATAGCTTCTGCTCAAGACTGATGGGATGAGATTTTGTTAGATGCCTGACGTTACTGATTCTCACACTCTCCCTTGCGTACTTTTGTTTTTCATCATTTTGCCATATTACTCCTTGTTTCTTATCTTAAGGTTATACAATTTTGATACACCCTGTGATGTCTCCCTTACTGTTATTGACAAGTTGTTTTGGGCATGCTTTGCTCACACCTACTATGATCTCTTCTGCCAACCCTTCTAAGATCATTCTGTGATCATTACAATCCGGTTTTGCTCCCGACTCCCTACTTTACACCCTCCGAAGGTCAACTTAGATATTTCTCCTTCAGCTACATACTGCCAATTTATATCAGTGCCATAGAAGAGACACCGGTAATGCATCTTTTGATGCTTTATTTGAACAACTCTGTCCCCAAATCCCAGACAGGTTATCATATTTTGCAATAACTTCTCTGTCCACATTATTCAATGGCCGAGTTCAATAAATGCTTGGAGGTTTTCAAACTCCTTATTCTCATTCAACACATCCTTGTATCTCCTGAAAAATAGTGGGTTTGCAGATATTTACCTGGGCCTTTAGTGTATCAGCTAGCATGCCAGTTGTTACTTGGTCCATTTATTCTTTAACCCATCCAAGGATTCATCTATGCCTCAATGTTCCTTCAAGGACAATCACCACCCAATTCTATTATCTGACTCTCTCATGCTACTGCAGCTGTAGTCAACAGAACTAATTATTTCTGGGTAGGTCATCCAACATCCAATCCTACCATCAAAAATCTTTATAGCCATAGAAATTTTAGAAACCAACATATAGTACTATTACCCACCACCCATCTATCTCAACATCATCAATTCCAACAGTCCCTGATGCAAAATCCATATCTTCACCACCAAGCAAATAAATGCCACATCTCCAACACTAATCTATAACAGACTCCTTTTTAGGAATGGAACTTAGTGTCAATACAGGGATAATACTGTCAACTTTAGTTAGCTTAATGTATTCCCCACTATATTAGCCTCTGCAAACCTTTTTAAACCCCACATAATATGTCCATCATTCTGAAATAACTAAAATATTCCTCCAATTCTTGGCTTATTCCTGGAATGATCAGTTTCACTTTTGCATCAGGAACTATACGCATCCCTATTAGTCTTTCATTCCTGAGCTAATAACAAGCTTATGCTCATCTGTCTCATTAACGCCTCCCTACTTGCATATGTGGGGTAATAATTAGAAAGTTTCAAATGTGGCCAGGCACGGTGGCTCACACCTGTAATCCCAGCACATGGGAGGCAGAGGCAGGTGGATCACCTGAGGTCAGGAGTTCCAGACCAGCCTGGCCAACATGGTGAAACCCCGTCTCTACAAAGAATATTAAAAAATTAGCCAGGTGTGGTGGTATGCACCTGTAATCCCAGCTACTCGGGAGGCTGAGGCAGGAGAATTGCTTGCTCCGGAGGCGGAGATTGCAGTGAGCCAACATGGTGCCACTGCACTCCAGCCTGGGCAACAGAGACTCTGTCTCAAAACAAAACAAAACAAAACAAAAAACACCAAAAAAAAAAAAAAAAAAAAAGAAAAGAAAGTTTCAAATGCCTCTCCACATCCTCCAGTGCCACCATGCTTCTTTGTGAAAAGTCTATTTGATGAGAGACCAATCCACCTGGGGAAATAATGGTACTTTGTTGGAGTCATGAGGCTTAAATTGTGGGGGTCATATAATTGGAAATTAACACAAAATTGCCCCTCGCTTTGGCTGATGCAGTACAGACTCCAGAAGCAAAGCAAAGTAGCCTAAACCCACTGACCCATGTGGTTTTGAAAACCAGATCGCCTTAGATTTCCTGTTGGCAAGCCCAAAAGGGATGTTATTGCTGACATTTCCTGCCACAATACAGAGAAGATTAAAGAATTTATAGCATTCATAGCTAAACTAAAAGAAAAGATAACTTGGGTTTTGAAGGTGGATTAAGTTGGTTTTTGAGATAAGTTTCCATGTCTCAGGTTTGGGAAATCTTGGGGGTCATGGTTCTGCAGTGTCTTCTGGCCTCTTGCATAGCTGCTATATCATCAAATGGTTCAATAAGATATTACAAAACAAAAGAAAAGTAAATTGTTTCTAATTTTCAGCTAAGCTAATTACCAAAACTTTCAGCTGAACCAACTATGAGGAACAGCTGTTGATTTTTATTTCTATAGCTCAAGGAAACTATGGATAAATTACCCAATGATAATCTTTCCTGCGTCCTAATAAAGGAGGCCCAAATGGAAGATGGTTAAGGGAAAAACCTATCTAACCTTGGAGCATGCGTACCTGGTTTCGTGTGAGCCAGAGCTCCCTAACATCAAAAATCCCATTCTAGATCTGATGGAGAATAATGTTATCAATGTCATTGTTTTGAGGATGAATAAGAGCCTTTAAATTGACACACAGGTTATTCTTTAAATGGACACACAGGTTATTTTCTTATTTGGCATACAGCATATAGGAAAAGGAGGCGATGATATGAGAGTTCTGGCAAACAGGAAGAGGAAGTGGAAAGGCTACTCCTTTTGTCTCAGTTGAGTATGGGAAGGGGAAGAATAACAGAGTGGCCACATGTGTACATCATGGCATCTGCCTTACAGGCCAGAATCTCAGGGATAGGGTGGCTAAATAGGTTGAGGGGATGTTGGAAGCAAAGGGACTTCTGCCTGGCTTTCTTGTTGGGAGTCTCAGAGCAGACCACTTCACAGAATATTCTCATACCTGCCTGGGGCAGCTAACTCAGGATAAAAATGGTATGCTTACGCTGAAAGGGAATCAGTACTTGAGGATCTCTCAGTTCCTGTGTGGCTGGAGAAGGACCCAGGCATTACACATGGATACATGGCACCCTTCCTCCCACTCATGGTTCTGGAAGGTAGTTGGGTTGAGAACAGTGAACTTGCCATGGGTCTGCAACAGGGCTGCCATAGCAAAAGGCCAGGCAACCATACCTCAATGGCTATGAAGGGAGAAGAGAGATTAACTTCACACTGTCCAACGGAAATACAATGCAAAACACAAATAGGTGACATTAATTTTAACAACATAGTGCATTTAACCCAACATGTCAGAAATATTATTTCAACATGTAATCAATAGTATTTTACACTTACAGCACATCTCAGTGTGCTCAGTAGCTTCATGGGGGAAGCACAGGTCTAGCTCTAGGGAGAATGGAGTCAGTGGAAGCCAAGTCAGTGTTGGCTCTGCTGGAGCTGAAAGGACAAGCCATCAGTGTTCCCACAATACCTCAGTGGAAATGGGCGCCACAGGTAAGTGGATAGCTAGATGAGGCACCCCCAGGCCAGTGCCTCAGTGCCCCCCAACTCCTGCCATGCTTGCTTGGTAGTGTGGGAACACATGAGAAATACTAGTTGGGTTATAAAAAAATACTTAAATTTTCTTCACAAAAAATATCTAAGATGATTGAGATTAAGCATCTTTTAATATGTCTTTCATAGACCTTCTATTCTGTTTAAACACTTACCAATTCATACATGTCTATTCATCTATTTGCCAATTTTTCTATTGGATAATTTCACTTTTCCTCATGAATTAGCAGGAGTTAGTTTCATGTATTCTGAAGGTTCATGTATTCTGATTTTAATACTTTGCCTATTATTTATGTTGCAAGCATTGTCTTTTTACTGTGTTCATGAAATCTTTTTGTTTGGAAATTTGCTTAATGTTAGGGAGCCACACTTACTAACCTTTTTCTTTATGGCTTTTGCATTGGGCATCTTGTTTAAGACCTTCACACTTGCTAGCATATAAACATAACCACCTATATTTTCTCCTGATATTTTAAAAAGTTTGTTTTTCATTGTTAGCTGTTTAATAGATCTGAGATTTTTTTCTGTGAAAGATGTGAGGTAAAAGTCTAACTTTTCTATTATTTCCAATGGATAACAAATTGTTTCTTTGCCTTTTATGAAGCAGCCCATGCCTCCACTGATCTGAAATTTCACATTGAGCATGTGTAAATTCCCCTGTAGTCATGGCTTTGTTTCTATTAGTCTATTTGCCTATGCTTTAAAGTACATTATAATATCTGATAAAGTCCACAGTCACTGGTCTTTGTTTCAAAAATTTATTGGCTCTTTCTGTGAATTTTTCCCCAGGGAATTAACCAATTATCTTCTTCCTGTAGTGTCTGCACATTTATTGTTAGGTTATTTTATAGTTTTATATTCTTAAATGATATTTTTCAATTATATTTTCTAGTTAATCATTGCTGATATATTTAAAAATCTACTTTTTAATAATATTTTGCTTGAATATCTTGCTAAACTCTTATTAGTTCTAATGCCTTGTCAGTTAATTACCACAGTTTTTCTAGGTAGAGAATAATACATTCTATAAACCATGATAGTTTTGTTTTTTTCTTTTCAACTACTTATCTTTTATTTCCTTTTATTTTCTTATCACAATGGCTTGGACCTCCAGGACAATGTTATATGATAGCTTGAGAATAGTTTTTTGTTTTTTGTTTTTTTTGTCTCTGAAAATGAATCAGAATGCTTTCAACATTAAATTGTAATATCCCAGTCCCCAGAATAGTGTCTAGAACATAGCTAAACTAATATTACTAAATATACATTACTAAATGAATAAAGGTCCCCATTAAATACATTTTCCTACTGTAGGTTTTTTCTATTTTTCATTCATCATATTAAGGAATTTCCCTCCTACTCCTAGTTTTCTAAGAATTTTTATTTCTCATTATGAATGAGTGTTGGATTCTGTGGAATATTTTTCTCAGCATGAACTGAGATGATATAAATTGTGGTAAATTACATGAATGGATTTCCTGTTACTAAACCATTTTTGGATTTCTGGGATAAATTCTACTTGGTCATGATGTAATTTTAAAAATGCATCTCTATGCATGTGATTTGCTAATGCTTTAAAATCAATGTTCATAAGAGAGATGGGTCTATATTTTTCTTTTCTTGTGTTGTTTTACTGTGAATATATTTGTCTCCTAAAACGAGTTAATAGCTTTCTACATTTTTCTGTGATGTGAGATACATCCATTTCTTCACCATTTGGTAGAACTCACTTGTAAAGCTGTTTGACCTAGTGTCTTTTCTTCAGGGGTAGATATTTGACTTCTTTTTCAGTATATTCTATGATTATTTTTCTATTCAGGTTTTCTACTCCTTGCGGTAATTTTAATAACGTATGTTTTCCCCCAACTCATCCATTTCTCCTATTTTTTAAAGAAGTTGTATATAGCATTCTCTTATCTGTTTTTACTGCCTTAAATATCTGCAATTGTATTTCTTTCCTGGTTCCTAATAAGAGTTATGAGGGTTTTTTTGTTGTTTATTTGTTTTTTAGAGACAGGGTCTTGCTCTTTTGCCTAGGCTAGATTGCAGTGGTGCAATCACAGCTCACTGCAGCCTCCAACTCCTGGGCTCAAGAGATCCTCCTGCTTCAGCCTCTTAGGTAGCTGGGGCGACAGGTACGTACCACTACACTCAGCTGATTGTTTTAGTTTTTTGTAGAGATGGGGTCTTGCTATGTTGCCTGGGCTGGTCTTGAACTCCTGGGCTCAAGCAATCCTCCCGCCTCGCCCTCCCAAAGTGGCGGGATTATAGATGTGAGCCACTATGCCTGGCTGATTCTTAATTGATGTTGCCCAGATTTGCTAAGTTACGGCAAAATTGCTGGTTATCTCCCACTATCCTTTTCCTTCTTCAGGAAGTAACGAAATCCCTAAGTTTTGGTTGTGAATGTGGCCAACAAGAATGAGGCTGTATTTCCTAGCCTTATGTGCAGCTTGGTTGTGGCCACACCACTAAGTACTCACCAATGGGATATAACCATATGTGGCGTGTACAACTTCTAGGAAGTGTCCTTAAAAGGAAGGGGTGTACTCTTTTCCTGTCTCTTCCTCCTTTCTGCTGGCTGGAATGTGAGTATGACGGCTAAGGTTAGGGCAGAAAACTTGACCAAGACATAGAAGCTACATGCTACCTATGATGGAGTTACAGAATTGAAAGAGCATCCAGTTGCACACTATAAGGACAGATGTTTTTCTTCAGTTTAGAAATTCTCAGCCGCCATCTCTTCAAATATTGCTCTTTGGCCATTTTCATTCTTTCTCCATCTAGCATTTCTGTTAGATACAAGTTAGAACTTTTAAACCTTTAAACTTAGAACTTGTATCTATTAGATACAAGTTAGTTAGTTAGTTAGAACTTTTAAATCTTACTTTCCATGTCCCTTTATTTCGCTTTCATGTAGTCTAACTCTTTTGCTTTCAGTGCTACATTCTGGATGAATTTCTCAACATTAGTTACTTGTCAATATATAAGTTTTATGCCTGACTGTCAGTGTTTGGGGTGCTCAAGTGGAGAAGACTTCTAGATGAAAGAGTTTTAGATATTCTTGGAGCTCAATAATGGGCTTACCACTGGTATATAGCATTTACATTAACATTTCAGAGCTGAACTATAGAGTAGATTCCAAACAATGAATCAGTATAAGATTTCTTGGCAGTAACTGACTTGGGATGGTTATGTGGACTCTGTTTTCTTATGCAGGGCAATCAGATATAGGGCACATGTTCTGAATGTCCTTGTGCTGGACTTCCTATTCCAGTGCTGTGGAACGGGGGTTCTTTGTAAACCTTCCTCCTTCCACGTAGAGAAAAGGAATCCTATTCAATTTCTAATTTAAAATGGAAAACTACTCACCAAAGGAAACATCACCAAAGTGCAGAGCTGGAACATTAAAATGGAAGGTAGGTCCAATGACACAGCCTCTGGAAGGAGGAATACAAGGTGGGGGAGAGGGAGAGAATCCAGTGAATCAGAGTCACAATCAGGAAGTAGGGCAAGGATAAGTACAAAAACCATACCTTGACTTTATGTCAATTATAGTATCCAGGATTTAGAGAAATGATGACATGATGGTCTATCACAGTGGTTCTTAAAATTCTTTTTCATGATTCAAACCATGGGTTTTGACAAACAATGCTGTGGTTAACTTATTATCTTATTTCTACCAATGAATAGGTGAGAGGCAGAGCAGATGGATCACCAAACAAGGGCACAAAATGTTGTTATTTTGAATGAGACACATATCATGTAAAGTTATTAATGTGTCAAGAAATAAAAATTATAGGTCTAATCATGTAATACACATCAAAGACTATCATTGATACTAGTAATCCCTGTCCATGCTTTCATATAAACTGTTCCAATTCCACTCTTACCACTGTGACATTCCTACCACTATGACATTCACTCACTGTGATGTTGGCCAGCCACTTTATCTCTATCAGCTTCTGTTTCTCTTCCTCGTGTATAAAAGAGAGGACTGGACTAGGTGACACTGAATGACTCTTTACTCTAAATGTTGGTCTATTTCTCTCTCAGTGTAAGGCTTTATGATCTTGGAGAGATGCTGTAGCTTAAAATAAATAATAGAGAGATTCTATGACTTCTAGCTTAGAAGGTAATGTAGGTAGAATAATGGCTCCCAGAGATATCTATGTCCTAATTCCCAGAACCTATGAATATATTAGGTTACATGGCAAAGAGGAATTAAGGTAGCAGATGGAATTAGGGTTGCTAATTAACTGAATTTAAGATGAGGAGATTATCCTGTCTTATCCTAGTAGGCCCACTGTAATCACAAGGGTGATTTTAAAAATAGAGGAAAGAGACAGAAGAGGAGGTCAGAGTGCTGCAATCTGAGAACTCAACCTGGCTTTGAACACAGAAGAAGGAAACTTTGAACAAAGAAGAAGGAATCCAGGAATGTGAGCCGCCTCAGAAAGCCAAAAAAGGTTAGGAAATGGGTTCCCCTCTAGAGCCTTCAGAAGGAAACACAGCCCTGCCAACACTGATTTTAGCCTAGCTAGACCTGCATTAAGTCTATAAAACTGTAAAATATTAAGTATGTGTTGTTTGAAGCTACTAAATTTGTGATAATTTGTTACAACAGCAAAAGAAAACTATTCAGTTATCTTGTTTACCTTCAGAGCAATAATATTTTTCTCCATGATCCATGTAAAGACATGGATTGGTGCCTTAGTGATACTTCCGGTTGCTTCAGCTCTGACTATAATGTGATGAGAGGTTGTTGTAAGCCTGGGAGGAATGGCCACAGCAAAGACTCACTGCAACAAGTTTCAGGTCTAACTTTCTCATGAGCATTTATTATATCTCATGCTAACGATCTGAAGTGATTTTAAAGGGAGTGGTTGGGACTCAGCCAGGAATTGGGATCCAGTTGAGAACGACGTCAACAAACAGGCCGACAGGCTATATGCTTCACTTGAAAAAAAGCTTTTAGGGACCAAAGTAACAAATAGATCAAAAGTGTCCGACATGCGCAAGATGCTAAAGAAAGTAGGAAAGAAGTTTAAAAAATTTACACAAAGCAGACATTTAATCAATGCAGAAGTTTAAACAACCAGAGATACATGACACTTGTTCAAAGGCACATGTAACTGAGGGAATTGTGGCTGAACCATCCCATCTGGACTTAGATATGGTCACATTAATTCTCACAGGGATTCAGAATGTTAGGACAATCTATGCCAAGGCTGTGTCATAAATCAGTGCAGGGGTCTGTTAAAACTATAATTTGAAAGACAAGAGAGAGAATGATTCAATTATTACAATATGTAAGTGAGACAAGTTGAATACAAAATGTATCTGTGCTATGGTTCAAACTTTATAAAATCACATACATAAAAATAGGAGGGAAGAAAATTGCTTGTGGGTAATTTAAAAAAATCACACTAATTTTAGTGTTGTTTATCCAACCACTGAAAATATTGTGTTATATAACTGGAAGAGTAAACAGAAAGAGTGAAAGTATAATATTTGTTATGATCTTTCAAGGCACATTAGCTAAAATACTAGCTTATGCAGTACTGAGAAATGAGTACCTGGCAATAAAAAAGTAAGAAACAAAATTCCAGAACCTACGATATTAACTTTATAGACATTTCCTGGGCTACGAGGCCCAAGAAAGTATTTCTGACAAAGTAAAATAACAAGTCAAGTCAGTGTTAATGTGTGGAGCTGAGAACAGATGATGTATTATACATGCATTTTTACCCTTTATGAATAGACATTTATTCATGACACTAGATTTTTAACAGGTTTTCAAAATTATTGTTAGTGGTTTGAAATGCTACAAACCACTAACAATGCAACACTATTGGACAAATGAAACACTGAGCTTTAAAGGAAGTGAACTGAGGAGGAAATTTATGTAAGTCTATTTCTCTTAGCAATTGATCATGAGTTTGGTGATAAATCCCCATAAAGATTCTTTCCATAGTCAGGTTTGTTGAAGGAAACTAGAAATGAACATCCAAAATCAAGAAGTGGCATGTGAATTTTGGTAAATGGAAATGTCCAGAAGATAGAACAAGAGGCTTACCCTGCACAGAGCAGGTGGAGTACTAACTAGTCGAAGTTCACTTGTGAGCAGATTCCTGGGAGATCCCTAAATCCTATTATTCCCAATGGAAAACCCAAGTACACCTTAACCTATTTAGACATTGCAAGTGACATGCACGACTACTCTGGGATCTTTAGGAGAACAGATCAGAGATTTAAAAAATTCACCCAGGAAATTACAGAAGTATTATTCACTATTACAGCCTCCTGGAATTTTTTTTTAAATGACAGCTTCATTGAGATATAATTCACACATCATACAATTCACACATTTAAAGTGTACAAATCAATGTTTTTTGTATATTCACAAATATATGCAACCATCACTACAGTCAATTTGAAAACGTTTTTATCACCTCAAAAAGAAACCTCATGCCCTTTAGCTGTCACCCACTATCCTGCACCCTCCAGCCCTAAGCAACCACTAATCTACCTCAGATCTATATAGATTTGCCTACTTTAACCATTTCATATAAATGGAATCATGTAATGTGGTCTTTCGTGACCGGGTTCTTTCATAATGTTTTCAAGGTTCATAATGGATGAACCTTATTTTCAAGGTTTATAATGGTGTCATTATGGCTGAACCTTGAAATCATTATGACAAGTGAAAGAAGCTAGTCACAAAAGACCGTGGTAGCAAGGTTCATTCATGCTACCATGTTGTAGCATCTATCAGTGCTCCATTTTTTTTCATTCCTTTTTATGGTCAAATAGTATTCCATTGTATAGATATAACACATTTCATTTATCTTTGGCTACTATGAATGATACTGTTATAAACATTCATGTACAAGTTTTTGTGTGGATATATGCTTTCATTCCTCTTGGGTATATACCTAGGAGTGGAATTGCTGGTCATATGGTAACTCAGTGTTTACATGTTTGAGGTGCTGATAAATCATTTTCTAAAGTGGCTGCCATGTCTTACATTCCTAATTACCAGTGTATGGGAGTTCTCATTCCTCCACCTTTTCACCAATACTTACAGTAGTTCCTTATCTGTAGTTTTGATTTTCTGTTGTTTCAGTTACTTATGGTCAACACGGTCCAAAAATATTAAATAAAAAATTTCCAGAAACAAATCAGTCATACATTGTTAAGTGCCTGCCACTTTGCGTAGTGTGATGAAGTCTTGTGTCATCCACTCTCTGTCCAGCCGAGGTCATGAGTCACCCTTTTGTCCAGTGTATCGATGCTGCATATGCTACCCGCTCTTTAGTCACTTAGTAGCTGTCTTGGTTATCAGATCAACTGCCACAGTATTGCAGTGCTTGTGTCTGAGTAACCCTAATTTTACTTTTGCGCTTTGGGGCCTAAAAATGCAGATAAAGGGAAACTACTGTATTTTCCATTTTAAGATTATAGCCATCCAAGTGAGTGTGAAGTAGTATCTCATTGTGGGGTTTTGATTTACATCTCCCTGAGGATTAATGATATTGACAGTCTTTTCATGTGTTATTGGCCTCTTGTATATCTTCTTTGAGAAATGTCTGCTTAAACGCTTTGTCCATTTTTAAATTGAATTATTTATTGAGTTATAATTGTCCAATAATTTATTGTCCCTTATCAGATATATGAGTTGCACATACTTTCTCCCATTGTGAAGGTTGTCTTTTCACTTTCTTGACAGTATCCCCTTTGAAGCACAAACTTTTTTACATTCTGATGAAGTCTAATTTATTTATTTTTTCTTTGGTTGCTTGTGCTTAGATGCTGATTATCTGAAAACTATTGCTTATTTGGTTTTTGGATATGGATATTTAACCCTATCTTTTTGTTTGTTTGTTTTTGAGACAGAGTCTCACTCTGTCACCCAGGCTGCAGTGCAGTGGCACAATCTCCGCTCACTGCAATCTCCGCCTCCTGGGTTCAAGTGATTCTCCTGCCTCAGCCTCTCAAGTAGCTGGAATTACAGGCATGCATCACCATGCCCAGTTAATTTTTTTGTATTTTTAGTAGAGACAGGGTTTCACCATGTTGGCCAGGCTGGTCTCGAACTCCTGGCCTCAGGTAATCTGCCTGCCTCAGCCTCCCAAAGTGCTGAGATTACAGGCATGAGCCACCACACCGGGCCTATCCATATGTTGTCTTCTAACAGTTTTATAGTTTCAGCCCTTACATTTCAGTCTTTGATCCATGTAGAGGCAGTTCCCTTCTACTCCTAGTTTGTTACTTTTTTTTTTTAATCATAAAAGGGTGCTAAATTTTGGTAAATGCTTTTTCTGTGTTTACTGAAATAATCATGTGGTTTTTGTCCTTTATTCTTATTAATATGTTCTATTACATTGATTGATTTTCTTATGTTAAGCCAACCTTTCATCATTCAGGATAAATCCCACTTCGTCATGGGGTATAATCCTTTCCACATGTTGCTGGATTTGGTTTGCTAGTATTTTGTCAAAGATTTTTGGGTCTAAATCCATAAAGGTTATGGGTTTTTAGCTTTCTTTTCTTGTAATGTTTTCATTTGGTTTTGGTATCAGGGTAATACTGGCCTCATAAAATGAGTTGAAAAGTGTTCCCACCTTCTTATTTTTTGGAAGAGTTTGTGAAAGATTTATGACAATTCTTCATTAAACATTCAGTAGAATTTACCAGTGAAGCCACTTGATCTTGTTTTTTGTTTGTTTGTTTTTTGGTTGGAATATATTACAGGTCTATTCAGATTTTCTATTTCTTCTTGAGTCAGTTTTGGTAGTTCGTGTCTTTCTAGGAATTTGTTCATATCATCTACATTATCTAATTTTTGGCATACAATTGTTCATAGCATTATCCACTAATCCTTTTAATTTCTGTAAGGTTGGTAGTAATGTCCTTTCTTTTATTCCTGTTGGGTAGAGTGTGCTGTAGATGTCTGTTAGGTCTAGGTGGTTTATAGTGTTCAACTCTTCTATTTCCTTTGTGATCTTCTGCTTAGTTTTTTATTATTGAAAGTGGGGTATTGACATCCCCTACTATTTTGCTGAATTGTGTATTTCTCCCTTCAATTCTATCTGTCTGCACTTCACATATTTTGGTGCTCTGTTATCAGATGTGTGTTTATAATTGCCATATCTTTTTGATGAACTCACTATCTTATCATTGTAAAATGCCCTTCTTTGTCTTGAATAACAATTTTTATTTTAAAGTCTATTTTGTCTGATATAACATAGACTCTCCAGCTTTCTTTTGGTACTGTTTGCATGGTGTATATATTTCCATCCTTTTGGTTTCAACCTATTCATATCTTTAAATCTAAAGTGTGGTATCTTGTAAAAAGCATATAGATACAAGATAGATATCTTGTAAAAAGCAAAAAGATATAGATTTTTGGCGGGGTTGTTTGTTTTGTTCTAATCCATTCTGCCATTCTCTAACTTTTAATTGAAGTATTTAATACATTGACATTTAATGTAATTGTTGATAGGGCAGGACTCATGCTACTTATTTTCTATATGTCTCATGTCTTTTCTGTTCCTCTATTCCTCCATTACTGCCTTTCTTTGTGTTAAATGGATATTTTCTACCCTTTTGAATTCCTTTGTTATTTCTTTTACTGTATTTTTAAGTTTCTTTAGGGAATAGTTTAAAGAATGGGCAATCCTGAATTTGGGTAAATAATTCAGAGTCAAAAGTGAGGGCAGTAGTATTCATGCATCAGGAATGTCTAAGAAACCCAAATACATGAGTTCTTGCACCTAATATACAACCTTGCTTGAAGGAGGTACTCAATAAGAGTTTATTTAACAAATATCCAAAATACATATTTATTCCTAAAAGGGGTAGCTA
Source organism: Homo sapiens (assembly GCF_000001405.40). Taxonomy (NCBI): domain Eukaryota; kingdom Metazoa; phylum Chordata; class Mammalia; order Primates; family Hominidae; genus Homo; species Homo sapiens. Next base: position 71,086,383 of record NC_000016.10, read on the forward strand.
TGTATGTTGATGGTAAGACACAGTATTATTAGGCCTGAACTTAAAATGGGGAATGGCCAGGTGAAATTGGGATGGGCTTTCTTATTAAACTTGAGGGGCAGTTAGCCTTCCTTGGCTAGCACTTTCCCTTTCTTTCATCTACCTGAAAAGTAAAACTGCTCCTTTAATATCCTATACTTTCCTTCCTACAGATAGGGCCATTATTCCTTCTATCTTAAATGTTTTTAGAGCAGAGCTTAAAGGTTTTATCTTTGCTGCTTACGTATGAAGGCTTGCTTATGATACTGGATGTTGTCAAGGGTGCTTATGACTCAGAGCAATACTTCCTGATGCCCAGTAGTCAGCTTCCAAGAGTTGATCTGCTGGATCTTATCAAAGGCCCTCATGGGACTAGAGGATCCGTGAATTGGAGACAAGGTTATATTCACAAGTTTGTTCTTCCTACTTCTTCAGAGAACCACCCTTCACTGCTTGTCATGAGAGATGAGATGTTATGAAGGTAGGAAGTGGGCTGAAGTTCATATAAATGAAAGTGTATTCCCACCCTTCTCATGTTGTATACATACCCAAAGGATGTTAACCATGGGCTGGGATAAGCACGGCACATATTCGTGAAGAGTCAATGTTATTCAAATATTTGGAAAACAACCCTCATTTTTCTCTTATAACAAACACACATGTATTATGGAAGAGAACGTAAATGTCTTGTGAATGTTTCAGATAAGTCTTGAGACTTAAAAATAAAAAAGATTATGTTTGTGACAGGCTGCTTTGGTCATGCCACAGAACCCTTGAGGCACACACGTTCACTCTCCTTAGTTGTTGGGGGTTGTATGACTTTGCTAGGGCTGCCATAACAAAGTACCCTAGACTGGGTGGCTTAAACAACAGAAGTTTATTTCTGTTGCTGTCAGAAGGGTTGGTGATTGCAGGGTTATTTTTTTCTGAGGGTCTCTCGCTTCAGCTTCTCTTTATTTTTTCACATGGCCCTTTTCTATGTGTATGTCTGTGTCCTAATGTCCTCTCCTTATAAGGACACCAATCATATTGGATTAAAGCCCACCCATCTGACCTCATTTTGCCTTAATTACCTCTTTAAAGGCCCTATGTCCAAGAAGAGTTACATTCCGAGGTACTGGGTGTTAGGACTTCAACATATAAATTCTGCGGGAAACAATTCAGTGCATAACAGGGACACTGAGGTGGAAGAGTTGAGAATAAATAGTAATCACCTTTCAGCTAATCTTGAGATTCTGAATGTATAGTATATATCATGAGATCAGTACATTTTCCTTGGATCCTTCAGGTCATATGTCTCTATCTCTTTTCTATGTTATCCCCAGGGCTTGCCCCAAGGGAGACCTCAGCTTGTAGATGGAGGGAGGTCTTGCTAGCAGTTACCAGAATAAGAGAAACTGCCATGGTAATTAACAACCTGCTGCTGTGGGAATCCAAATAGAGTCAGAGCAACGTGTTTACAATGCTTGGAGACATAATAGTGAGATCATGTAAGTAATTTCCTTAAAATAAGAACAAAAGACAAAAGTTTAGAGAAACTGTGATAATGGCCAAAGCTTAGCCCAGATGATTTTATTCAGGTGTTACTGTAATAACTTATTTTCTCTAAACATCCTAAGACATAGAGAGTAACTAGAAGCTAGTTTAATGTCTAAATCCTTATTTTATAAGACTATAACTTGTAGAAAAACTAGATCTCCAAACAGCATCTGTATCTATAATAACTTATACATGCTCACTAGGGAAACACTGATGGAAATTTAACACACTCTATTATGCTGATGTGTTCATATCAACAAAGATAGTCATCAGCATCCAAGACAGGATCTACTTAAAAAGCTAAAAAGGCAATAGGTTAAAACTTCTGTTAGTTTCTACATTCATTATAAATGTACCTTACCTAATGGTCAGTTTCACAGGCTCAGGTGACCCATTGACATTGACCAGGAACTCTTCTTCAAAGTTTCCCAGGATGGTAGAGCTGAAGGAGATCTGGATAGCTTGGACTCCACTTGGTTCAATGATGCCTTCCTTGGGACTGAAAACAAAGCAGGCCCCCAAAGCTGAAGTTGGAGGGGTCATGTTGAAGAGAGCATCGATGCTGCCTTTGTTGTACAGTATCGCCTATATCAATAAAAGGCAAGAATGTGAAGGTCAATGGGCCTCTGACCTATTTTCATATAAGCATGTGTCTGTACTGTTTAACAGCAACAAAGGGAAAGTTGCAGAATTAGAACCAAAGAAGAACACTCAGGGACAAATGAACAGTCTGATGCCTTGAGTGTTTGAAGATAGAACTCCCAAGCCAGAAAGTAATTTTACATTTTTAGTCTCCTCTTTAACATGAAATTAGTCATATATATTATGCTCGTGCTATAAAGACTGATCATAATCACATATACTGATGAAGAGCCTTAAAATACTCCCTTTTTTGCTACTCTCTATAAAGTAACCAAGGGAAAGTAAGTATTTCTCTTATACGCATGAGAAGGCTGAGGTTAAGCAGCATACTTAAAAATAAAAAGCAAGTTAGAATAGCAGAGTGAGAATTACCTAAACCTATGTTTATAATGTAGCTTGAAGAATGTAAATGAGACATCACTGTGGATCCCAGATGACAAGGGTTCTCTTTGTTGTGCTATCAGATTTCATCCTATTGAGACATTTTCATCTCAGATTCTACTGGATGGATGATTGTTTTGAGATTCTTATGCAAGCAACTGTTTTACTATAGAAAAGTTGTACTCCTATATTCTAGTGTTCTGGAAGCATGTTATTGCCCATAGGTGGTTGCACACTGGGTTTAGTGTGTGCATGTAAAGAGCTCATGCCTGAGCTCCTTCATGCACACTCGTGATATTAGGCGTCCTACAAGGCAGGCCTCAGTCTACTGTCCCTACAATTCTTGTGCATGAACCTTCACTACAGCCATGTTGTTCTATCCTGGCTTCCAAAGACACCACCTCTGATCCTTGCCAATGCTGTCCTTACACCTAGAGGGTGAACAGCATGTTTTCCTGATTTATATAGGAACCACCCTCAACCTACACATAAGGCTTTGGAGGACAAAGAGCATGAGAGATCTCAAAGAAACTTTCAGAAGGTTAGCAGGCAAATGTGACGTGTGTCAGGAACGCGGAAGCTGAGGGAGGAGGATTCCCAGAAGAAGTCAGATGCAGACAGAGGTCAGGAGAGTAAGTCTGGAGCAAAGGTTACAGACATTATTTTTAGTTAGAGATTATTGTCATCCCTGACCTTGAGGAAGAGAGTAATTCTAGTGGGGCATGACTGCAGAATCCAGAGGACAAATATTTAGGGAATTGAGTGGGTGTACAGGAAATAGTGGCTGACTATTTTAGATTCCTGTTTTGAGAAGATGAGTGGTGAAAGGTGAGAATGGGAGTGGCAAGACTGTGGGGAGGTACTGTGGAGGAGACAGCATATTTATAATAAATGAGATAATGCATATTCAGTGCTCAGCCTAGAGGAAACACTCACCCAAGTGCTGCCTGTTGTTGTTGTAAGAGAAGAGAGCTTGGTAACTAAGGGAATGGGGTCTGAGTGGAGGCAGAGGAGGATGAGTTCAGGGGCTCAGGTTGCAGGGAAGAGGGCATCCAGAATATATGATGGAGAGAAAGAGTCGGCAGCAGAGGCAGAGCAGAGGAAGACAGCCTCTTCTGCCAAGAGAAGACGGACAATGCACCAAAATAGAAGCATAAATAATTGCTGCTTGCTATTTTATTCATCTTTTTATGTTTCTTTCGCATCTCCCTCATTCTAAGGTCCCTGGTAGCAGGAACCAGGCTTCACCCTTCATTGCGTTTAAAGAGACCACGTAGAAAAGTGATTATGGCCAGCGACTCTGAAGCCAAACTGCCTGGGTTCAAATCTCAGCTTTGCCATTGACTTACTAGCTCTGTAACCTTGGACAATCTACTTAGTTTCTCTGTGCTCCAGTTTCCCCATGTGTAAAATGTAAGTACTACTAACTTCTCATATTGCTGTAAAATTAAATTTATTAATTTATGTAATTTTTAGAATAGTGCTTGGCAAATAGTGCTTAAAAATGACAGAGACTGTTATGTTTTCGTTTGTTTGTTTGTTTTTTGTTTTTTAAGAGACAGGGTCTGGCTCTGTTGTCCAGGCTGGAGTGCAGTGGCGCCATCATAGCTCACTGTACCCTTGAACTCCTAGGCTCAAGTGATCGTCCTGCCTCTGCCTTCTGAGTAGCTGGGGCTATAGGTATGTGCCACCACACCCAACTAATTTTTGTGGGTTTTTTTTTGTAGAGATGGGGTCTTTCTGTATTGCCCAGGCTGGTCTTGAACTCCTGGGCTCAAGCGATCCTTCCACCTCAGCCTCCCAAAGCACTGGAATTACAGACATGAGCCACCACACGTAGTCAGTGACTGCTATTTATATCCCCAGTGCCTAATAGAATGGGTTTAAATTTTACCTGTGCTTAAGAAGTGACTAGTACGTACTAGTGGTAACATGAAGGCAAATTGAAGGCATTAGTGGTAACTTGGAGGACCCTGTTCTTCTCTTTCAGAAGATGCATGGATTGCCTTTTAGTTTTTTTGGTTAGCAGAAATGTTTTGCCCATATTTTCTGTATGGTGAGAATTCCTCCATTTTTAAGAATATGACATCATTCTTCTCCTCCTGAGAAATAAGCACCTACTTACGAATACAGAAACCAGCAATAGTTTTGGGACACAATTCAGAGGCCTTTTGATTACCGATAATACTCTTTCCCTTGAGGTCTAGCTCCTTGGAGAGAAGAAAATTTATAATCAAACTTTGCCTCTCATTTGTTTTCCTTCTTAATTACACTGGGGAATAGGGTATACTCTTGGGGTTAATGGTTTATTCTTTATGTATCTGCTATGTTCAGCAATGACTAAGGGCAATAGCTAGTTATTCAAATTTGTCTCAAGTAGGTAATGCAATAAATTGAAAGAGAGATGCAATGAAGCATCAGCATTAAATACGCAGACAGTGCAAAATATTCCCATAAGAAGCACCTTACCGTGTCCTTCTCTGCCACTGCACAGCTCTCCAAACTGTCCAATCTGATGCATCACCTCATTGAACACTTATTTAACTGGCTGTGGTTTGCTTTACTATTAAAATTAGGGAGGGTGGGAAGTGGTGGCCTCAAGTACACTTCTGCTAAATTTACATTCAGGGAAACCCTATCCATTTTGCATCAGAACTAAAGCTTCTTTTCTGATGTGGCACTCATAAGTTCAGTCTGTAAGATACAGGAAATTCACACTGGATGAATTACAGACAGAATATCAGTTTAATGAGAACTACTGGACTTTTTTTCCTTCTCCCCAAGTGACCTCTCAAATGCAATCCAGGACAGTGTGGGATATAGCTGTGTCACTTGTCATTTCACGACAGCCATGCGACTGACTTCTTCATTTACACAGGGTTCCTATGCATAGTCCATCTCACTGTGACATTACCATCTCTGTTTACCTTCTGCATCATCCCATTTAGGCCACAGTTACTTTGTGAATGTGGGGGATGCAGGGTACTGTCCCCACACCAGGTTAGGCTGGGCTAAGAGCCAAGTGGTTTGGAGGCTGGGTTTACCCGAGGTGAGAGGTTGGGATGCTGAGAACCTGAAGGGTTGAGAGGCCAGCAAAGGCCTTCTTTTCCCAGAACAGGAGAGAGAGCCCTAGTCCCCCAGGACTCACTAACATTACATGCTGCAGGACCCTGCCAAGTTACTTAACTACCCTGGCATTCAGGTTTGCCGTTCCTTGAATGCACTTCCTCTTTTACTGTGCAGACAGCTAATGGAATATGAATGTAAGTGAAATGTGCTACCATCTATAAAAATATCATATACGTTCCCCCATGCCCTTTCCCCTTCCACAATCTTGTAGACCACGTGGTAGGGGTGGCCAAGCATGAGACGTTCCAGCTTCTCTGCTGGAAGAGAGCACCTGCTCACTAGAAACCTTTGTTTTGGACTTTATGTAAGGTGTAAAAGAAACTTCTAGCATATTTGAGACATTATGTATTTTTGTATTTGTTTGTTACAATATCTAGCACTACCTTAACTTCTCTAAGACTCAGTTTACCCAGCTATGAAATGGAAATAGTTAATCGTACCTCACAAATAGTTCTCACAAATAGGTTTTTATTGTTTTGGGGTGGTTTTTGTTTTTTTGTTTTTTTTGAGACAGAGTCTCACTCTGTTGCCCAGGCTGGAGTGCAGTGGCGCGATCTTGGCTCACTGTAACCTCCACCTCCTGAGTTCAAGTGATTCTCCTGCTTCAGTCTTCCAAGTAGTTGGGATTACAGATGCCTGCCAACATGCCCTGGTAATTTTTGTATTTTTAGTAGTGATTGAATTTCACCATATTGGCCAGGCTGGTCTTGAACTCCTGACCTCAAGTGATCCACTGCCTTGGCCTCCCAAAGTGCTAGGATACAAATTGGGTTTTTGTGAGGACTAAATGAACGAGTGAAGGTCAAAGCACTAGCACTGTGCTCAACACACATTAAGGGAGATGTGTATGATATTAACTACTACACGATCCACATTTCTCATATGCAAAATAGATGTAATAAAGCCTAACTTTCACAATTTGGTAAGGATTAGAAATCACACACACACACACACATAGACATGCACACACAATAAAGTATGAATCTGAATCTGGCACCTATTTGTCACTCATTAAATAATTGTTTAAAATACCTCTATAAAAATACAAACATATACAATGAAGGAACTTTCCCAAAATGAAGTTTCAAGGGTTACAGTCTGATGTAATGTAAAAAATGTGCCCTAGATACAAATTTAGTGATGGGGAGACACTGAAGTAAACACTGATCCTGAATAACTCATGCATACATCCTGTAAAATTTCATTTTCTAATTAATTGGAAAGATAAAGCAGGAAAGTCTCTTCCAGAAACTGATTGGTTTTTAAAACATGGATTGGAGACTAGTGCATTAAGAGAAAATTCTGAAATGTGAAAACAGCTATGCTCATTAGGACGTTCTAGAAAATGTAAAAGGTTATCTATCCTCTGATCTGTGGAATTTATGTTGTCAGAGAACAAGCACTAAACAGATGGGGAGATGTATTTATGAGTTTTCCCTTTGCAATCTACAAAACAATGAGGATAAAACCAGTGAAACTATGGCTTTGATGCTTTTTAGCTTTCACTAAAGTGAAGGAGGGCTAATGAAGATAAAAAAGTTGTTCCCCTCATGATGGCCAGGCAGGAGGAGGAAGAATCTGAGCACTCCAGGGTCTCAACAAGGATGAGTAACGGCGAATAAATGTGATTGCATACTCTTTCCATCAAATAAAAACATATAAGATAAAACAAACCCCAAAAGCCAAGTACTGTTTGAAGTATCAACGAACAACTCTAGTGCTTACCTCATAACAATGTGCAGATCCAGTGAAAACTTTCCCAATATCCAGCAATTCAAAGTTGAAGTGAATCTTAGGTCCCATGCCTTCCCCTTTGATTCGGAGGGGCAGACGGATTTCTCGGCCTAGAAAAACAATTCAGACTTTATCATCCAAATGGTGCTTCATTTACCCCAAATCATGTTCCCTCATGTACGTTACCAATATAAATAATCAAAATTATTAAATAGCTCCCTGCATTGCACCGAGGGAACTGCAATTTAACTAACGCTGAAGATTCATCCTATATGGGAGCCAATCATAATCCTGAATGCCAAAATCCTGACTGGCGAAATTGTGAAAAACCAAAATCCCAAAGATATAATTCTGGAAAAACAAAAGACATTCTTTACAATATATTTATTTACATTTTAAAGAGGGATTTACTTGAGAAACATATAAAAACACAACAGAACACTTCAAAGGCCACTTTATGCAATAAAATAGGCAATAATAGAATGCATATTTTTGCAAGCATAAACACAGGTAGACTAACAACAGTCACATGGGTATAACAGTTATGAGCATACAAGCTGTATTTATAAAGGAATAGGTGAAAAAGGGCAAAGTACAAATGCATGTCATTATGGTTGGTAACTGCAGACACCCAGCTTTATAACTGTGATCACCTGAAATACCATATGAACAACTTAAGTCTTTTGAGAAGATAGATCAAAAACCATGATGGGTCACCCCCACTTAGGCAGTTTCCCAAAGAGCTGAGATCTCCAGAAATTTTATCTCTCACAAATTCAGATCTACAAAAAGACTATCTCTTCATGTATTGAGGAAGTGTCAGCATTTTTACGTACACACACAATGCTTACGCACAAAGGCAACGTCGTGATAATGCACTTGCATGGAGTCAAATTTCTATGTCCAAGGCAGCAGAGGAAAAGTCTGTCCCAGCTCTCAGAGACAAACCAATGTGCCTTCTGTATTTGTTCTCTCCCAAGTCCCTGGCTGGTTGGATGGGGCCTGTCAGCAATGAGGGCAGATTTTCCCCATCAAGTCCACTCAGACTTACACACAAATCTCCTCTGGAAACACTCACAGATATACCCAAAATTATGCTTTACCAGGTTTCCACCAGTTTTTACTGGTCAAGTTGACATCTAAAATGAAGTCCACAAGCCCATCCCTTGTCAACCTGGCACCCATGTGTTAAACCATACTAAATTTCCCAGTAAAGACAAGGTAATAGTTCCACCTAACATGGTACAATCAGCATAATGCAACTATCCTGTGTGCAGCTGAAAACACACTAATCGCTTCCCTAGACTTTGGTTTTCAGGATTTCAACATTTGGGATTTTAATCTTTCAGGACTGTGATTTTTGGGATTTTAGACACCAGGGATGTTAGACTTTAGGGATTTTGATCCTTAGGGGTTTTGATCTTTCAGGAACTCAAGATTCGGGATTATGGCATTTTAAATTGTGTCTTTTGGTATTGTGATCCAAATGTTTTAAGAAAATAAGAATACTGCTAGTTTCTTATCTTTAGGGAGCAGACTGTATTGCAATTTACATTTTAGCAGGAAAAAAATTAAAAATTTTAACCCAATTCTTAACATTATTCCAAAGTTTCTTACAAAGAAAAGTAATTCTAAATCAGAGAAGGGTGACCATTGATTGATGCTTCTCATAAAATGAGAGCCAACCTGGGGCTCCAAGGGACATTATTCACATTGATCTTCCTTAGATTTCGGAAGATCCAGAATATTAGGGATCTGAGTCTAGGGATCTTACCCGATGCTTACTTTTGCTGAATTTCTTCCATGTAGAGATAATGAAATGCACTTAACAATATCCGTTATAACAATTCTACAATGAACTCACGGTCAATACAGAGCACACAACCTTTGAAGTACTGACTGGTTTTGTTCCCCCTTTTTAAAATGAAACTATCTTTGTTCGATAATACGTGATCATTACAAAATTTAAAGAGAATATGAATAAAATTATCTTATAATTGCATCATCCAAAGATAACTACTGTTAACATTTTGGTGCCTATCCTTTTATATTTAATTGTATCACAATACTGCTAATGCAAATGGGAATGTATACTATGTTATTTTGCAACCTGCTTTTTTTCATTTAATAATACCTTTGGAACATTTTAACATATCATTAACATATCATACCTAAAGATCTCCCTTATTCTTCTTAATGGTTATATGGTCCACTGTTGGGAGGCAAATATGTTTAAAACTCTTATTGGACATTTAAGTGGCTTCCAACCTTTCATTACAATTTGTAGTGTAATTACTATTATCGAACATGTATCCGTGAACAATTTTTCCATATTTTCTTCCAGCACTTTGAAGATATTATAGCTTTCCACTGTTTCTGTTGAGAAGTCAGCTCATACTCTTATTGCTCAATTGAAACAATCTATCTTGTCTTCTGATAGATTTAATTTTTATGCACACATATTTATTTATTTTTGTCTTTAGCTTTCAGTGATTTTACTATAATGTTCCTAGGCATGGTTGCATTTATCCTTTCAGGGGCTTGTAGCACTTATTGAATATGTGAATAATTGTCTTTCATCAATTCTGAAAAATTTTGAGTCATTATCTTTTCAAATATTGTTTCTTCTCCACTTTTCACCTCTCTGTCTTTTGTGTGTGTGTGTGTGTTCTTTTTCTATATTTTGTCTCTGCATGCTTCAGTATTTTCAGATATTTTATTTGATTTATCTAATTTCCACTTTACAAAATCTCTCTGGCTATACCTAACAAGCGGTTAAATTCATCCACTGAGTTTTTAATTTGTTATTATAACTTCTTAGTTCTAGACTTTTCATTAGAATGTTTCTAGTTTTCAGATCTCTGCTTAATTTTGATAAAAACATTTTTAAAATCTGTGTCTGATAATTCTATGATCTGGTTCTCCTGGGTTTGTTTCTATTGTTTACTCTGGTTTTCTAGCAGATTGTCTTACCTCCTCATGTGCTTGGTCATTTTTTGATTGAGTGCTGATCAGTATATATAAAAGTTATAGACATAATTTAAAGCCACAAGAAGATAACTCCCTCCGGCTTCTAGCTGGCGACTGGGGGGCATTAGTAATCCCAGACAACCTAATTTAGCTGTTCTCAGCTAAGGTTTTGTGAGAGAATTAAGCCCCGCAGCAAATCATTTGAGTGATTATTTTCTCAACTCTCCCAAGAAGGGTAGGTAGCTAGCATCATCCTAGGTACAACAGAGATAAATTAATTCCTCATAAACAATAGACACCTTAGAACGCTAGGGATTAATTATCTTCTGGATCTCCAGTGGAAAACTGTTTGAAATTAAACCAATAACAACAATGATTCAAAGCTGAACTTCAGTCTCTTTGAGGACTGGCCCATTTCTAATTCACTGGGTCCTACTCTAAAGTCTGGGGGATTAGATTACTAGGGCCTTTCCTCCTGGGACATACCACGGACTTTTGTTTTCTTCTTTAACCTTACTTATCTTTTTGGCCTCTCTGCAGTTTTTACCAAAAAGGCAGTGTCTTTAAGGATAAAGTGGCCCCCAAAGTCTGACGGTCTTGATTTCCTTCTCTTGGATCTTGGCCCCATGTTCCAGTAGTTCTCTCTTGCCTTAAAAAACAGACTCTAAAAAATATTTTGCCTTGCTTTCCTAGGTGTTCTTAGAGAGAAAGAGTTAATTCACATTACTCAGCTTATCATTTATGAAACATTTCCAGAACAAAGGGATGCACATTTGACATTGTGACAGCTATAGCCATACTGCTCTCAAGAATGGTTGTGCTAATTCCACACAAACATCTGTAGTATTTACGGGTTCTTTCTCTCCACATTCTCCCCAGCAGTGGGGATATCACCACTTTGAAAATCTTTGATAGTTCAATGGTTTTCCTTAAATGTATACCATATAATTTCAAGTTCTCTAAGGAAAGAGGATATATTTGCTCTGTATGGACATTTTGAACGTTCAAAATACTTTTGATGCTTCGTTGATGTAGTTTTCAGTATTACAGAAAGTATGCTTAGAACAGCCAAGTGATATTTCTAATTCATTATCATCATTTTAACACCTTGTGACATTTTATGTTCCACTGTCTTCTGTTGCTGTTTAGCTTTTGTATCTTTAATGCTTTTTCCCCGTTAAATGTCCGTTAAAGACAGAATACTTGTCCTTTTGTTCTTTCTAGTGCTTGGCAACACAGTGGTCATTAGACAAGCATTACTTTGATTATAAGAAGCAAAGGCCATACTTAGGATGACTGATTTATTCAAAGGGTTCCCCTGCTCCATCCGATCCCTGGAAAAGAGGGTCCTCTAAAGATCAGGTGTTAGTTGTGGCAATACTCTAAACTATAGATAAAACTTTCTTTCTTTTTTTTTTTTTTTTGAGATGGAGTCTCGCTCTGTCACCCAGGCTGGAGTGCAGTGGTGCGATCTCGGCTCACTGCAAGCTCCGCCTCCCAGGTTCACGCCATTCTCCTGCCTCAGCCTCCTGAGTAGCTGGGACTACAGACGCCCGCCACCACGCCCGGCTAATATTTTTGTATTTTTAGTAGAAACGGGGCTTCACCGTGTTAGCCAGGATGGTCTCGATCTCCCAACCTCAAGATCCGCCCGCCTCAGCCTCCCAAAGTGCTGGGATTACAGGCGTGAGCCACCGCGCCCGGCCAATAAAACTTTCAAAGGGCCCAAACTGCATTACCCTACTCTATTATTTTTGAGGTCTAGACTATTGGGAATAATTTACACTCTTTGGTCAAGAGAAAAGTATTTTGATTGAGATCCAACTTTCAGAATGGCAAAGAAAGAGAATTGCAAATATATCATGGAATAAACTGCAGGACTATTTATAACTGTCAGGCCTAAAACTTTCTCCATCTGTTACCTTGACTGCCTTTCTTAAAAAAAAAAAAAAAAAAAAAAAGGAGATGTGTTGTAATAAAGCAGTGAGCCAATGTTTCTTTGGTAGTTATTAATTACTTCAAAGGAGTTTGTCTTATTTGTTGCTAGCCACTCCCCTCACCCAGAACAGGAGTACAAGTAATGCCCAGCCTTGAGTTTCTAAGTGTTAGTATAAATTTTAGGGTCACATTACAAATGCTACTTTTCCACAAGATTTTCTAAGCAGATATTTTTCTTGTCTTGGCAAAAGGCAGCAAGAGATACAAGCATGGAGGAACTAGTAAACTTTAAGGGCAGACTCCTTATTAAAAGACCAAAATATTTTAAAACATAGAGCAGTCCTCATCTATGACTGCAGTGTTCTGATTTCACACATGAGAAGTAGGGAGATGCACTACAGAACCCCTTTAATGACCCTGAAGTCCCCAGATGCAACAGATCCCATTGCATTATGTACCAGGAAATGCAAACCATGGGCTTTCAAAAACTTTCCATCTGCTATGGTCTGAATGTTAGCGTCCCCTGAACCCCAAATTCATATGTTGAAATCTTAACTCCCAAGATGATGGCATTAAGACGTGAGGCCTTTAGGAGGTGTTATGATCATGAGGGTGTAGCCCTTAAGAATGGGATTAGTGCCTTATAAAAGCTGCCTCAGCAAGCTCGTCTGCACCTTCCACCATCTGCTGGTGCCTTGATCTTGGATTCTCCAGCCTCCAGAATTGTGTTGGATAAATTTCTGTTTTTCATAAACCACCAAGTTTATGGCATTTTATTATAGCAGCCTGAACAGACTAAAATACCATCTAAGATATCCTAGATGTTCCATATTATACTTGAGTTCCATTCCTGTGCAGTAAGAAAAAATTCAGAGGAAAAAAGTATAAATAGAAGAATAAACAGACATTATTCACTCATATTAAGACTGTCAACCTGGAAAATAAAAAAGAATTTATAAATAAATTTTTAAAATTAATAAGAGAGGGACTGTGTATGATGGCTCATGCCTGTAATCCTAGTGCTTTGAGAGGACAAGGTAGGAGGAACAATTGAGGCCAGGAGTTCAAGATCAGCCTGGGCAACATAGCAAGACCTCGTCTCTACAACTTTTTAAAAAAGTTAGCCAGGCATCATGGAGTGAGCCTGTAGTCCCAGCTATTTGGGAGGCTGAGGCAAGAGGATCACTTGAGCCCAGGAGTTCAAGGCTGCAGTGAGCTATGATCACATCACTTGCACTCCAGCCTGGGCAACAGAGCAAGAAGTGGTCTCAAAAAATAAATAAAATAAAATAAACAAGAGAGTAAGATTCAGGATTAGCAAACATTTACGAAGGTCAACTGTATTTCTATATCCAGCAACAGTCAGAAAAATTTAGTTTTCAAGGTTCTATTTATAATAGCAACAAAAATATAAGGTACGTAAAAATAAATCAACAAAACATACTTGAAAACTTCAAAGCAAAAGTTGTAAAACTTTATGGGAAGACATTAACAAGGATTTAAATAAATGAATGAATAAATAGAGAACTAGACTATATTCTTGAAAAGGAAGATTCAATGTCATCGAGAGTGTCCATTTTCTCCCAACAGATTTATATCTATAAATTCAATGTACTGCTAAACAAAACGCCAGCAGGTAGAATTTGGTGGAGTGTGGTGGGTTGATTTTAAAATTTAAATGGAAAATCAAAGGGCCAATAAAAAGAAGACATGCCGAAGGAAAAACAAATTGGGAGAACTTGCCCTTTCATAAACTCAAATCTAGTGGAAAGCTACTGTAATTAACATAGTGTGGTACTGGGGCAGAAAGTGCAAAATGACAAAGGAAACAGAAGAGAAACTCAGAATAGATGCACAAATACATGTGAATTTGATTTATATCAGAGTAGGTGTTGAATATCAGTGAGGAAAGATGGCTACATAGTGTAGGGAGCTAAATCAGCTGATATCCACATGGGATCTGCGGTAGGCTGAATAATGCCCTCCAAAGATATTTACATTCTCACTCCTGAATCTAAATATTGCCTTATATGGCAAAAGGGTGAATGTTGCCTTATATGTCAAAAGAGGTAATTAAATTAATAATTTAGACATGGGGAGATTATCCTAGACTATCTTGGTGGGCCCTAATATAATCACAAATGTCCTTAAGAGGAAAGCAGAGGGAAGCTTGACACAGAAGATGAAAAGACAATGCAATGATGCAACCAGATTAGAGTGATGCAACCACAAGCCATGGAATGCTGGCAACTTTAAAAGCTGGAAAAAGTAAGGAACAAATTTTTCCCAGGAATCTCCAAAAGGAACCAGCCCTGTTGACACCTGATTTTAGCTCAGTGAAACTGATTTCAGACTTCTGAATTCCAGAACTGTAAGAGAATAAATGTGTGTTGTTTTAAGTCACTAAGTAACTCGTAACTTGTTTCAGCAGCAATAACAAACTGACACAGAGTCCCTCCCATCTACTCTACACAAAAGTCAACTCAAGTTGGATCAATGTGATGGTAAACTATGAAACTTTTTAGAAAGAAATATAGAATGATCTCTTTACCAACTTGGTGTAGAGAAAGGGATTTTAACAATAAAAGTGAGCAAATTATAAAATAAAAGATTATCAAATGCAATTACATTAAAACTCTTGTTCACTAAAATCACCTTAATGAGAGTGAACGGACAAGACACAAACTAGGAGAAGATATTTGCAGGACATATCAAGCCAGTTACATCCCAAATACATCAAAAGCCCCTATGAATCAACAATACAAAGACAACACAATAGAAAAATGGGCAAAGGCCAAATACGAATTTCACAGGAGATGAAACACAAATGGCCAGCCAATATAACATGCTATTTTCATTAACATAATGAAATTCATAATTGCAGAAATATTAATCAAAGCCACAGTGAGATTCCATTTCACAACTAGTGGAGGAGCAAAATTTTAAAAGTTGATCAATACTAAGAGAAGTCAAGGTTATGGAGTAAGGTTATAGGCACATCTCCTGCAGGTAGGAAAGTAGACTGGCACAACCCCTTTGGAGAAGTCTGATTACCTAGTAAACCTGAGTGTATACATCCTGTATGTCCTGGAGTTGCCACTCCTGGGGATATATCCTAGAAAAATTTGGCACCATGTACCTGAAAACATGTTCAAGACTGTTCATAAGAGCATTATTCTCAATAGCATAACAGCATTAAGTTAGAAACAACACAAATGTCCAACTGGATAGGAATTTTTATATATTCAAATAATAGAATATTAACTGTTAAACTAGAGTCTCATGCATGACATGAGTGAATCTCAGCAAAACAAATATAGTATCATAATATTTATGTAAAGTTTGAAATATGCAAAAATAAGTTATATATTGTTATGGGTTATACCCACATATGGCTAAAAAGCAGTATGAAGAAAACCAAGGAAATGATTAACTGACTACACAAAATTTTAAATGGATAGTTACCTCTCTGCAGGAAACAGAAGGACACAGATATTCTAAAATATGGTAGAGTCCCATTTCTTAACGTGGGTGACAGGTTCACAGTTGTTTATCTTACTATTATTCCTTATATCTTAACTATATAATACAAATATTATTTTGTGTAATTTCAATATAAATTTTAAAAACACAAAACTTGCTGAAATGTTAACTAATACATTTTGTTGTGTGTTTGTGTGCACAAAATTGTTTATTATATGGGTATTTCTTGGAACCCCAAAGCTCATTATCAGAATTTTCACATTTAATAATAATATGATGTAAGTTGTTTTACCTAAATTCATTATCTAAATGAAAACAATATTATAAGTATGATATGAATGTATGCATGTGCCAGCAAAAACATTTATGTTTGCTTGAGTTTCAGCAGTAAAATGTATTGTGTGTTACAGCCCGACCTTCAGCTGTTCTGACAAGACAGATTTGTTTCGTGCTTTCCTCTTTAAAATGTGTTATGCATTATCAGCTCATCTTCCCACAATTTCCCTGATGGTTTAGTCTTTCATGGGTCCTAGAATTTGTTTCTGCCAGGTACTGAGGGCAACTACCAACCAGGGAATAATTTAGACAAAATCTTTAGATCCTAGACTTTTAGAATCTTTAATACTTATTTTATTGTTTGTATTACAGTTCATGTTTACAGCTGTGCAGAAAGAAAATGTAATTCATGTCTAAAATTGTACAGTATCTTTACATGCTACAAACCAATACACCCATTTATATACTTACTTATTTAAGCATTATAGAGGTAATTTGAATATATTAAATGCCTTGTGTTATACAGGAATCTTTGATGAGTTGTTATATAGGTGTTTTAAAATGTTTTAGAAAAACTGGATAGAGTTTCTGGATGGGCTGGGAACCTGACTGTTTCTGAGAGTTACAAGAATGGAATATGGGTTGCACTATTTCAGCGGAACCATGTCTTTATGGGGTAGTGTGGTACAGGACAGGGACCAGGACTGTCACAACCTAGAATTCAAATCTTGGATTAAGAAGCCCCACAGATAAACTCACCTAAATTCTCTAAGCTTTAGCCTTCTCATCTGTAAAATAAAGATAATAATTCCAGCCTACCTTACTGAATTATTGAGACACAAATAAGATTAATCTGCAAGTGTCTTTGTGTTTATATACAAATGCGTTCATATACTATAATGTGAACATAAAATTATTATGTAAATTTGATTTATGAGAGAGCTGATGTTGAATATCAGTGAGAAAAGATGGATCATTTAGTGTAAAGAGCTAAAACAGCTGGAAATCCACATGAGATCTATGGCAGGCTGAATAATGGCCCCCAAAGATATTCACATCCTCATTCCTGAATCTGTAAATATTACCTTATAAGTCAAAAGATGTGATTAAGAGTTTTGAAATGGGGAGATTATCCTGGATTATCTTGATTATGGTAGCTTAAAAATCATCTTGAACTCTGGTAGTAGGAGTCCTTTCATTTTATTCTTCTTTTCCAAAGTTGTTTCAGCTATTCTAGGTTGTTTGCATTTCCATGTGAATTTTAGAATCAGCTTGTCAATTTCTACAAAAAAACCATCTTGGATTTTAATTTTGATTTCAATTAAATCTATAGATGAATTTGGGGGAGAAATGGCATTAAGATGTCATTAAGATATTATTGAATAGCCATATTGAATTTACCAATCTATGAACAAGCTATATTTTTCTATTTGTTTAGGTCTTTAATTTCTCTCATTAATCTTTCATAGTTTTCAGTATATGGGTCTTGTATACATTTTGTCAAATTTATCTCTAATTATTTTATATTTCTCAATGTTATTGTAAGTGATACTACCTTTTAAAATTTCAGTCCTCTGTATAGATCTCATATCCTGCAACCTTGTACTAGTTAACTACACTTACTTTGTAGGCTTTGTTTAAAATGAATATTCTCCAGCATCGTCTCCACAGATTTTGATTCAATAAAACATATATAAAACCCAAGAATCTACATTCTTAATGAGTAGCCAGGGGGATTCTGATACAGATTCTCTAAGGACATTACTTTGAGAAAGATATGAAAATTAATAACATTAACTTCTGATGGTATGTCCAAGTTAACTGATGCAGTCCATTCTTCCACCCAAAATACAAAAAAAAATAGAATTGATTAAAAACATGGCAAATAAATATTTTTAATGCTTTTCCAGGTTCAAAATAAAGGAAAGAAAATAACAGGTTCTAGAAATAAAAAGGGAACTCAGCTAGCATAGTAAACTAGTGAGATGACCCAAAGAAGGCCCAGAGATGTGTAGAGTAGATACAGAACTTATGGTTTAGTGGGTCCAGTTATACCCTCACAGAGAGAGGACACAGCCTTGTTCCCATCTGGGAATGGAGAATTAAACTAAGATTCTAGCATAAATCCAGGACCGTAGAAAGACTACCTCTTTTCACAAAGGCAACTAGAATAATTCTACTCATTGGTCTAGGGAAGCAGTGATGAAGCCTGTCTTCTACTTAGAATTCTGAATAGGAGGGAGAGCCTCCTATGATAAATCAAAATCCCATGTTCACATATGAGATCGAAATTTAGACTATCTGATAGGTGCGAGAATCAGAAGCTGAGAAAATAAAAAATCACAGGACCCTTGGCAGAAGAAATAAAAATCTGCTCTGAGGGAATAGTTTCATAACTCGGTACCCAAGCTAAAATTGAGTTCATAATACAAACATTTCAAGCCATCTGAAGAAACAATCTAGTAGGAGGAAAATCAGTGATTACTACAAACATGTGAGCTGGTATCCTAAGAGTTTGAGGTAATAAAAAAAAGTCTCATATAGCATTCTTAAAATCTTTGAAGAGATAAATGAAGAAATAGAAAGCATAATGAAGGAATAAAATATGAAAATATTCAAACTATATATAACTTCTAAAAATAAAAAGCCAAGTCAATGAATTAAAAACTGAACAGATGAATACACTGAAGAGTAGATATAGCTGAAGAAAGAATTAGTCAACTAGAAGAAAGATCTTAGAAAAATACCCAGAATACATCATAGTGAGACCAGAAATGTGCAGAGACATTTAAGAGACATGGTAATTCCACAGGAAACACATATATCTAAAAAAAAAAATTCCAAAAGGAGAAATTTGAGATAAGAGGAAAACAACATTGGAGAGATGCTGAGTAACCAATATGTAGCATATTACTTACTTATTACTCTGAAAACTCAAAAGTGTTTTCAATGATTGGGGTGATTTTCTTTTTAATAAATCTAATTCAATCTCCATTCTTTAATTCAATTAAGATAAAAATCAGAAGCCCTGAATTGTCTTTAAAATTCAAAATTTTCCCTTTTATGACTCACAGAAAGCAAATGGACAATGAGGTTTCATCTTAATTGGGTCTCTGAAGGAAGTGGGAGCATCTGGAATCATTTCCACCATGCTGCTTTTCTGCATTTGACTCCGTTACCTAGCAATGCATTTCACAATGTTACCTAGCAATGCATTTCACAGTTTAAATTAGAGAGTATTACTTCTTTTTGAAGTTCCCATATGCTGATCCAAACCAAATATATGTAGCTTCCCTTTGCATTTTTTTAAAAAGGTAATCTTCCTGATAAAGTTAGGTATTTCCACATTCCATTAGAAAGTCAAAATAGATGAAAGATCAGTTTCAAGAGCCAGATCAAACCATCAGCAAGTCTTTATAAATATCTAGCATACAGATTTAACTATTTCTAAGAAAACAGAATGACTTAAAATGCAGAAAAATTATTCAGTTTCAGATTAATGGAAAGGCTTTTCATGATGTTATATTTGCCATAACATGCTTAGGGTGCTTCAGTGACTGCCAGCTGTACTCAGCAGAAAGTCCAATGTCCTTAGGCTGGCATCCAAGGGCAGCCCTTTATGAATGGATCCTACCTACTACTCTAGCTTTCAGCTTCATTTTCCTTCCCTCCCTCCCTCTCTCTCTCTCTCTCTCTCAATCTCCATAGCAGTCACACACTAAGAACTTGCAATTCTTTGCCACTTCATGTTCTTGCTATGTATTTTCACATAATGCTTCTTCATGTATTTTCACAAAGTATTTCCCTGACTTGCATGCCCAGCCTTTGTTTATGTTTTTACGTGCTTCACAAATACTTCAAGGGTCACTTTCTCTGGAAAGCTTTCCTTGACATCCCAAGCCTGAGCTGTGTACCTTGTATCCGCTTCTATAATAATAATCAACTTCTATAGTAGCAGTGCACTATAACTGTTGGCTATGTGTCAGTTTCCTCCACTGAATTCTATGCTTTCTCAGGGCAGGAACTATGCTTTTGTACCTCTTTCTACTCATGGTGCCTAGATATCAAAAGCTTTCAAAAGAAAAGAGGATTGCAGTTGGAGACGTGGGTTAAATCTCATGCATCCTCAGAGGCCTCCCTTATGACCAGTAGCCTTCCCTGTTTTTTCCTGTCTCTGAACATATATTTACATAATGGAACACTGTACAACAATGAAAATGAAATACAACTAGAGCAAAAGTAGCAACATAGATGAGACATGTAGGCTCATTTCAGATATGTACATTTCAAAACAGGCATTACTAAATTGTATTGTTTAGAGATACATACATTGGGTAAAAACTATACATGAAAGCAATTGCAACAAAAGCAAAAATTGACAAATGATATCTAATTAAGACTTGGAACCA
Source organism: Homo sapiens (assembly GCF_000001405.40). NCBI lineage: Eukaryota > Metazoa > Chordata > Mammalia > Primates > Hominidae > Homo > Homo sapiens. The sequence goes on from NC_000016.10 coordinate 71,106,902, forward strand.
ACCCAAATGTCCAACAATGATAGACTGGATTAAGAAAATGTGGCACATATACACTACGGAATACTATGCAGCCATAAAAAATGATGAGTTCATGTCCTTTGTAGGGACATGGATGAAGCTGGAAACCATCATTCTCAGCAAACTATCACAAGGACAAAAAACCAAACACCGCATGTTCTCACTCATAGGTGGGAATTGAACAATGAGAACACATGGACACAGGAAGGAGAACATCACACACTGGGGCCTGTTGTGGGGTGGGGGGAGGGAAAGCATTAGGAGATATACCTAATGTTAAATGACGAGTTAATGGGTGCAGCCCACCAACATGGCACATGTATACATATGTAACAAACCTGCACGTTGTGCACATGTACCCTAGCACTTAAAGCATAATAAAAAACAAGTAAAATTAAATTAAAAAAAAAAAAGCTTAAGAGCTTCTGCACAGCAAAAGAAACTATGGGCAGACTAAAGAGGGAAAACCCAAAGAATGGGAAAAAATATTTGCAAACTATGCATCTGACAAAGATTTAAAATCCAGCATCTATAAGGAACTTAAACCAATTTATAAGAAAAAAACAAACAATCCTATTAAAAAGTCGGCAAAAAAATGAACAAATACTTTTCAAAAGAAGACATATATGTGGCCTACAAGCATATGAAAAAAAGCTCAATATCACTGATCATTAGAGAAATGGAAGTCAAAACCACAATGAGATATCATCTCATATAGTCAGAAAGGCTATTACTAAAAAGTCAAAAAATAACAGATGCTGGTGAGGTTGTAAAGAAAAGGGAACACTTATACACTGTTGGTGGGAGTGTAAATTAGTTCAACCATTATGGAAAGCAGTGTGGTGATTCTTCAAAAAACAAAAAATAGAACTACCATTTGACCCAGCAATACCATTACTGGGTATAAACCCAAAAGGATATAAATTGTTCTACCATGAAAACATGCATGTATATGTTCATTGCAGCACTAGTCACAATAGCAAAGACGGAATCAACTTAAAAGCCCATCAATGGTAGACTGGATAAAGAAAATGTGATACATATACACTACAAAATACTACGCAGCCATAAAAAAGAATGAGATCATGTCCTCTGCAGGAATGTGGATGAAGCTGGAGGCCATCATCCCTAGCAAACTAATGCAGAAACAGAAAAACAAAATACTGCATATTCTCACTTATAAGTGGGAGCTAAATGATGAGAACACACGGACACAAAGAGGGGAACAACAGACACTGGGGCCTAGTGGAGGGCGGAGGGTGAGAGGAGGAAGAGGATCAGGAAAAATAACTATTGGGTACTAGGCTTAGAACCTGTGTGACAAAAATCTGTACAACAAAAACAAAACTGCACACGTACCCCTGAACCTAAAAGTTAATTTTTTGTTTAAATCTTAAGCAAAAGAACAAAAACAAAAAACAACAACAAAAAAAGCAAGGATATGATGGTCATCAAGAACAGAATGGTGGTGATTCCAGGGGAGGCTGCAGTGAGAGGAGTATGATTGGGAAGGAACACACTGAGGCTTCTAGGGGCTGAAAATATTCTATTATTGATCTTGGTGGCAATAACATAGTGCTTGCCTTATAATTATTTGTTATAATGTACCGGTATGTGTATAAGTTTCCAATCGTTGCTACAAGAAACTGTCACAAACTTAGTGGCTTACTGCACAAATGTATTATCTGAAAGTTCTGGACGTCAAAAGTCCAAAGTGATCTGATCGCTGTATATTATGCATATTGAAACATCACTATGTACCCCATGAATATGTATGGTTATTATTTGTCAATTAAAAAAAAATTTTTAAGATGAAAATACACAACTAGAAACAAAGTCCAACATGGGTCTCACTGGGCTAAAATCAACATATTCCCAGGGCTGCATTCCTTCCTGGAGACCCTGGGGTAGGGGGAATTCATTTTCTTGCATTTTCCAGTTTCTGGAGGCTCCCTGAATTCCTTACCTTGTCCATCTTTACTGCCTGGGAATGACTGGTTGAGACTTTCTCATATCACAGACCTCTGACACTGAGACCAATCCTTCTGCCTACTTCTTGGGCATTTATGGACCCTTGTGATTATACTGAGCCACCAACATGATGCAGGATAGTCTCCCTATCTTAAAGTCAGCTCATTAGTAACTTTAATTCCATCTGCTGCCTTGATTCATCTTTGCCATTTAATGTAACATGTCCCCAGATTCTGGGGGTCAGGACCTGGACATCTTTGGGAGGCCACTTCTGTGCTTACCACTAAATGTATTATGTAATTTCTGAATCTGCATTCTATTCAATAATGACACAAGGTTAAAAATTAAATTGCAGTATGTAAATGCAAAGGGTTCCTATGCAATCATGAAAAGAATGACATCTTTTATTTAGTATTGTATATAATCCCTGGGAAATATTTTAAAAGCAATGTTAAAACCATTATGTAAAGTATACTGTCGTTTACGCAAAACGACATGAGGAGGAAAGAATTATTTATACGTATTTGCTTCTACATGCCACGTTTATCTTAAAGCAAAGGAAAACAAAACAAAACAAGGGAAGGAGATTTTTTATCTGTCTAACAAGTATTTCTTAGTGACCTAAGACCAAGAGGTTTTACCAACTCATTGAAGATAATAGTAAGGAATCATCAGCAGCTCTTGAAAAGACACAGAGAATTGCACAGAATTTACAGGGAAGATAATATGGAATTACTATGTAAGCAAAGCTCTTCCCTGGCAAGCATATCTTTTAATAATCCACTAACAAAATACAGAAGAATGTCATGCAGATGGAAAATTATACTATTCGGCTTACCCAGGATGTGAATTCTGTGGGAGAATTCAGAATTACAAACAAAACAATAGGGAAATCTCACTTGTTGTGTAATGGTTGGGAACCTCCTGGAGAGTAGCCAACCCCTTGGAATAAGGCCAAGCACAATGTCCACAGGGAGTTGCAGATGGGAGGGAGGTCCCACCACCTGTGGCACAGGGGCCACTGGAGCATTTCCAGCCCATGTCTGACACTGCTGTGCTAACATTTCCTCTAGACCTATTAGGTTGTCCATTGTAGGTGATGCTCGTCTGCAGGATGGAGACAGACCTATGTCAATCCAAAAACTCCTAGTCCATTCTGCATTCATTCTGGGGACGTCTGGAGAATTCTGCATTCACATGCAAGGGAGAGGTCAAATCAAAACAGGATTCACTTAGTCATTTTTTTCCAGTTATTTGCTTATTCATTTAATCAACATTTATTGAGTAGCTTTATTTTCTTGGTGCTAGCAGCATAAGATATACAGGATGAGTCCTGTATGTATGTGTGTATATATATATTATATTATATATAATTATGATATACATAATATATAATAGATATAATAAATATAATAAATATATAAAAATTTATATCTAAATAAGTTATATATTTATAGATATTTTATATATATTTATATATAAAATAAAATACATATATTTTATATATATATTTATATATAATATATTTATATATAATTATAAATATATAAATAATATAATATATAAATATATATAAACATATATAAATATATATAATATATATATTTCATATATATATATCAATATATCAATTTCCAAAACAGGCAAAACTATACTATTTTGCTTAGGGATGAATATGTAGGTGGCAAAATTATACATGAAAGCAAGGAAACAACTATCATAAAAGTCAAGGTGATGGTTTTATCGAGGGAAGGTGAGGGAAACTTCATTGGGAGAAAACACACACCTGGGGGAGGTGCAGGGTAGCACAGGCTTGGGTCAGGGAGCCCATACTTCTGCACATTCCTAGACTGCCTGAGCCTCTTTTACACAGAAAAAAGTGACTGCATAGATATGGACCGAAAACAGCACGGTGTGGCAGAATAGGGGAATTGCTGCACTTGAAGGATGCAAATGATGTGCATTCTTGCTGACAGTGCACTCTTATACTCTCCCCCCAGGTTTAAAACAAACACAGCAGCCATACTTTCCTGGGAAACCTAGATATAAAACAGCAGAGGTAAGCAGCACTAGCTACCATCAACGTGAAAGCCATTTTCTCATTCTTACATACGAATGAATGACCATGGACCAGAAGGCATTGGAAGGAACCCCATGAATGCATGAAAGACAAACAGCTGAACATTATGGGCAATTCAGAGAACATAAGATTTATTTTTTAAGAAACGAAAGTTCAAATGATTATCCCCAGATCAATGAGAAGAAGTTGCATCCATAAACAAACACTTAGTTATGAAACAGGAATAGAGGACAAAAGAGGTCTTGAAAATTAAAAATATTATTGCAGAAATGAAAGATCGCTAGGAAGTATTCAGAAAAAAACTGAGCTGAGTCTCTTGCAAAGCAATTGGCAAATGCTAAAGTTCAGTGCTTCACCTTGACCACAAAGAAGAAAACTTTCCAAGTTTTTGAGTAACACCTGCTTGTACCTCTGCAAGAAAGTTCCAAAATGGAAGATGCCCGGAAACCACTGTGGCAAAATGCTTTCTTGAACCTGTTCAAGACAGCCAAGGAAAGTCTCAACTGCAAAGGGAAACAATTTGAGTCAGAGTAACTTGGGTTTGTTGTTGTTATCTGTATAAAAGGGAAAATTGCCATTTGAATAACTGAATAGCAGTAATGTACCAAGCGGACTATTTAAGTTCAGGGCGGTGGCTCTGCACATCAGGAATGATGCCACAGGTGCTGGCCACAGGTCTGCTGGTGGCTGCGGAGAGCTACAGCTATGCAGCACACTCCTGCCGTCTTTCCTGATTCATGAACATCAGTATTTCTCTAGGCATAGACTTGAATTAAATTTAGTGTCATTTCTTAGTAGTGTTTGATGATTAAAATCTTGTTCTTTGACAACAAATGATCAATCTTCCAGGTCTAACATTGGATTCACAGGTTTTCCAGACAAATAAAATGAAAAAAAATGGAGGAAAGAATATCAAAGACACAATAAAATTTCTTAGAGCTGAAGTGATGTGAGTCATCAGATTCAAATGGCCCACAGAAGGCTGAGGAGGATGAATAAGAAAAACCCACTCCTGGACATGACTTCATCACATTTCAGACCCCAAATATGAAAAGAAGGCCCCCAAAACATCCAGAGAAAAAGAAGAGGCTGCCTATAAAGGAATGGACATTAGATGACCTCAGGCTTTGGAATTTTTTACAATCAAGTAGTCACAAAGTCTCCAGTGTTCTGAGGAGAAATGATTTTGAACCTGGGATCCTATAGTCAGCTAAACTGTCAAGTGAGTATGAAGGCAAAATAAGGTATTTTCGGGCATTCAAGGATCAAAGTTTCCACTTCCATATATTTACATACACACATTATATACATCATTTCTAAGGAAGTTACTTGAGCAGACTGAGAATGAAAAGGTGTGACTGAACATAGAAATATTTTTTAAAATTCCTGGATAACAACTGTTCATTCAGGAGGTGACTGATCTGAATTAAAATAAGAAGCTGATAGGCTCTGATCAGTATCTTCAAAGAGAAAAAGAGAATGAATTATAAAATTAGATAGGAGTGAAGAAATAAGGAATTAGAAACCACAGGGGGGAAATCAAAAGCTGTACAAAAGAGTCAGTTAAGAAGTAAACTAAAATGAGGCATAGTTGTGAGTAACTGATAAATTGGTAAAGAAAGAATATACTTGATATGGACCTTAGGGACATTCTTTGAGTGACTAGGAACCAGAGCACTGAACAAACAGGATAAAATGTAATCCCAGAACCTATTTGGCTCTGCAGTGTATAATATTTATGTAAGAAGAAGACTTAACAGTGGTTATCAATAATGATTATGTAAAAATGGAATAGCTCACAGAGGTTAGAGGGAGAAGGCTAGTGGACTAGTCGGGGATAACCTAGTTATAGGCACCAAAATCCTTACACATCAAGAGATAATGTAAAGTTGATGGAACAAAAAATACAGGCTTAAGTGTATTATTTAAGGCTATAAATAAACCTCATAAGATAAAATAAAACAATTGGGTTGTCAGGGGCTGAGGCTGGGGGACAGGATTGTCTGCAAAGAAGCATAGGGAACTTTATGGGGTGATCTCAGATACACATTTCCACATCTTGATTTTGGTGGTTATATGACTATTTAGGTTTGTCAAAATTCACAGAACCATGCTCCAAACAATGATGAATTTCACTGCATGTAAATCCTAACTCAGTAAACTTAGGAAGGGGAAAAACCTAGGAACCGAAAAGTGAACTAAACCCTCATCTTTCATACTGGGGCGTCAAAAGAAAATGTACGAAGTTAATAAATCCACCAAAAGCAACATAAGCATAGAGCTGGCAAGGGAAACCACCATCACAAGAAACAGCCAAAAGAAGTTTTTGGAAGTAGCAGTGGTGACACAGACTAACATTTAGCTTCATAATTTTACTATCTACATGTTTTACTTATTTATTGGCATTGGCATTTAAACACAATTCTGAAACATTTTTAAAATGCAGAAAGGTTTCCAGAGTAATACAAGAACTTCTATTAAATATCTATCCCATGCCCAATAATGTCCTTTATAGCAAAGGGCCCAATCCAGGATCACATTCTGCACCCAATTACCATGTCTCTCTAGTCTCCTTCAACCTGGAACAGTTCTTCGGGATTTCTTGACTTTCATGATCTTGATTTTTTTTTTTTTTTTTTTTGAGACAGGGTCTCACTCTGTCACCCAGGCTGGTGTCCCGTGGTGCAATCACAGCTCACTGCAGCCTCAAACTTCTGGGCTTAAGTGATCCTCCCACTTTGGCCTACTGAGTAGCTAGGACTACAGGCATGTACCACCACACTTGATTAAGTTTTTAATTTTTTGTAGAGATGGGGTCTCACTATGTTTCCCAGGACCATCTTGAATTCCTGGACTCAAGAAATCCTCTCACGTCAGCCTCCCAAAGTGCTGGGATTATAGCCGGAAGTCACCGTGCCCGGCCGTCATGACCTTGATATTTTTAAAGATTACAGGCTGGTCATTTTATTTTGTTCTTCAATTTGGGATTGCCTGATGTTTCCTCCTGATTAGATCCAATTTAGGTATCTTGGCCCTGATATCATAGAAGGGATGCTGTGTTCTCACTGCATCCTGGCATGTGATCTGAGAGGTTGATTTGCTGTATTATTACTGGGATAAACCAAGATAGCATCTCCCAGGCTTCTTCACTGCAAAGTTAGTTTTCTCCCCTTCATAAAAAGTATTTTGAGGAAAGATGTTTTGAGACTATTCCATGTCCTACTTTCACCCATTTTCTTAAGATCCACTGACGCTTTTACCTGAATTGGTTATTGCAATGATGATTGCCAAGTAGTACATTAAATGGATTCACAGATTCCTATTTATTCAATGGATTATAATAATCTATTAGTATCATTATTTTGATTCTTGACTCATTCCAAATGTGGTCAGTGGGAGTTTCTTTGCTGTCTTCTGTGTCATTTCGACATGTGCCTATCATTCTTTGAGCATTTCCTTACCGTCTAGCAAAGGAGATAATCCAGGCTCATCTTATTCTTTCCCTACCTTGGTCCTGAAGTTAAGCAGTTCCTTTCACTAAAGAGTGGCATTTAGAAACCAAGCTTTGGGTGATTGGTGTGCTCACTGCTATAGAGTCTCAAAGCTTCCAGGACTTCTCAATGGACCTAGCTAGGAAATACACACATGCATGTACACATGCATATACACACATTTACATGTATATTTATTTTTATATCTATCTATACATGTCAGTGTGAACTCAACAACTCTGAGTTCACATTGACAACTCTAATTCCATTCCAATTTCAAAGGGTTTGGCTTCACCCTATTTTCCATGTTTGTATCTCCTTCCTCCAAGAGTGAGAAATACTGGTTCCCATCATCCTCAATGTATTTACTTTTCTGCTTAATTCCCTGTATGTATCAAATCTCCTGATGTCATCATCAGGTTGCCATCCCACCTGTGCACCCTCCTGGTTGCTCTGGCCTCTGCCAAGCTGCCTTCCCATCCCACTTGGAATTATTTTGGTAAAACTTAAAAAGAAAAAAAATTAGTAACCAAATACTATAAAAGGAACAAAAAAGGAGATTGTGGGAATTGGTCATAAGCAATATTTTTACTGCTCTAAGAGCCATGGTCCCTGATATGGTTAGGTTTTGTGTCCCCACTCAAATCTCATCTTGAATTATAATTCCCATAATTCCCACGTGTCAAGGGAAAGACTATGTGGAGGTAACTGAATCATGGGGGCAGTTTCCCCCTTGTTGTTTTTGTGATAGTGAGTGAGTTCTCACGAGATCTGATGGTTTTATAAGGGGCTCTTTCCTCCTTTACTCGGCACTTCTCCCTCCTGCTGCCTTGTGAAGAAGGTGCCTTGCTTCCTCTTTGCCTTTCACCATGATTGTAAGTTTCCTGAGGTCTCCCCAGTCGTGCTGATCTGTGAGTCAATTAAACCTCTTTCCTTTATCAATTACCCAATCTCGGGCAGTTATTATTAGCAGTATGAAAATGGACTAATACAGTTTCCATTTCCTCCACATGCCACCATAATTGTAAAGCACTTTAAAGTTTGATCTGTTATAGGAAGAAGTGAGAGGGGCATAGCTTGGCTCCATAATTCCCCTAATCAATATAATCAATATCATGTACCGCCCATGGCATGATCCCACATGCACATGTGCACACACACACACACTCAGGCACCACACTTCATGCTCTGGGTGCCTGGTAACCTGAGTTTACCACTTGGAGGAGGTCACTACCTAAAATGTCGCAGTAAATGGTCTGTTGATAGAGCTTGGCTTCTAGTGGGTTAAAGTACACGGTGATTTCAGCTGATGAGTTGGGCCAGACATCACCTTCCTGAAAAACATGAAAGAATCATTAAAAAACAATATGACAAAAGAAAGACACTGCTTGTAAGTGTTATTACATTAAAACTCCAATAAATTTTTTTTTCATAAAATTGTATATGTTTAAGGTATACAACATGTTTTGATATATATTTGTATAGTGAAATGATTACTGCAGTCAAGGAAATCAACACATCTATCTCCTCACATAGTTAACTTGTGTGTGCGTGGTGAGAGGACCTGGTCTGTCTACTCTCTTAGCAAGTACCCAACATATCATACATTATTATTAACTATAGTCACCATGCACTACATTAGGTCTCCAGAACTTATAACTACAAGTTTGTACCCTTTGACCAACATCTCCCCATTTCCGCCCCCAATCCCACCCTCTGATGCCTGGTAACCACCAATCTCTTACCAAACTGTTTCTATGAGTTAGACCTTTTTTTTTTTTTTTTTTTTTTAAGATTTCACACACATATGAGTGAGATCATGTGGTATTTGTCTTTCTGTGTCTGGCTTATTTCACTTAGCACAATGTCTCCAGATTCATCCATGTTGTCACAAGTGGCAGGAACTCTTTCTTAGTAAGAGTGAATAATATTCCATTGTATGTACACACTTCTTTTTTCATTCTTCTGTCGCTGGACACTTCGGTTGCTTCCACAGCTTGGCCATTGTGAATAATGCTGCAATGAACATGGGGGTGCAGAGCTCTCTTCGAGATCCTGATTTCATTTCCTTTGGGGATATACCCAGATGAGGGATTGTGGGATCACATGACAGTTCTATTTATGATTTTTTGAGGAATCTCTATACTGTTTTCCATAATGTCCGTACCAATCTACAGTCCCACCAACAGTGTACAAGGGTTCAATTCCAGGAAACTTAAAGACAACATTTTTCTAATAAGTACAAGAAAGCATTCTTTCACCAGCAGATAGTAAATGTATACTTCTTGATAACTTATGAGGTGGTACAAGTTGGAAACAAACTTCAAAGATAACTTCAGTGAATTTATGAACATATAATGAGTTACTAAAGGAAACTAGGGTGTATAAGACATTTTAAAATGAAATGTATATTCAGTGGCTATTCACTGTTTGCCCAATGTGTTCCCAGTACCGGGGCTTCAGAGAAGCAGAAAGGTGTGGGCTGTGACTGCAGGGAACTCATACCTTAGTGGGATGATAAACATGTATACAAACATTTAACAGTATATGAGGTAAGTGCTGTGTCTATAAAAATACAGCCCAGAGGGGTCACAGAGGAAGAAGTACTTGACTTCCTTGCTGGAGGCACCACGTTTTTAACTTTTGAGGTGACAGCATAAGGAAACACTCTTACTCTACAAAAACATAGCAATGGCCCAAGGTAGAACAATAGCTTGGTCAAACCCTGCTTCTACTCCAGTGTGGCATTTCTCCCTTTAATTGGAACTACCAAAAAGTCATAATCAGGAAACCAAGTTTTAAAATGGTAATGCAAAATGCAATGTATCAGAATCTCCTTGTTAGGTATACTTTGATTAGTATTTTTAACTATGTAATCTGCGGCCTCTTCATTAGCTTCTCAAGGCTGTAAAAAGAGATGCTGATAGCACTTGCCTCAAAGGGGTTCCTAAGGTCTGACAAAGTCATGCAGGTCAAACACTTTGCCCCATGCTCAGTCAGAACTCAGTAAATAACTGACTACTATGATCGATGTTATTTTTGTGCTACTTAGAAGGACTAAGATGAAAGTATTGAAAAGGGGAAAAGATGTGTGTGTTTTTTGTATGATTTTTGTAAATAGGGCCAAGTGAGCATAAACGATCAACACATCCAGAAATCTATAAACAGTCCCGCCAGCTAAATAGAAAACTAAGGAAAGACAACTTGATAAATAATTAGGCTCCAGCTCCAGACAGTCCCTGGTGCATTCTCTATTTGCAGTCTGGCTAGAAAGAACATACTTCTGGAATAAAGAATGTCGAAAAGAACAAAATGGTTTAAAAATGCAGATATCAAACAAGAGGGAGAAAATAAAAATCTAGAGCCAATTTGGGTTTATTAATTAACACAATCAGTCTTATCAGTATACTTTGCAGGCAGTGTCTTTCCTAACTTCAGAATGAAGGAGGCACAAGGGCTTAAGGGGGAGCAGAGAGGGCTGTAAATATTATGCAGGTATGATACCTCGGGCCATTGCTCTGTTTTTATAGAGTAAGAATGTTTCCTTATGCTGTCACCTCAAAAGTTAGAAACGTGGTGCCTCCACCAAGGAAGTCAAGTACTTCTTCCTCTGTGACCCCCTCTGGGCTGTATTTATATAGACACAGCACTTACTGTAAAATGTTTGTATATATGTTTATCATCCCACTAAGGTTTGAGTTCTCTGCAGTCACGGCCCACACCTTTCTGCTTCTCTGAAGCCCTGGTACTGGGAATGCATTGGGCAGACAGTGAATAGTCACTCAATGTACATTTTAAAATGTCGTATACATCCTAGTTTCCTTTAGATCTCACATCCCCAGATCAGCCTGTGAGAATGAAGGCTCCATAAGGGTAGCTGCCGTTCTACCCCCACCCAAACCAGAGTAAGCCATCCCTGGTTTGGGTAGGGGCAGAACAGCAACTACCCTCAGGGAAGCTTCAATCTTCATGGCTCTTAGTAGGTGCTCAATAAATATTTGTTGAATCTGCAATATCTACTCAGTTTGCACACTGTGTAGTCAGTAGCAGACACCTATTCATCTCTGCAACCTACTTCTACCATTTTCTCTTCATCCAGAACCTCAAAAGTCACACAACTGTAGAGCCAAAAGAGACCTATGAGAGCATATGAGGAACAGAGAAGTCCTAAGCACTTTGATGTATTTAGGCATTTCACTGTGGCACCTTTCCAATCTTGAAATAAGTATCTGTTTTCTTCTGATAAATGATAAATATCTGGCCCCTTTTGATTGGTGGGGGTTTTAGTGATATGCAGTGTTAGAAACACTCATGGCTAGACTCAACTGGCAAGGCCAGGCAGATGAGGCAGCTTAGCCAATCAGTGGTGTATCAGTAGTTATCTCATCTCAGGACTACTGAAATCCTGGGCTTCTTACTCACCCATGACACAAACATATTCCTTTGGTGGGTTAATACTCTGCTGTGTTTGGGTAAACAGAATGGACACCGCTAACCTGCTCCTACACAAATGGAATGACCAAAGGGCCAGGGGCTATCTTAGATCCTGAGAGAACCCAGGCTAGAGAAGTCTCACCAGAACTGTAGGAAGTGGCCCCCACTGGAAATCACATAAGCTCAGTGCATGTGGGCAAGTCAGGGTCTTATGGTTTGAAGTGGACCAGGAATGCTTTCAAAAGTATGATCCCAGCAATCCAGGGTCCATGTGCAGAAGAGGGTAACACACTTCAGTTTCTCTTAGAACACTCTTGGACTGCCATCATCAAAGAGGTCTGATTAGCACAACTGGAGGGATGGGAGTGAGTGGTGGTAGACACACTCCAGAGAGGTGACTGGAATCTCTCCAGAGGAGGAAGCGTTGACATTCGGAAGCCATCAGTGAGAGATCATCTGATGTGGAGGCTCCTGGGAGATGGAGAAGCCTTTCTGCTTGGTGAGAAGACCAGCACAAAGAAATCCGAATCGACAGGGTTCAGACTGAGCAAATGGAGCTGTGGGCTCAGTGCTTACTTATTGTGGGCTGCAGCTGTCTTACTCTGCCTGTGACATCCACTTGTAACTTGCAGCCTTCACTGAGCCCGAGAGATAAAGGAAGGACAAACCCTATTTATTCTAAACTCCTCTCCTGGGCTTGGAGCAGGTACCGTGTATTAAGACGGTTGTGTGTACCTGAAAACAGCGTGCTCATTCGGTTTCCTCTCACAGAAGGATGCTTTCAATGTGATTTCATTTGAAGGAGTTAGGAACATGCAGGATATTTCTACTTTTCAGTTGGGATTTAAGTAAAAGAGAAAGAACTTCTATTTCCTTATAGCAAAAACTCAATATAGCATTTTCTATCAAATGGGAGAGCAAACCTCAGAAATAGGTAACAAGCCTCAACTTTAGACCCCACTTCCAGTTTCACGTCTTTGAAAGATTTCATATGACTTCTTTAACACTTCTGAAATTAAATTCCATGTCATTTATGTCTCTGCAAAAAAAAACTTTCTTTCTTTATTACTCAGTTCTAACATTTCTGAAAATCAAAACATCCAGAAATTTCCTTCCTGGCTCTGACATCAATATCCCTTCTTCCCAGTTCTACAAAACCTGCCTCATCACACGGATCCGCGTCCCCCATTCTGCGAGCCTTCTACATGTGACCCCTCTCCCATGACTGCCCATTTTCCTGCTCCAAATGAGAGGTTGAGTACATAGGATTGAATCTGTAAGTGACTATGACCTTCTTTGTTGAAAAGAATTGTCAAAATGGCCTTCAGTTATACTGTAATTATCTTCCTTCTTGGTCTTAATGTTTTCTTTCAGATTCGCAATGAGTAAAGTAATTGCATTTTACTTATTAATAAAGTGACCTACTAGAAAAAAATCAACTTTAAATTTTCAAGCCTAAAGCTAATTCCCATATTGCGATTTTTGCCCAAATTATTAAATATCTCTGGACACGGAGTTTCATGCTTCCTTCTGGAACAAGAATAAACAACCAAGTGACTCGATGGCCACAGTTCTGAGACTTTCTGAAAGCTGTCTATGAACAAACAGCCACTGGTTTGTGATAGATGATAAATATGATCATGAGAAAGGTGTCATTTAAAAGTGTTCACCTTTTAAAAATTATATCAGCAATACTTACAGGGGATCTTTAAAAAAAACTCCCTTGAAAATCCTTAAACAAACATCTTTTTAAAAAATTGCCTTCCTTCCCCTCTATTACCCCTCTACCTCCTTTCCTTCGTTTCTCCCTTCCTTCCTTCCTTGAAAGATTATTTCTTACAAATCTTGCCCCCCTCCCAAAAAAAAAACCAAAGTGCAAGAACAGAGACTTATATACATATGTAATTTTCCTGGTTTATCTAAAAAGTAGTTTACGACTCAACTTTTACATTTATCAAATAAAATGGTTATGTTCTAGTTCCCAACTTACATTTAGAAGAATGATCCACGTTTGCCCACTCAAATACTATGCTTTCCAATCATACTCTCTAATCTGACAAGACAAATGTATTTAACTACAAATCATAATATACGTAACCACCCACTGAGAGCTCATGTTCCACACTGTGTAAAGTGCTTATACACATTAACTAGTTCAATCACTACCACCTTGTGAAGTAGTATTATTACTTTAAAGATGAGAAAATCAAGGCAAAAAGAAGTATCTTACCCAAAGCCAGACCAATAGTTTAAGTAGCAGAGCTAAGATTCTGTAATAATTTTTTCCCTGACTTCTCTAAACCCACTGCAATTATAAAAAGAGTCAGGCCTCAACTTCTTCACAATATCATAAAAAAGGCCAGAAGAAGTTGAAAAATACTACAACTCAAGCAGGCTTCGTGAGACCTGGTGTTCCTGTCTGGAAAACATAGCACGGCCCCCTGCATGCTTGTATCCTTCCAGTTACTTCTGGAAGGTGACTCATGGGAGGTTCCTTTGGATGACAAAGTCAACATTAGTACATTGCAGCTCTTGAGAAATGCATGGTGGATCTGTATCAAGCTATCCTGGTGTGGTGAAGGTCAGGGTCCAGTCAGCTCACAGCAGCGGGGGTGAATAATGATGTCAAGAGTAACTATAATAGGTGATGAATTCTACCATGTTTCACCCAAATGGAAATGTTCTTCACCACATAAACAAATATTTTCAGCTATCTTATAGTTTTCCTTAAAATATTAGAAAAATATCAACATAAAGAATTTCTCTTGGGAAATGAAAACATGCTCTAAAAGCCACATTTCTATCAAAGAATAAGCAAAAAAACCCATAGATTATAGAAGCTATAATCCGTTTCATTACCCACAACTGCTCGTCTAGATCCTTCCAGATCAATAAGAGAAATCATGGCTCTCTATAACGTCACCCAGGGCAAACAGCAGTTGTCTCAAAGAGGAACAGAAAAATAGAAGCTAAAAAACTGACGCCAAACCATCTTAGTTATCACTGACAGAAAAGTTCAAATTGACACATGACATGCAAAGAGATTTTTCTGCTTCATTATTTTCCTGGGACAAGAAACTATGAATCAAGTTAAGTTATGATTCTCAAAATAATGACCATAAAAGTTTCTAAGAGAGGGCTCTAAGATTTCACCTTCTGTCAGAGGAAGCTTCACAAAAGGAGTATTCTATCTTGATCTCACCTCCAACCCAAATACAGTGAAAAGTGCACAGAGGTTCTATAGAGCGGAGGTAGTTGTGTGTGATGTTCATGCCTTTCTCTGGAGAGAACAGAACTGTGTCTTGTCTAGCAGGGAAGGTTGTTAAGTTATTTAATGAGCCCCGAGGAACCATGCTGTTTCTAAGGCTTCCCCAGGCCTCCTGCCACCTATACTGGTTCTCCAATACAACAGCGAATGTACCAAACAATTGGAAAAAGTGTCGCTGAGCACAAGGATCCGAAAGGATGATCCTGATAAACAAAGGCTGAGGAGTGGGAAAACCACACTGATGGAGAAGCTGTGACTTGTCAAGGCCAGTTTGCTCTCAGCAGATTCCTGTCCTTCTTTCTCCTTTCTGGCTTCCATTTCCAAAGAGTCAGCTTCCACATGTTTGCAATGTGACTCAAGGCTATAATGGTAGGAGAAGTGGAAGGAGTGTGTAGTGAAAAGCTGGGTCTTTCTTCTCTGCTAGCCATCTGGACTTCCACCCAACCTGGTTCTGCTGAGCTCACATGCTATGCCCGCTTGGGAAAAATAAAGTAAACTAAATTTGAGCTGTGCTCTCAAAGTCTGAATTGCTGGAACAGCACGTTTTCTGCAGGCTTAGATGACGACAAAGCATGGTTTACTATTACTTATATGGTAATAAAGAAATTATCAGGGTTTCTCTCTCTTTTTAAGGCTTAGTTAAATTAAGCTTAAGCTTCCCTAGGGATACCAAATGAAGTTTTCTTTGATCGAGGAGACACTTGCTAATAGAAGCAGAAATGTTCCCCTGCTCGCTGATGTCCGTCAATCAGCTAGGAGCAGTTTAGGTAAATACCTTTAAATTCTCAGACCTTTCTTTTTGGGAAAATATCAAGGGTTCAGTATTCAGAAAATTGCTGCATCTTCAAAGCGTGACCTCAGCCAGCAGCATCAGGGTTCAGATACAAGGCCAGCACATTTGTGCTGCCATTCCTCAAATGACTCCTCGATGCCCATGGAAAGCAAAAGCTTGATTCTCTCTTTCTGCCCTATGATACTCTCGGCTTTTCAATTCTCAGGACTGTTTTTTATCTTTGAATCTCTCCCTCTCAGGGTACCCAAGAGACCCAAGCAGAGAAAATAACAGAATGAGACTGTCAACATTCTGTAAAGCCAGAGTCCATCCAATACAAATAGGATATTATATTTCTGAAAGTAGCCAATTACACTTGATTTTCTGGAAGGCACAAAACATGCATAACAGAACTTCAACTTGGCAGTTCTTTTCCAAAGGGGAAAAAAACCCATATGGAAATAGGTGGCTTGAGAATGATCAGTATTCTACAGAACCCAGTACCTTCCCTAGGTAAGGAACAAATGGAAAAATTTAGGCTAATGAAAAACTTGACAGAAACAATGATAACACATCCCATGCTTTAATGACTAGAAAAACAATTCTTCGGATGCTTCAACAATATAAATAAACTATCAAGTAAAGATTTTTAAAAATTCCTCCCAGCCCTCTGTACTGGACTGTCTTCTGCCTGTGGTCACTCTGTGATATGGTTTGGCTGTGTCCCCACCCAAATCTCAACTTGAATTGTGCTCCCATAATTACCACATGTTGTGGGAGGGACCTGGTGGGAGATAATTGAATCACAGGGGTGGTTTCCCCCATACTGTTCTCATGGTAGTGAATAAGTCTCATGAGATCTGATGGTTTTATAATGGGAAACCCCTTTCACTTGGTTCTCATTCTTTCTTGTCTGCCACCATGTAAGACATGCCTTTCACCTTCTGCCATGATTATGAGGCCTCCCCAGCCACATGGAACTGTGAGTCCATTAAACCTCTTTCCTTTCTAAATTACCCAGTCTCAGATGTGTCTTTATCACCAGCGTGAGAACAGATTAATATTCTCTGGGTCATTACTCCCTTTCTCCACCAATGAACACCTCTGGGGTCTCTCAAAAGACAAACTCCCACCTCTGAGCCCTGGAGCAGCTACCAGCCTCCGTCTGTTCGATCACAAGGAAGAGAGGGAACCAAGCAGCCCTGGTACTGTGCAGTGACATCAATGCCCAGGATGCCCAAGACTAACTCCTCAAGGCTTGAGCAATGGACCCTACAGCCTTGTTAAATGATGAGCATGATGAGAAGGTGACGGAAGGGACACAACCTGCGGCCACATGGTTGGCAGGTGGTAAGACAGAGGAAGGACTTGCAGTTCTAGAGTTTTGAGTCTGTCATTCTTATAGTATTGAGTCAAACTGCTTTTCACATGATACTGTTCACAAGATTTTATTTAAATTCAAACCAATCATCGCCTCTTGGCAACTTAGGGACAGGGTCTAATCTCTTGATCTTGAATCTCCTTGCTTTAAATTGAAAGAGCCTCTGAAACAGGAACAATGCTTCCATAAAATACTTGATATGCAGGGAACACAAC
Source organism: Homo sapiens (assembly GCF_000001405.40). Taxonomy (NCBI): domain Eukaryota; kingdom Metazoa; phylum Chordata; class Mammalia; order Primates; family Hominidae; genus Homo; species Homo sapiens. The sequence goes on from NC_000016.10 coordinate 71,124,532, forward strand.
CAGGACTAAACTAACCTTTTGTTTTCTCTGATGCATTTGAAGATGTGAGATAGATAGATATAGGTCTGAGAAAATAAGCCTGTTTCTTATTTCTTTCCAGACCTTGAGGTAATAGTTTTAGTTTTTCTTTTTAAGTTTAACTCATTTGAACACAATGTCTTTCCTCAGTAGTCAGGAGCTGAAGAGTCCATCAGAAAGCAAGGTGGTCTCTAAGCCTCTTCATCACCCTTTTCTTTTCTTTTTACTTTTTGAGCAGAGTATCAATTAGAGATTGATTATTAGATTAGCAGGAAACACTGCTTGGTTCCAATCTCCTCTGCTTCTACTGTGAACTCAACTCATATCAACAAGCTAATTAAAATGAATCACACCCTAAGAAATAACCAATCACCGATGCATAGGTCCACTCTCAGAAATTAAGTAGTAGCCACTTGGCACAACTGACCTGAGAGTGAGCAAGATTCAGAAGAGACCTTCAGAAGCAAATGGTGCTGAATGATGCATGGTAGGTGTAGACAAATGTGTAAGCCATGACAGGCTGTCAGCTGGCCAGCGCGCCTCCTGATGCCTTCTCTGTGAAGTCACAGCCTCTCCTCTCTCTGCAGAGCCTTTAAATGTGAGGGCCTGGAGGCCCTCTTCAGCCCTCTGCAATTTCCTTTTCGCTCTGCTCTTAAGAGTTTTCACCTGCTTTTCATGGCTTCAGTGAAGATCTCCACAGCACACTCACAAATCTTGCTTCCAGTCCTGAATCCCCTCCCACAAATTTTAGTCCTGCATTTGCCAAATTTTTTGGATATCTATAGTCATCTCAAATTCAACATGTTCAGAGCCAAACTCGTCATCATTTATTGATTTAAATTTGTTCATTCATTCATTCGTTTATTAGCACTGGCCACAAATGAGGATAAGGACCTCCCTGACCTCAAGAAGCTCAGAGTCTGATCCTAAATTGGAGAGTCAGCATTTGTAGATCAAAAAGGATCAATGTGACTTAACTGCAATACCCTGTTTGTGTACAAGGCAACTGAAGCCAAGGAAGATCAAATGGCTTGTTTAAGCTTATATTGCTATTGGCAAAGCTAGCAGTTAAACTGAGGACTCCTGACTTGCTCCTTTCTATCAAAGACATCATAATTCTCCCAATATCTTCAGCACAGCTTTGGAGAAACACAAATGAAATTCCTCACAATGTCTCACCTCACCATCAACAGCCAGTTGATCAAAAAGCACTTTAGTGTCTTTCTTTTGAACATCTCAGATTTCTGCCATTTCCTTCCTTTCTGACCACCCCTGGGCTGTTCCAGGTCAGCAGCAGCCTCATGCATCACCCAACCTTGCCTACAGAGATGGTCAGTCTCTCTGACCCTTCCTGCACTGGGCATTTCCACTATCTGACCTGCACCACCCATCTCACCCTCTGTCTGTGTCCACATTCCACAGAACATGGACCCCAGTGGATGCTCTGTGGAGGGGGAGTCTGTGGTCACAGGGAAATGCTGCTTGCACTCCATTGCTTGGAGAGTCACCTTCTCTTGAACCAGTATTTCTTAAGCTTATTTGACCACAGAACTCCCTCTTTGCAAGGAACGCACATGACCACCCCCTAGATCCAGTGTTTCTGCAAAAGCATGGTGGGAGATGGCAGCCTGCAGTCTAAAGCACAGTAGGTTGGTCAGGTAGCTCCTTCCCTAATGGTCTGTTTTTGTAATTTTCCCAATTGGAAACATTCTCCAACATTGCTTGAAGTCAAGTGTTCATGTAGGGAAAGAAGGTTGGAGATGCGTGTCGAGGCTGAAACTTCTGTCATGTCAGAGGACTATCCAGGGCTCAAGTGAGCAAAGGGATCTCCACATACAATGGGTTAGATCAAGATGAGGACCAAAAATGTAAATAGGTCAAGACCAGAGACATGGAAAGGTCAGGAAGGAATCATTGGTGCACGCAGCCAGGTGGCTGAGCTGGGCTGAGGCAGGGAAGAGCTGTCAGTCGTGGTAATCTTAGATGTACTGGTAAGGTCCACGTGGTCCAAGTCTCTTCCCAGCTGCAGTGGAGATCGAGGCTGATGACTGCTCCTCCTGAGGATGGGTGGCCCTGGGACCACAACATGGCAGTCAGGAGGGGGCTGGGGGTAGGCCACTAGTGAGTCCTGCCCATTTCTATTTCAGAAGCAGGAAGAACGGAATTGCCTCGGATATGTTTCTTTGTTTTTGTAATTTTCCCAATTGGAAACATTCTCTGTCTCCTTTTCCACTTAATTAAATCTTACCCTTCCTCCAATCTTCAGTTCAGATCGCATTTCTTCTAAAAATCCTTTCCCAACTCACTCATCTGAGACTACTGTAGCATTTATTTACCTGAATCGGAAAACCAAAATTTCAACAGTAAAAAGCACCCTTGGCTTGCATTTGTGCCAAGAAGTCTGTGAAATAGTAGAATTTTCCCATTAAATACCTTTAAAAGTAATGTATAAGGTAAGATTATAGTACTTTCACAAACGAGAACTGTATTTATATAAAACTTTCAGGAACTATAGTTTTTAAGTAAGGAGATTTAACATAAATAAAGAATTCATTATAACTGATATTGAGTTCTGCTGTTTTGACCAGAATAACTTTGGGAAAACTAGGAAAGTTTCATGCCTTCATTTTCACTTTGCAAAAATTGTCAACCAGCTAATGAATACTATTATGAAAAGAAAGACTAAATAGCACAGGAGGAAAACAAAATCATGATAGATTCCATAAAGACCATTTATATTGGAAGTGAATATTTCTGCCTATTTCTGGCATCACCTCCCCCCCGACAATACAAATAAAATTAGTCTCATTTGCTTAAAAATTATCATTTTGGTACCATTTCTGTGTATTACTAAAACGTTTTTCTTCCTAAGGATAAAAAAAGGCTTCGTGACAAGAATGCTTAATTCAGTTCCCACTTGGAATTCAAAAACTATCATATTAGATGCCATATTTTAACATACATACATCTCCTTCATTGAACTGTGGGTTATGGAAGGAAACATAAGGAGAAGCTCATTGGAGGTAATTCCAGTGTTCCTACTTCTGAAATAGAAATGGGCAGGACTTACCTATGGATTATCCCTGGCCTCCTCCTGACCACCATGTTGTGGTCCCAGGGCTGCCCAGGGGTAGCAGTCATCAGCCTGGATGTCCAGTGCAGCTGGGAACAGTCTTGGACCGCATGAACCTTACCAGTATGTTTAAGATTAGCACAACTGATGGCTCTTCCCTGCCTCAGCCCAGCTCAGCCACCTGCTTGCACGCACCAATCAATAATCCCTTCTTGACCTTTTCCATATCTCTGGGCTTGACCTATTTTCACTTTTGGTCCTCATCTTGATCTAACCCATTATATTTGGAGATCCCTTTGCTCACTTGAGCCCTAGATAGTCCTCTGACATAACAGAAGTCTCAGCCTTGGCACACATCTCCAACCTTCTTTCCCTACATGAACCCTTGACTTCAAGAAACTAGTCTACTCATAGAGCCTTGGGTGAACCATGCCATGCACATCGACAATTTCATTCTCCAAAAGGCCTGTCCTGTGAGACTCAGGCCCAGGTTCTTCTCTCAAGAAGCCTTCTCCAACTTCTTTGACTATGAAAATCACCTCAGCCTCTGAACTAGAATACCTTACTGTCTTCTCCAGTGACTCACATAGCCGGCCCCAGAAAACTGTGTCCCAGAGGATGTCTCCAAGGGAAAAGCTCCCTCTTGGAGATTAACAACACACATTAGCATATTAAAGACTTTCCAAAGTCTTATAACCAAGAAACCTTTCAAACAATATTGACTCTCACGTTTCTCAAACGTACTTAGCCATGGAGCTCCTTTTCCGTGTTATATCCTTTAACAACAATTTAGAAGTGCAGATGGAAGGAAAATGAGCCTGCATAAGTCAATGGCATTTCTCACAAGTGACCTTGTATTCTAAAGTGTCCTCGTGTCCATGTCTCTTCTGTATCTGATTTAAATGGCAACAATTCGGCAGCGCTAACAAGCTGCGGGCTTCCTCACCTCCTATTGCTGTTTTTTTTGTTTGTTTTTTGTTTTTTGTTTTTTGAGATAGAGTCTCCTTTGTCGCCCAGGCTGGAGTACAATGGTGCAATCTCGGCTCACTGCAAGCTCCGTCTCCTGGGTTCACGCCATTCTCCTGCCTCAGCCTTCCTATCGCTGTTTTGATCCTCATATCACTCTCTGCCTGGTGGGAGTGAGCTAATACACAGGAAGCCTGTAGCACAGCACCTAGCATACAGTAAATAACAAAGCTGCTATTTCTTTGATTTGGGGGCAGTAGGGAGAAAGAGTGCTTAAGAGTTTAGTCTATGGAATCAGACAGACCCCATTCTAATTCTGGCACAGCTCTCACTAGAAAGACTACGAGGTCAAGGATCATGTCTGTTTTGTCCATCAATGTCTGGTACACGCACAGTGCCTGATACAGGCCATGCAGTCAATGAGTATTCAATGAATGAATGAAAGACAAAGCAGGTCTCAACCCAGGTGATTTTGCCCAACAGAGCATATTTGGCGGTGTACAGAGATAGTTTTGGCTGTCCCACTAGCATCTAGTGGGTAAAAGTAAGGATGTTTTGCATGAAACATCCTACAATGTATAGGACAAAGAATGACCCAGCCCCAAATGTCAACAGTGCCAGGGTTGAGAAGTCCTGCTGTACAGTCAGGCCAAACAGGGATGGATTTCTAAACACTGACCCCAGCTGTTAGGCCTTGAGCAAATCACAAAATTTCTGTCTTAATATCCTCATCTGTTGAATGGGATTCTAATGGGATCTTGTATTGTACACTTGTAAGCTAATACATATTCAAATGAGAAGAACTGCATAATCCCTAGGAAGTGGTTAACACAGTGACTGATGCATGGAAATTGTGACCTATATATGTGTCCCATGACATTCTTACCATTACCTTCTATATAATGTCTCACAGTGATGGTGAGTTTCTTCAGGTGGACTCTTCACTCTCTTGCAACTCACCGTCTCAATCCCCAAGTGAGCGCTCTTATCAAAGCAAGCCTGTGCTCCCACTTACATTTCCTGTATGGTCAGCTTTTATTTATATGCTCACCAGGGGCTCCACAGTGAAAACGTTATTGAAGAACAGCTTGCTGTCTCCCTGCACCAGCCTCCTCTGATTCGCAAAGGTTCGGGACAGAACAGAAAGATGTTCTCGGAGTAAAGGATCAGTAATGCACTCTTCAAAAAACTCATCAGTCTCATCCTTCTCCTCTTTGATCAGATCATCACAGGCCCTAAAGAAAACAGGCAATGTGAGATTCATGTGGGTACTCCCATGAAGAACTTTGTAAAGGGCTTCCCTCTAGTACCTCCTCCTGGAAATGTCCTCAGCCACCACCCTGGGGTGGTCCCTCCTTGCCCTGAGTCTGTAACCTGCTGCCCTTGCACTCAGTCCTCAAACCTCTCAGAGCCTCTGTTTGCTCATCTTCAACCACCTTCTTTAAGAGATCCTCCCTGGATTCCTTTCCTATTCAATACTCATTGCTTTACTCCTGAGCCCTTATGTATATCTGGACAAATATTTTCTTTCAGGTAATCCTGTTTTCCAGGCTGCTTTTTAAATATTTAACATCTATTCTGCCCCTCACATGGCAAGGACAATTTTGTTCCTTTTAAATTTGCTTAGCTTTAATTCTTTCTTAGCTGTTAGTTACCTGGAGCATAGAACCTGGGGCCGGCAGGGACTAGGTTTGCATACTAATTCTGTGATCTGTTTACTAGCTCTGTGACTTTGGCAGTTCCCTGATTCCTCTAAGCCTCAGTGCCTTCTCCTTCTAGAGACCACAGGAGCTGCTCCATCAGAAAGATGTGTTGAGGGTTAAATGTAATCAAGGCTCTAGTGCAGTTCCTGGGACAAAGCTGGCAACTCCATATATACCGGTTTTTTTTTTTTTTTTTTTTTTTTTTTTGAGACGGAGTCTCGCTCTGTCGCCCAGGCCGGACTGCGGACTGCAGTGGCGCAATCTCGGCTCACTGCAAGCTCCGCTTCCCGGGTTCACGCCATTCTCCTGCCTCAGCCTCCCGAGTAGCTGGGACTACAGGCGCCCGCCACCGCGCCCGGCTAATTTTTTGTATTTTTTAGTAGAGACGGGGTTTCACCTTGTTAGCCAGGATGGTCTCGATCTCCTGACCTCATGATCCACCCGCCTCGGCCTCCCAAAGTGCTGGGATTACAGGCGTGAGCCACCGCGCCCGGCCTATATACCGGTTTTCTCCCCCTGTCAACCATAGGCAATCGCCAAGCTGTCAGCTTACAAAATGCTCAAGCTATGCCTTAAGGCACCTCCTTTTCTCTCTTTTTCTAGCTTTTAATATCCATCGTGATAAGAGAGAACAGCAGCTTTCCCCAATCCACTCATTGCCCCCACCAGAGCTATGTTCACATTTCTCCTGAACTTTGCAGACTGAATTTTATCTCCTCCCAGGACATACGACCATATTCCCATCATTGTACTGGTATTACCAGGGGTGAGAGACAAATTATTTAGCAACATAAGTGCTGAGTGGGAGCCTAGGATCACTGAATTCCTGTCCCAGTTCCAACTCCTGTCAGTATTGTCAAATAACTCTTTTTAAATAACATATGTGTTCAGGGTGCTTTGATCACACACTGCAAAAAGAAGTCAAAGAAATGGGCTCGGTGTGTTCTGGTTCCAAGGAAGAAAGCATCTTGTGCTTGATTTTTATTGCCAGGTAGGAGGCAGTGTCCAAGGTGACTGGCAGCATTCCTTCCACACTGCTGGGCACGGCAGGGCAAATTAAAGACAGCTCAGTTTGCAGAAAGAAAGGAATCCATTTCTTTTTTATTTGATATTTTTGTTATCTGATACTGATCTGGAAAACTTACAGATTATATACCCTTAGAAACCAAAAAATTCCACTTGCAGGAATAAATCCTTAAAAACAATCATGGATATAAACAAAGACACAGCTACAAAGATGTCCATTAAAGTGCTGGAATGATACCAGATCAAGTGGGTAAATTTGATGTAAGATAATGAAGCACTGGTTGAACAGAAATGGGAATCATGAACATTACATTTATTGGGTACCTGTCAAACTTTGCACATGCATCATATAATTTAACACTCATAACTACCAGAAGGGTCATTAGCATTATAAGCATCATTCCCACTATATAGATGATGAAACTGAGGCTTAGAAAGGTTAAGTAACTCGCCCCAGATCACATAGCTGAAAGATAGCCTGGACTTCAGGGTCTTTGGAGGTTTGAATCCCCTGGTGCTAACCAATATGCACACTGCCTCCCAGGAATCCAGGGAATATTAGGGAATAATAAGCAGCCAGTAAAGTGGTATTAAATGGAATACTTAACATCATTTTCAAATGTCTGAAATGTTTTAAGGTGAAAAACAAAGTGGTAAAATGTAACATATACAATAATCCCACTTTTGTAATAAAAAAGCAAAAGAAAAATACATACTTATTAGGGAAAAAATACAGACTTAGACATACCAAAATATTGACTGTGGTTTCCCTGGTTGGAAGGATTAGAATGGATTTTTGCCCTCATCTTTGTGCTTAATATTTTCTAAATTTTATTAGTGCACAATGTATTTCTTTTTAAACCAGAAAACAAGTCATTTAAGAAATTAAATGTTAATTAATTCTCAGGCTGAGGCACTAAGATTTTGACCTGGTTGCCTTTGCCTAACATGCCTGCATTGGCATGAGCCTGTGGATGCCACCCCTGGAAGAGTGCACAGGTGGAATGTGGGGTGACACAATGTGGTCTGGTCTGCAGAAGGTGGAGGCAATGGATTAGATATACACATAGCAACATGAATGGATCTTAAGCACACAACCTCGTGAGAAAAAGGAGAAAATGGAATACAAAATATGACTTCTCTCTGTCTCTCCCCCAAGACAATATACATTTTGAAAGAACAGATTCATGTAAAAAGATAGACACAGTAACATATTAGAATGGTATCTTTGGGGGAATTAACAGGAGTGGGGTGTGGGGATGTAAGAGAATAAATAAAATGCTTTGTGTGGACTGAGGATGAAGATGATAGTGCTCCATGGACTGAGGAGTATGAGAAATGCAATCCCTGTACCAGAAAACAAAGAGAACAAAACAAATTCGAAAACGCTGGTCTTCTCCCATGCTGTTGAAACTCCAAAACAGCCAGTAGAAGGCAAAGGGAGGAGAGAGGGTACTGGATTCTTCCTCTGATGGAGAATTGGAGCCAGGACTGAGAGTCTAAGGAGGAGGTGTATAGCCACAACTTCATGTGGCCTGGCTCCAACAAGGGCTTCCATAGATCTCAGTCCTAGTGTTTTGCCATCTCGTCCTGTTGATAGTCATGGTTTCTTGCACTCAGAGGTGGTTCTCTTTTATAGATGAGGAGACCTTTCATCAGACAGCATAACAGCAGGCCAGCCCTCTCTTCAGTAAAACCATGGGCTTAACCCATTTTACAAATGGTCTAGTAGCTACCAACACCTTTAACAGTCAATGGGGAAGATGTGTGTCTCCAGTGCAGCAGGGTTGAACGAGTAATAGTCCCTCATCTTCAGGTACTCAAGGCCTGTAATCTGCTCCCTTCAGCACCCACAAGAGGTGCCAACTGAATGCTGAGGAGATTAAAAACTAAGAGCCATGGTCTTGAGAGCTAGAGGAAATACTCCCATGTCCACACTTGGCCTGGAACAAATGGAGCCATCCACCTTCAAATGGAAAATGGATCATGTGACTCTAAACAGTTAGCAACTCTGTGATCAATGTTACAAATGAAGAACTAGAGATCCTCTCCCTGTTTGGCAGTACCACGTAAATCTTCGGATTTTTGTATAAACCCTAGGGAAGGAAAGGGGCCTCTAAACATAACTGAGATTAAGTTTATTATGACACAGGTGGTAGGCTCAAAGCCCAATTAAAACTGATTTATCTAAGGAAACATGTCATTTCCTCCATCTGCATATTATAGAATAAATCCATGCTGACCACTCTGAGGGGCTCCTTTGAGAATTGTAGGAGCTCTTGTACAGAGCAAATCTAGAATTAGAGCTGGCTGCTATTGAGAAAACGGCTGTGACCTTGCTGGGGAAATGGGGAGCAAAAATCCTTAAAGCCCATGCCAAGTCTCTGAATACAGTGAACGTGATAAGAATGAGTATGAAAGAATCTTGCAGAATGTTTTAAAATCCCTCAGGACAAGGTTGAGGAAGCAAGGAGGGATGAATGCAGCCTCCATCTCTGAAGAGATTAATTTCTCTGCAAGTCTCAGGAAAACATCAAAAGAAAGAAATAAAGGTGACCTTTTAAAGGTCCCTATACATCTGATTATCAAGTTAAAAAAAAAAATTTAAAGTACAGAACTTCTTCCCACGGGGAGGAACGTCATTGCCCAAGTGTGTAGCATGGGAACAACCCTCTGTCCCCAAACCTGGACATGTGTCCTAAGGTTTTTAGCAATACTTTGAGGTAGGTGTGGAGGAAGGCCAAACAGTAAACTGCTGGAAACGAATTGGTATTCCTGGGGCTGAAATTCCTCCACTGCAAGAAGAGATATCCAAGTCTTTGCTCATCAAGATACAAGAGGACAAGAAACCATGATGGCTAGAATGGGACTTGAGTGTATCTGTTGAAGCTATTAGCATTATTGAAGCGATCTTAGAGCAACTTTCAGCCCCTGGAGATGAATGCCACAGGACATGCTTTAAGCTATGTTAAAATGCTAGAAAAACAGTGGACAGGCTCTTCAGTCTGACCTGAAAGTTTACCAGAAGTTAAATCTTTTAACTATAGAGGTTGCTGAAGGAGGGGGAACAAAGGAAGAAGGTGCACCCCATTATGAGCAAGAGAGTGAGACATCAAGAGAATAACGCCTGATTCAGCTCTGCAGGCCTTGCTGGGGTGCTCAAAAGAGGATTCACCCCATTCGCTAAAGATCTCGCTGCTGCTTTTCAGGGATGGGCGGGTCTCTGCCCATAAGCAAGCTACCAAAGAACATTCTGCTTTCTTGACCCCTGATGTGTGGCCTGGGACACGATCTGAGAATTTGTGACATGGAGGAGGAGGGGCCTACACTCACAGAAAGAGCACCACTGCCCTGTCCAGAAAGCAGGAGTTAAATGTTTAGTAAAGGGCAAACTTGTCTGTACTTGCCTTCCTTTCCAAGAGGTTGGGCATTTCATGACAGTTACTTCAAGGACAAGAATTCACGGCTTATAATAGGAAAGTTGTTTGCTTTCTTATTATTATGCTTGGGCTGTATCGAGGAACAATGGAGAGAAGAGCAAGAAGTGCCACCCTGGTGCAACAAGAGATCAGCATGACTGGTATCCTTTTTCCCTCTTGGCCAAGCTCCTGGCACTCAGGAGAGAGGTGGGAGGAAGAGAAGGGAAAGCACGTCGTAGACTCTTTACCGAGATAAAACAATAGTTTGGAGAAACAGGAGTTCTGGCCCTGTATGTCACACAGAGTGAAAGTGGTGGTATTCTTATTTATCTGAAGCCACTTTTCAAGTCTATTAGTTAAAAGAGGGTCATGATTCTAGATGATAAAATCAGGTTTCCAATCATGGTTATAAAAATGCTATCCTATATTTTTCCCCTTGTTACAAAGAAGTTGCCAGAAGAAATAATAGAAAGAGCAAGGGAGATAGTAAAAGAAAATGATGCAAGAGAAAGGGAAGAATAAAAGACAATATTAAAGAGATAGGGGTGTGAGTGTCAGGGGAGGTGAAGTGGGGAAAAAACTAAAATCAATGCCCATCCACTGTGGCTGAATTATATTCTCTATAGTTTAGCATCTCTGATAACCATTGGTTTAAATTTTTTTAGAGTTTAACTGCTGAAATTAACGTCCTTACATAGTTTTTGGTATTGGCATGGCATCAATCACATATTATCCATATAGCCAAACACACAGACATGGCTGAAATTAAAGCTGGCTTTCCCTCTTACAATGGGTACTCACTCTCCACAAAGGGTTATGCCCACAGGACAAGAATGATACTGAAACACTACTTTGCTATTTTACTTTCTTTACTTGGATCTCCTTTCCAACTTTCCCTTCAAGCATGTTGGGCCATTTTGATCGCTGGTGAGCACATGTGAGTCGGGGAACCAGGGCAAAGGAAGCAGTACTGGATCCTTTTCCTTGTGCCTTTTAAAACCACAGATATTTCTATGCCATAAAGCCAGAGGAAGATTTTAGGCATAAGTGGTTTTTCTTTCCTCATTTTTTAAAAGATGGCACAGTGGCAATTCAGTGATTAAAGCTCATTGTCTGAATGACAAAGCTTCTGGCCCACTGTGTCCTGTCATTGTCGTGGCTTCTGATTCAATTAGGGACTGCACACTGGGGGGGTTCTTCCTGGTTTCCACGGACCTAAGACTTTTATTTTTATCACATACGAACTTGGTTTTAAACAAAGTTTGAAGCTTCCCAGGGCTAATCTTTAATGAAAATGGAAAGGCAAATAAAAAAGGCTGAAATAAATTCCAATGAAAGCAGCAAAAGTGTTAATTCAGGGAGGTTGGAAGGAGATAAAAATGAAAATGGAGCTTAAAAGAGGCAAGCATGGATTCAGTAAAAAGAAATCTTCAAAATTTAACAGTGATGAGATTAGCTACAACAGTTTGGTTTTACATTTTATTAATTTTCTCCACTGCCTGAAGTGCCATTTTTAAAACCATAATATTAAAGATACCAATAAGAAATCATTATTAACTTATATAGCTTGCAGGGACTGGAGCAATGCTACTAAAACCAAGAATATAAAAGCCATTATATCTAAGCCCTTCTTTTTCCTCAATCTTCATATTTTCTACAAGTATCTTTTCACTGAAAAAAATTCCACATTGATGCCAATCCAAAATAGATTATTTTTAGGAACGCTTTATAAAAGCTGATCAACCTGGCCGGGCATGGTGGCTCACGCTTGTAATCCCAACACTTTGGGAGGGTGAGGCAGGCAGATCATGAGGTCAAGGAGCTTGAGACCAGCCTGGCCAACATATTGAAACCCCATGTCTCTACTAAAAGTACAAAAAATTAGCCGGGCGTGGTGGTGGGTGCCTGTAATCCTAGCTACTCAGGAGGCTGAGGCAGGAGAATTGCTTGAACCCAGGAGGCAGAGGTTGTAGTGAGCTGAGATCGCGCCACTGCACACCAGCCCTGGCGACAGTACGAGACTCCATCTCAAAAAAAAAAAAAACAAAAAAAACAAAAAAAAAACCTGATCAACCTAGTTAGGGTTATGAAAAGTAATAGAGACAGGTAGACTTGTTTTGAAAGAATAGTGAAGAATGATAGGTTTTGTCTTCAAAATCTAGGCATTCCATTACTGCTAAACTATAAACAGGTTACATCAACTCAGGATGGACATTCTGTTCCACATAGCTCAGCTCAGATCGTTCAAATGAGCAGCTTCAAAAGAGGATCTTAAACCAGAACCAAGTTAGAAAAATGTGACATTGGTTGAGTTGGCTAAAAATGTAGTACAAAATTCACTAATTTTTCATAATAACTGAGTTTTACATTCCCCCCCTCCAAATTACTGCATATAGGTGATTTTTGTTACAGACCTATATTTTTCTCTGTCCTCTTCTTGCTGGGTAGCAAATACCTTCCACAGGAAATGGGCAATGATATTACTGCGATTGTGAATGGTTATAGTTCGCTGATTGGCCAGAGATATGTAGGTTTTCTCGATGGTCAAGGAATTCTTATCCAGCCTTATATTCATGTCTATGGCAGCTCCATAGAGAGATACAAACACCTTTTCACCTAGGAATTAACAAAGTACAAACACACTTCAAGATTTATTCTAAAATTACACACCTAGGCTATCTTTTTTTCAAGCTGAAGTTAGGCAAAATAGCATAAGCATCAGGATTTCATTCTTTCCACTGTACCCCCATCAGTTCAGAGATAAGATATGATCAGAAAACAAATATTATGCTTGGTGCAGTTATAGAAAAATCAAGCTATCTTGCCTGGTCATTGTAAGAAATATATAAAATATGTATTGTTGTTGTGGGCACTCCAAAACTTTTTCTTTTTTGTAAATAGCTTTCAATCCTACAGCCTGACCAGGAGAGCAATCGAGTTATAGAATTTTACTCTATGCCTCATCTTTAGCTCATGCATGAGCTTGATTTGTCATTCTTAAAAATGCTTGTACCAACTATACTTAAGAAGAGCTGCTCAATATGAGAGAATTTAAGTCCATTTGAGAACAGTGATCAGGAGGGAAAATTCAGTAACTTCAAAAATAGAAAACTGACTACTTAAAAGAAACCACATCCCTAAACAGCAATTAAAACAAAACAAAACAAAACAAAACAAAAGAAACACACACACACATACACACACACACACACACCCCTGACATGTCTGGATAGTGGCCACATAAAAAGAAGACAAAAATTGTATTAAAAATTTAAAAATTTTAAATATTAGGAATATCTTTATTCAGTATAGCAATTTAAGCCCCTGACTTTATTCAGGATGCACCAATTACCTTGATTCTTAGTATATAAGTGAGTTTTCAAGAAGACACAAACCTATAAACTATATTTGATTTGATCTCTGCAATGTCACAGCAGGTGCATTACTCTGACATCATATAGAAAAAATAAATATCGAAATACCATGAATGTTTTGTTGATTTATGTTGCTAAAGTTTTAAAGCATCATTACTTGTATCTTATTTTTTAGCAAACATTTCTGCTCCATTCACTGTTGTATGAACCAGTCATTCAGGAAATCAACAACCCTTTATACATTTTAAATGTTCTTTAGGCTCAATAACTTTGGATGCAGAAAAAACTTTCCCCAAAGAAAGAAAAAGTAAGCATCTAGGCATTTGACTTTAAAATTTTTATTTCAAAAACTTATATAGAGAGTCAAAATTTCAAGTACTATAAAAGCAAATACAATGAAACTAAAAAATATATTTCTCCCCTTCACCTAACTCCAAGTCTGATTTTTAGAGGTAAGAACTGTCAATATTTTCATGCACATCCTTTCCAAAAAAAAGGTATGCACTCTTGTCAACTTTTAAACTTTCTTTGAGTGAAATGTAACAATCTGATAAGTGAAAACTCATTGTTACTTTAATTGGAATATCCTTAATTATGGATGGTGTTGAACACCTTTTCATAAATTAATTGGCTTAAACCAAAGAGAAAACCCCTCCTCCAAATAAGTTAATACTCAAAGAACTATGCCTTCTGCTGGTTGTGGTGGCTCATGCATGTAATCCCAGCACTTCGGGAGGCCGAGGCAGGCAGATCACCCGAGGTCGGGAGTTCAAGACCAGCCTCATCCACATGGAGAAACCCCATCTCTACTAAAAAATACAAAATTAGCTGGGCATGGTGGCGCATGCCTGTAGTCCCAGCTACTCAGGCAGCTGAGGCAGGAGAATCACTTGAACCCGGGAGGCGGAGGTTGTGGTGAGCCAAGATCGTCCCATTGCACTCTACCCTGGGCAACAAGAGCAAAACTCTGTCTCAAATAAAGAAGAAAAAAAAAAAAAAAAAAAAAAGAACTATGCTTTCAAGATGAGGGTGAACTGGAAGTAGATTAGCCTTAGTACAGAGTTGAATACCATGCTGGAATTGCCTATGTCTTGCAAATAACTTCAAACCTTGAATTTGATAATTATTGACTGGTTAGACACTTGGTGAAAGAAACTCAATTTTTTGGGGGGGGAAAGGTACTTGCATCCAAAGTTTCAAAATTTTCAATGTTGTTTAAAAAGCACATAACCAAAACATAATGATGCAATGCAAGGAAATAAAACTCCATGTGTTGGAACCAGCAGGTACAAGAAAAATGGAAATAGGCCCACAAAAATATCAGACACTAGGAATCATCAGATAGAAACTATGAACCAATTATACATACTATGTTTAAAGAAACAAATGGATTGCTGAAGCCATATGTAGGAAATAGAAAATCAATAAGATCTTTAAAAATTTTGAAAAAAGCCACACTCTAGGACCTACAGAAATAAAATAGTCTAAATTAGAAAAAATTCAAAATAAATATTTAATAAAATAATTTTATTATTTTTCATGACAAATTAGTGAAATGGGAGGTAGTTCAGAAAACACAAAAGGCAATATGAAGAAATAAAAATATATGAAAAATACAGTGGATAAGATACAAGGAAGATAAAGTTAGAAGGTCTAAAAGTATTGAATTGGAAACTCTCAGAAGGAGAGGAAAGAGATAATGAAGCAAAGACAGTATTTCAAAAGATGATGGCTAAGAATTTTGTTTGGAATTAAAGACATCAGTTCACAGTTCAAAAGGCCAGTGAAAGTCAAATTGGATAAATTTTTTAAAAATCAGACCTGAATATATTGCAGTGAAACTGAAGAAAACCAAAGACAAAGAAAAAATCCTGAAAGCAGCCTGAGGAAAAAAACATTATTTTTAAAGTTTCCACACTTGGAATTACACCTAACTTTTGAACTGAAACAATGGAAACTAAAAAATAATGGAATGATATCTTCAATATGACAAAGGTGAAAACAATGCCATTCAAGAGTTCTACACAAATTTTCCAGCTTTTTTTTGTCTGCAAATATCTTTCTTTTGTCTTCACTTTTAAAGAATACTTTAAAAGTGGTATAAATTTGCATTGTTTTCTTTCAGTGCTTCAACAGTGCCATTTGACTGTCTTCCAGCTTCCATAATTTCAGCAGAAAATTTTGCCATCAGTATTCTTAGTGTTCCTGTTAAGGTAATGTATCTTTTTTCTCTGGGTACTTTTATAATGTGCTCTTTGCTTTAGATTTCAGCCATTTAACCATAATATGCCTAAGTTTGGTTTTCTTTGTACTTGTACCACCACAGGCTTGCTCAGTGTTTATAAACCTCTGGATTAAGGTCATGTATCATTTCTGGAAAATTCTCAGCCATTATTGCTTAAAATATTTTCTACTCCATTCTTCCTCCTCCACTTTTGAGACTCCAGTTACATGTATGTTGACCTTCTGACTGTGTCCCACTTGGCTGTTCTATTTTTTCCCCATTCTTTTCTATTTCTCTCTGTGCTTCCGTTTGGGTATTTTCTATTGACCTGTCTTCAGGTTCACTAATCCTATCTTTTGCAGTATCCATTTTGCTGCTAAAGTCATACCATTAGTTCTTAATTTCCAACACTGTATTTTTCAGTATAACATTGTTATTAAAATCTGATAAAGATATAACAACGATATAGGCCAATCTATAGGCCAATTGCACTTCTGAATAACAATGTAAAATTTCTGAATAAAAATAGCTAATCATTATATATCAGCACATTAAAGGAATGATACTTCATAACCAAGTGGAATTTATTCCAGAAATGCAATAATGTCCCACTACTAGAAATCTGTTTATGTAGCAATAGATCTAAGGAAAAAAAATGGTATGATCCTCACTGATGCTGAAAAAGAATTTGACAAAACTCAAAACGCATTTTAAAAACATCTATAAAATAGAAATTGATAGAATTAAAATATAGTAAAGTCTCGGTAATTAAAATATTAATAGCATGGTAGCAGTGCATGAAGAGACAGATCAGTGGAATAGAATGAAGTCAAAACAGACCCAAATGCACACTGGAATTTAGTATATTATAAAGGCAGTATCTCAAATCATTGGTATAAAGACATATTTGTAAAAAAAAAAAAAGTATTGTTAGGACAACTTCATAGCCATATGAAAAAACATATCTCATATCTTATATCAGAATAAATGTCAAGTGAGTCAAATATTTAAATGTTCAATATGAAGCCATATATATAAAACAATATAAATGAGAATTTCTTCATAACTTTAGAGAGGGAAAAGTTTCCTATGACTCAAAATCCAGATCCCTCTAAAAAACTAAGAAATTTGATTACCTAAAAATGAAAAAGAAACTCATTCAAAAGAAATAAATACATGACCCATCCAAAAACTTGACTGTAAAAGGGATACAGGACCTCTAAGAAACATGTACAGCTGCAAGATAGCACTAGTAATAAAAGAAATATAAAATATCATTTCATGACCATCAAATTAACAAACAAAAATCAAACAGTTTTATAATATCGTTTCAGCAATATATTGGCAAGAATATGGAAAAAGAATTTTTGTATACTTCTGATGAAAGTATAAATTGCCACAACTTGACAAGCCAATTTAGTATCCAGTAAAGCTCAGGATAATTTTGCCCTACACCCCAGCAATTGCACTTGTAGGTATTTATCCTAAAGGAAAATCTCACACAGCTGCCCAAGAAGACACTGTACGAAGCTGCTCAATGCAACACTGTTTTTAGAAGCAAAGAAGTAAATATTCAATTTTCACATACTGGAATGTGGCACATTCATTAAAATGAATCAGAGTAATGTGTATCTACGTGTTTAAATATTTAAAACAACATTGAATGAAAAAAGCAAGTTGGAGAATTTTATGTACAGTATGATACCATTTATGTGAACTTTAAAACTGCTCAAGACAATACTATATATTGTTTATGGATAAGTAAATATGTAGGAATAGCATTAAAATGCACCCAGTAAAGCTCCTCTGAGGAGCAAGATATGGGAATTAGATCAGAAAAGGGTAACAAAGTGGCTTCAGGTCTGTAATCGGTTTGATTATCCAAAAAAAATAAAACCTCTAGAAAGAAATGTGTACGGCAAAAGGTTGAGATGTGTTACATATAACAGGTGTTGATTATATTATTCTCTGTGTTTTTGTGGTTATCTGAAATATGTCATTGTTTAAAAAAATAATCAAAGGGAATAAGAGATCCAAGGGCTTATTTCACGCAACCTAGGGGTCAGAGAGACTAATGTCATTAATTTGAGCTGCTCACTGCAAAAGTCTTCCTTCCCAGAAATATAGCAAAAGCTATTTTTTTTCAAGAACCATCCAGTATTGATTTTTTTCACCACTATCTTCCAAAACTCATCAGCTCCACAAAGTGAAGGAAGCAATAACTCTTCTCTTATCCCCAAAGCTGTTGAAGTATTTGGTTTTTATAATACCTACTTTTATAGAGACAACCTGAAAAAGGTTCCCCAACCCTTAGCTACTTTGAAGTGGTTGGAAGTGGTGTCATGTCTCCAGGAATGGATGGGGAAGCTGTTCCTCAACATTAGCATTCTTTGTGTCCTTGGAGGACCTGTTCCCGCACTGGTGCCTTTTTGGTTTCCGGAGTTGCATGCTGCAATCATTGTAGATAGGCTTAGGAACAATCTTTTACTACATCCCAATACAGACATATTTTGTGGAAGGTCTCACTATCTCTTGCCAGGTTTGCTACCATCAATCAAGTAAAAACAAATATGAACAAAACTAATTTTACAAAAATGAATGTGAAGGTAACTATATATATAATACGCTTCATACTATGGTTTCAGTACTCTCAGACAACAGAGGACACTAAGTTAAATTTATGGGTGGAGCCATAGATTTTCCAGGGAACTAACAAGTTGATGGAAAGTTTTTCATCACTTGGTGACAACAGGGTCAAATTCACTACGGTAGTGCATTACTGAACCGAACTTCTTTGGAAGTGCTCTTTGTTCAGGAAACTTAAGCAACTTGATGGCTCACCTGGCATGTCAGTGGCAATGCCAAAACCGGTATTCTCAGTCTGCACAGAAGGCAGTGTGAAATGCAGAAAGTGTACTGGCCTCAGGGGGTCCCAAAGACCTGGGTTCAAATTCCAGCTTTACTGAGCTGTAAAGTCATTTAACGTCTCTGGGCTTCAGTTTACTTATCACTAAAATGAAGGGAGTTAAAGAAACGTCCCTTTAAATACTAACACCTGCTAATTTGCAAGTCTTCACTTGCTATGAACTTATAGAAACCTTATCTCACTTCCCTAAACATTTAAAGCCCTGACAATCAGAGTGTCTTAACTTCTGCTACTTCCTATTCTAAGCTATGGAATAAGAAACAAAGAAAAGAAAACAAGGTCAAGTAATGTTTCCATTGCTTCTAAAGCCATGTTAAAACATTTGCTTCTTTTACAATACCTCTGTTTGGCTAGATTTTCTAGTTATAACAGCACACATTTATAATTAATAATAATCCCACCATTGAAACAAAGTTGATGCGGGTAAGTCTGCATAGATATTAATAGATTCAGATAGATATTATTTAGCATTTTCAACTGCAAAGCAGCAACATTACAGTCAATTACTGACTATATTATATTTTGGTATGCCTCTATTGGCCTTTATGAGGAAAAAAAGAAAAATTCTTTATGGTTTTAGAAAGCTTACTAGAGTAAAATATGTAAATTACTATAAAGCTGCCGTGTGAAGCACTAATATTATGACTGTGTGTATATTTAATAATAACACACCATCACACCTTTGGGGAAAAAGGTTACTTGCCAACTGCTGACTCCTAAAGTATCTCCTCTTCAGTAAGAGACATAATACTTTAAAAAACGCTGAATACGTGCATCAACTCTATTTCCTGAGTATGCCAATGGTTAATGTCACTTCTAAGGTGAGAAGAGTAACCTCATCAGGCATTGAAGAAGAAACCCCCTACACTACTATTTCTGGTACTCATTCTAGTAACCAAAGTTTCAATACAAATATCTTTTTTCTTTTTCTTTTTTTTATTTTGTTCAAATGTCTTTTTTGAAATGCTGTTCTGAATAGTAATATCTCCTTGAATCCTGTGATTATATTAATTTCTCAAGACTCAGTTGAAAAGTGCAAAACTTCAGCAATTAACCATTTGTTTGTCTCTTCAGAGGCAAATGATACTTCCAGTTATTTGTTTGGTTTTGGATTTGGTTTTGGTTTGGTTTTGTTGTTATCAATGTAGCCTTGAGTAATTGTATTTTTAATCTCTTCTGGAGGGATGAGTTTATAAAAGGTATCACCTTGCATCAGTTCTTTCTCAATTTTAGACTATAATAAAAAAGATAATTAAATCATTTCTCAGGTAAAATCAACTGCTTAAACAAACTTGATTTTACTATACGCAGGCACCCACAGGAAGAAAGAGGAAAAGAGAAGGGAGGGGAGAATTCTGGTTCAGAAAAACATTAATGGGTAAAATATTAGATATTGCTGAAACTTTTTTATGCTCAACCTCCTTAATTGCTAGAGCACTGGTTCAAACTCTGGTTGTCAGAAAAAGCAAAGAAATCTCCTAACTTCATTTAATCAAGAATATATTCAGCGGAGGGCCAGAAACGGAAGGAACAAATGCCACTGTTAGGAACGTGATTGAGTACTTCCTGCTGAGGAGTGTCAATGCTGCTCCTTCTGGAACATTGTTTTAGGAATTATAAAGAAAAGACTCATCAACAGCCCATGTTAAATTTCCTTCCCCAAATAAATTCATATTTCAAACAGCTGCAGAAAGTTCAATCGGATGCTTATTTAATGAAATGAAAAGCCAATGATCATGGCTGCTTGGAAAAGCTTCATGATTAATTGTGTTTAGGCAGTTATTAGCATTTTTCACTAATGAAAGGTTATGGATTCTGGTCATTAACAACCCACAATAAAGATTGAAAGCATATTCTTAGCAGCAGTTCATTTCATGTAAGGAAAAATGCTATAAGACAGTTTACCTCTGCAATCTTCAGAATATGACTTTATTCATTCACCAAAGGTAACATCAGAACCTCAGGAGGTAGAAACCAACTTTTCTATGAATGATTAATTTTTTTTTTTTTTTTGAGATGGAGTCTAGCTCTGTCGCCAGGCTGGAGTGTAGTGGCACGATCTTGCCTCACTGTAACCTCCGACTCCCTGGTTCAAGAAATTCTCTTGCCTCAGCCTCCCAAGTAGCTGGGATTACAGGCACACGCCATCACACCCAGCTAATTTTTGTATTTTTAGTAGAGATGGGGTTTCACCATATTGGCCAGGATGGTCTCGATCTTCTGACCTTGTGATCTGCCTGCCTTGGCCTCCCGATTACAGGCGTGAGTCACCACCCCTGGCTGAATGATTAAATTTTAATACACAAATATTTATTGTGGTTCAACCTATCTTTCCTTTAGCACAGCAGTATATATGTAAGTATGGGTGTCATTCCAAATGCTTACATAAAAGTAAAATTGATATCCAGGGAGGCTGGCAAAATGCAGCCGCATTTCAAAGGCAGCACATCAAGAGAGCACAAATGCACAAAGAGTTATATGGGAGATGAGACGATCTGCTATAGTGAAAGAACACTGCCCAGGAGGTAAGAGGCTGAGTCTGGCTTCTAACTGGGCTTCTATTTGGGCTTCTGATTAGTTCTGTGACCTTGGGTGAGCCACTTAATTTCTTAGGGCTTTAGTTTCTCTATCTGTAAAATCTAAGGGTTAGATGAGGTTATCAGTGAAGTCGTCACTCAAGTTTTGATTCTATCGAGCTATAAGCACTCTAAATCAGCTGAACTCAAAACTCAACAAATAGCGTTTTTTGAAATTATACCCCAACATATGTAGAGTTGTTTATTTATAAATTATACCCATATGCTAGATTGCTCATGTGTCAAATGTATTAAAAATACCCCCAAATGTTTAAAAGAATGAGATAAAGATGAAATAAACAATTATTTTAAAGATAATGTATTTACTATTTTTACCAACAATTATTTTAACAAGAGTAAAAGGGTTGACTATGCTTCATTCTTTTTCAAACTCCTGATTTAAAATCTTGTGATACAGTGACCCAAATCTAATTCTAAGGCCACATTTATTCTGACACTTCGTTTCAGCAACTAACATAAGCAAAATCAACAAGGATGTAAGACATAAGATGTATGCAAAATCAACAAAAATACGGAGATCCAGAGAGAAAAAAAATGTATCACTGACCATATTTATTAGCAGGCATATGTTTCTTCAGTTTCATCCACTATCAGTACCAGTAACACAATGGTTTTGGCTGAAATTCAGCTAATAATTTTACCATAATGGGAACAATTACTTAATAGTCAAACAGGAGGTTCAAATATATCTATAATTGCATTTAACATAAAATGACTGAATAGTACAATTAAAAGACAAAGATTTTCAGACCGGATTTAATAATCAGCCTCATTGGTGATGCTTCCAAATGTCATACTTTAAATGTGAGGAAGGTTGAAAGTGAAAGGATAAACAGATTGTACTATGTCCACACTAATCAAAAGAAAGCTTCTATGTTGTATAAATATCAGATCGAGTAGACTTTAGTGTCATAAATCTTACTAAAGATTGAGACATTTTATAATAAAATGGTTAATTCAACAGGAAGTTATAATAATCCTACATGTGTATACGTCAAGTATCATGGCCTCGAAATATATAAAATGAAAATTATTAGCACCAAAAAAGAGGAACACCTAAGTTGTAGTTGTGGATTTTAATGACATCTTCCAATAACTGATAAAACAAGGAGACAAAACGTTAGTAAAGATATAGATTGAATGGCATCATTATTAACAAATTTGACCTAATTGACATTTATGGAAGGTGTACCCTTTTGAAGCGTACAGGGAACATTTACCAAAATGGAACATATTTTGGGTCATAATGTAAGTCTCAACTAATTTCAAGGCCTGAAATCGTATAGAACTTGCTTTCTGTCACTGGTAGGATTAAACAAGAAATCAATAACAAAAAGAGACCTAGAAAATTCCCTAATGTTTGAATATTAATCAACGCATTGCTAAATAGCCCATGTGTCAAAAAAGAAATAAAAATGTAAATTCTAAAATATTTTCAATCAAGTGTTAAAAACAAAATATGTAAAAACATATGGGCTGAAGATTGAGTCAATTTTAGAGGAAAATGTATTGTCTTAAATGCATGTATTATAAAAGAAGAAAGGCTGAACATCAATATTCTGAGCATCCCTGTTAAGATCTAGAAAAATCATAACAAATCAAACCTAAAGAAAGTAGAAGGCCTGAAAAAATGAAGAGGTGAAATCAATGAAATTGAGAAGTGAACAATAAAAATAATCAACTAAGAGTTGGTTCTTTGAATAAACTAAAAAAAACTGATAAACCCCTAACAATATAGTTCAAGAAAAAAAAAAGAGGAGGATACAAATTACCAATAAGAAAAGAGGAGATATCACCAAGGATCCTATAGCAAACAATGATTAAGAAGGGTTCTGAACAACTTTATGCCAAAATTTTAAGATTTTAGATTAAATGGAAAAGTTTATTGAAAAAGTTTAACAGAATCAATCATTAAAAAGCTGCCCCCCTTTTAAAAAGTGAGGTTAAACAAATGGCTTAAAGAATAAAATTTTCAATTATTTAAGGAAGAAATAACATGACTCTCTAAAACAATTTCTCTAGAGAATTAAGAAGAGAGAACAATTCCCAACTTGTTTTATGAGACCAATTTGTTTTGTTCTGACAAGGGCATTACATGAACAGAAAATTACAGGCCAATCTTTCTCATTAATTTGGATGCCAAATTCTTGAACAAAATATTAGCAAATATAATCCAATGATGTATTAAAATGATAATATACAAACTTGAGTTTATCCCAGAACACAGCAGGAATCTAGCATTTCAAAATCAACCATCGCATTAGAAGAATAAAGGTGAAATAATGTACAATCATGTCAACAAATGCAGAGTATTTGACAAAATTAAACATCTATTCAAGATTAAAAGTCTTAGAAACCTAGAGATAGAAGGAAATTTTTTTAACCTGATAGAGTCTCCAATAAAAACCTATAGCAAACGTCATACTAAATGATGAAATACTGAGCACTTCTCTTCTGAGACTGAGAACAAGAGAAAGATATTTGCTGTCATTACTTCCAATGCACAGCATACTAATGTCTAGCCTGTGGAAGAAAGAATAAGAAATGAAGAGCATAAGGATTGAACAAAATAAAAACTATTATTATCTGCAGATGACCTGTTTGTGTATATACAAAATCCAAAATCATCTACAGATAAGTCAGAAGTAAATTTAGCAAAGTCTGCAGATAAAAGCTCAATATACAAAACTTAACTGTAGTTTAATAAAGCCACATAAATTTAGAAAATAAGCTTGGGAAAAAATACCACACTAGCTATAAAATTAAAATAGATAAACTGTACTTCATCAAAATTAAATTGTTCTGCTAATAAAAAGACATTAAGAAAATTAATTTCTCACTGTGAGAAAATATTCACAATAATTATTTCTGGAAGACTTATATAAAGAATATATATATATATATTTCTTTTTCTTTTTTAAGATGGAGTCTCACTCTGTCACCCAGGCTGGAGTGCAATGGCTTGGTCTCAGCTCACTGCAACCTCTGCCTCCCGGGTTCAAGCTATTCTCCCGCCTCAGCTTCCTGATTAGCTGGGACTACAGGTGCATGCCACCACACCCGGCTAATTTTTGTAGTTTTAGTAGAGATGGGATTTCACTATGTTGGCCAGGCTGGTCTTGAACTCCTGACCTCGTGATCCATTCACCTTGGCCTCCCAAAGTGCTGGGATTACAGGCCACCATGCCCGGCCAAGAATATATTTTTTAAAACTACAAGTCAACAACAAAATGATAAACTACCCCATAAAGAATGGGCAAAAGACTTAAACATGTACTTCAGAAAAAAAGACATCAAAATGGGCAAAAGCACATGAAAAGACACTCAACATCATTCATTATTAGAAAAATGCAAATTAAAACCAAAATAAGGTACCACTTTATACCGAGTAGAATGGCTAAAATTAAAAGACTGACATGACCAAGAGTTGATGAGAATGTGGAATTTCATACCTTCATTGCTGGTGGGAATATAAATAAAATGGTTCAACCACTTTAGAAAACCATTTGGAAGTTTCTTACAAAGTTAAGCATATGATGACTATATCACTCAGCAATTCTACTTTTAAATATTTACCCAAGAGAAATAAAAACATATGTATATCTGCACACACACACATACACGCACACACACACGATGTGTACAAGAATGGTTATTTTATTTTTTATTTTTTATTTTTTATTTTTGGAGATGGAGTCTTGCTCTGTTGCCCAGGCTGGAGTGCAGTAGTGCAATCTCTGCTCACTATAACCTCCGCCTCCCGGGTTCAAGCAATTCTCCTGCCTCAGCCTCCTGAGTGGCTGGGACCACAGGCACATGCCGCCATGCCTGCCTAATTTTTTTGTATTTTAGTACAGACATGGTTTCACCATGTTGCCCAGGCTGGTCTCAAACTCCTGAGCTCAAGCAATGCTCCTGCTGTAGCCTCTTAAAATGTTGGAATTACAGGTGTGAGCCACCGCAGTCGGCTGAGAAAATATTTTTACAAATACTTTTAAATTGATCACTAACCTGATAGGACAATAAGGACATCAATGTGAAGACAAGCATACCAAGAAATAGTCTAGTGCCAAGGCTAGCCTTTGCCCTAATGGCTTTTGTGAACCTTCGGATTTCTGCTTTAAAGATTGCATTATGTGCCGAGGACAGCAGATAAAGTTCAGGGCCTGCCCAGAGTTGGAATTTCAAATCCAAAAATCACAAAACACAAAAAGACATAAGATACCCTGGTTGAAAACCAGCAGAAACAATAAACAGCAAACTAAATAAGTAGACTTAATTTGAATTATCAGATACAAAATATAAAAAAACCACATTTAATATATTTAAGAAATCAAAGGGAAACTTGAAAAATAAAAGAGGGGAGAGCAGTCAGATTTGATAAGAACTAAATAAAACTTCCAGAAATAAAAACAATAATAATAATTAAAAAGTTAAAACTCAGCAGGTGAGACTTCACTGAAGAGGGGATTATTGAATGGAATAATGAATAAAAAGAAAGTATCCAGATCAGTCTACAGAGGAAAAGAAATGGAAAATATAGAGGTAAAAATGAATGAATAACAGTGCAATAATAGATTAAGTATTGGAATAATAGAGTATTCCATATTCCAGAACAAGACGGAAAACAGCAAATAATGCATATGGGGAAACAATGACACACGGCCTCTACATCACACATACACAAAAATTAAATAAAAGATGAGGCATTAACCTAAAGACAGGAGCTAAAACTATAACCCTTCCAGAAGTAAACATGGGAGATTATATTCATGATCTTGCAGAAGGCAAAGATTTCCTAGCATGGAGGCAAAAAGTGTTAATCTTGTAAGAAAAGAAAACTGGTAACATGGATTTTGTCAAAATTCAAACTCGCTGCTTATTAAGAAATATTATCAAGGAAATGAAAAGGCAAGCTACAGACTTGGAGAAAATATTAATAATACATACATCTGACAAATGACTAGTATTTAGAATACTGAGTAATAAAAGGTACTTACAAATTAATAACAAAAGAATAAGCAAAGAAAGGTCTTGAACAGACACTTAAAAAGATAAATGAATGGCCAGTAAGCACCTGAGAAGGCAGGCAACATCATTAATCATTAGGGACATGAAAATTAAAACCACTGATAGACATCGCTTTACACCACTAGTATGTCTAAAATTGACAAAACAGCACTACATGTTGGTGAGGATGTGAAGCAACTAGAACTCTCATGCCTTGCTGGTGGGAATGTAAAATGACACAACTATCTTGGAAAACTGATGCCCCAATGTGTTATGAGCTGTGCTTTCAGCCTTCTACCCTTTGGTTATATGGGTCAAACATTCCCCCTTTTCTTAAGCTAGTTTCTCTTGCTAGCAGCCAACGAGTGTGGCTAAAACTAATAGACAAAACAGATAGACCACATCACTGGCTGGTCTGTGGCATTGTTCTGCTGAGCAATGTGGAGCTAGGGCCACTTAACCATGGGACCTAAGACAAGGGCTTGAGTCGTCCTCCTCAAATACACGTCCACAAAGCCAGCAACTCTGAACTACACTCTAGATGCCTTGTGCTGCTCCTTCTCTGGGTGTACCTTCAAGTTTCTATCTACACACAGATCACCCCAATCTACCAGTGTGACTTCCAGGGATGGGTTCTTTCCTGAGCCCTGCATTCCTCAAGTTTTCAAGCATCAATGACACCAGTTAGGTTGGATTTCCATCTGACTCCACATCATTTCTGTGGGTTCTTCATCTTGTGGATCTTAGCTTACTCTTTCCCCGGCTGTGCGCCTCTGTTTTCTCCCTACAACGCCCTTCTGCAGATAATCTGGGTCAATCAACATGAATGGGTGAAGCAGAAGTGAGAAGGAAATGAGAAAAAGCATAAAATAATAAATGGCAATGTAAAATATTAATTTGGAAGCCAACTTTGGAGACTGCATAATGTACATGCCATCTACATGACCATAAATTAAATATTTGCAACAATGTGTAATTTTCGTGATTATGGAGGGTGTGGCCTTCAAGAAAATACTAGTGGCAACAGATACAGTCCTATATTCCTGTAAGATGTTATGTAGGATATTTGCATGTTCTAAGGATTAAAGTAACTGGATCTTAATAGACTAGTGGGCACATATAAGAACATTCTGAATTGGGGTTTACATTTTTAAAATGTTAGACAAATATCACAATAAGTCAAATGGAAAACCCATGGGGCATTAAATTACCTGCAAATTTTAATATACAGACAACCTCAATCCACCAGTGTGGCTCCTGGGGATGGGCTCCTTCCTGAGTCCTGTATTCCTCAGGCTTTCAAGCACTGGGGACACCAGTTAGGGGGATTTCTGACTCCACATCATTTCTACTGGAGGCATTCATTTTTTTTTTTTTATCTTGTGGATCTTAGCTTACTCGAATGCAGCCAAAATAACCATTTCCTATTCAGCTTTATCATATTTCCCATCTGACCTTTTTAAATTTTTTAAAATTGATTTTATTATTATTTATTTATTTTTAATTTCAGTGGTTTTTTGGAGGAACAGGTGGTGTTTAGTTACATGAATAAGTTCTTTCGTAGTGATTTCTGAGATTTTGGTGCACCCATCTCCTAAGCAGTGTACACTGTACTCAGTGTGTAGTCTTTTATCCCTCACCCTCCTCCTGCCCTCTCCCCCAAGTCCACAAAATCCATTGTATCATTCTTATGCCTTTGCATCCTCGTAGCTTGGTTCCCACTTATGAGTGAGAACATTCTCATCTGACCTTTCTTAATATGTAGAACTTTTAACAAAGAATACTGCATACCTGTGTCATAACACACGATAAGTCTTCCACTGTGATCGCCCACACTCTGTGGCTCAAACTCCACTTCCAGTTGCATGGACTCTCCCACATTAAGAGTTCCAATAGCTGGTTCTATAGAGAAAGGCCTGCAACACACAGAGAGGCACATCATCAGAGCATATTTCTGACTAGTGTGAGACGGGGAGGAAAGGAGACAGGAGTTCTAGTTCTGCAGACAGCTCAGACCCAGCACTGCAATTTCATGATCTAGAAGTGAAGTAGACTTTTGCTACCTAATGTGAAAGAACTTTAGTTTTAATGTTAAAATGACAGCATTAGATTAGCAAGCGTAAGGGCAACTTAAACAATGCAACAATATTCTTGTTTGTGTCCTTGCCATTCAGCCCTGCTTTTAACATTCATTGAGTATCCCTGCTGGGCTCAGGCACTCAAGTTAGGGTGACTGCAAATGAATAAAATCCAGCCTTTGTCCTCAAACACTGAGATTGCTGTAAGGAACAGACTTAAAATATGTATGCAAATATTGTCATTTTCAAAAGAACAGTGCCTTCAAAGGGATAAAAATCGAGTTTTGTGAGAGTTCACAGGAGAGAGGGCATCATAGTGGAAAAATATATCTGAGCCCCAAAAGGAAAGGGATAGCACCCTCACTCGCCTTAGGATAATTCAGGACAGATGAACAGAGGGTCTATATTAAAAGGGTGGGAGGGGTGTAGAGGAACTACAGGAGATGATGCAATAGCCCAGGTGGTAACAGTAGCGCTGCCACAAAAGAGCCATGGAGAGAAGGCATGGTTTTTAAAACCGCAAGGAGAGGCCTAAGAGAAGGCTGCCTTATGGGGAGCAAGGAGACGTAGCCAAGGGAGACAGCAGCCCAGGTGGTCTCCCAGGGAAGACAATGGGGAAAAAATATCCTGACCTCACATCCCCTCCCATCTCATTGTCTACCAGACCCTCACTGGGTGAACACAACCAGAGCCAGAAATGCGAGTCGAGGGCTGTTGACCCAGGCTGTAGAAGCCAGCCTCCGGGGCTAGAGCAAACTGAAGAAGGGTGGAGAGTGCATTTGAAAAGGCAAACTGAGGACAAATTCTGTGTCTTGAAAATATAATTTGGGATGCAGACATTGTGGGGAGTGAGGGTTGATTTGGAAACAGGAAATAGTTTAATTGTTTTGGAAGAGAATAGTAAGAGGGAAGCTGGATCTGATGGTGAAATACCTTAAGTAACTTAGAGAGTTCTTCCTAAATAGGAAACCCAGCCCATTTAATTATTTTCATGGTCCATTTCACTTCTTTAAATTGCTAGTTTTTCAAAGTAATGTGTTGTGTAATGCATCTGGCAGACCGAGCTGTTTCTGATTATTTACTTCGATCACAACAGTTCTTAGAGCTGTCATTCCTTAAATCTTCCCTTAGATGATGAACTCAGTTTCAGAAAATCTAAGCTTTCTGCTATAAGGATACAGAGTTTATGTCAGGGGTAGCACTGGGTGGCATCTGAGAGTATTACTACAGGACCTCAGGTGCTCCCTACTGTGAGCAATTGGTTATTTTCTCTGGTACTTTCTACTTGATCTCCTCTCTTTTCTTTTTTTAAGTTTTAAAAAAAAATTTACTTTTTGTGGGTACACAGTAGGTATATATATTTATGGGGTACGTGAGATGTTTTGATACAGGCATGCACTGTGAAGTAATCCCATCATGGAGAATGCATATCCATCCCCTCAAGCATTTGTCCTTTGTGTTACAAACAATCCAATTACACTCTTTTAGCTATTTTAAAATGTACAATTAAGTTATTGACTATAGTAACCTTGTTGTGCTATCAAATAGTCTTATTCATTTTTTCTAACTATTTTTTAATACCCATTAACCTTCCCCAACTCCCCACCCAACCCCCACTACCCTTCCCACCTCCAGTAACCATTCTACTCTCTATGTCCGTGAGTTCAATTGTTTTGATTTTTAGATCCCATGAATAAGTGGATCTCCTCTCCTTTCACTTCCTGATTTTCCTGCTTCCTTTCCTTTTTCCTGTCCCCATACCTGTAGCACTGATCCACCAGTGAACCCCAGGCATTGCTGCAGAGGCACTCTGGGGCAGTGGTTACTAGCCTGACCTCTGGAGCCAACCGAATGAGTTCAAAACCCAGCTCTGCCACAACCTTGGGCAAGTCACCTAACCTTCAGTTTCCTTATCTGTAAAAGGAGGGTAATGATAGCACCTACTTCATACGGTTATAGTGAGGATTAAAGGGGTTGATATAGGTCAAGTGCTTAGAATAATGCCTGGCACAAAGGAAATGCTATACAAGTGTTTATTATTCTTTTTGTTATGGCTATTTTTATCTCCCTCACTGGCAGCCTCTAGATGCTGTGTGATGAATCTGTGGATGTGTTTGGGTGTTTCGATGAGTTCAAGCTTTTATCATTCCCCCCTCACTCCTTCACACTGCTCTAGAGAGAGTGTAAAAAACACACACAGGTCATAACACATCAATCTCTTGTTCAAACACCTTCAGCGGTCCTCATCACCTGTGCAATCAAGTTCAAACTCCTAGGCATTTCAGGTCCCACACAATCTGCTCCCAGTAGGTTTTTGCATTTTCATTACACACATACATCTGTCCAAATATCCTATACACCTGTCATGTTCCAAGGCAGTGCTGGGGTGGGATGGGAGGCAGGCTTTAGTCTCTTCACCCACAACCTCCCCCAGCACTGCACCTGCTTTCTCTTCCCACCAGATTGTGGCCCCCACATAGACAATCGGAACTGCTAGGATCACATCAGGTGACTTGCCATTTCCCACATGCCATACTCCTTCTGAAGCCACCTCTCACAGCCCAGACTCAAAGTCACCTCTTAAATAGAATCTTTCCTGATTCTCCCTTTTGTGAATAGTATCTCTTTCCTCTCAGAGACTATAACTTCCCTTTTAGTTTATACAGTGGTTTACTTTGTACTTGAGTTGGTTTTCATGCCTGCCTCTCTCAATAGCTAGAAACTCTTGAGAAGAGAGGGAAGGGAAAACACAATCACGAGTCATCTTTGTGTCACTCATCACCCCATACATGGTTCTTTACTCAGGAGCCTCTCAGAAGAGGTTCTTAATTGAATTACAATAAACTCTTAAAGGTAAATAAAAATATTTGTAATCAACTATCAGTGTTTATGACATCGTGGTGGAATGAGAAGGAGCAAACCTTCAGTAGAATCTGTGCCTTGTGGGAAGTGACGGTGAGTCTCCCAGTCTCAAAGTTTCTTCCTTCCTTACGGCCTCAGTGAGAATCGGAAGAAGTGAGAACTGGGCCCAGTTTCCCGGCTTTAGGAACAACACCACCATATTTACTTCTATCCTTTGCCTCCCTACTTCCTAATATTTTTCTTCCTGCATTGTACTTTCATTTTATTTTCAAATATTTCTTGGTAGCAAAAGAATAGTTTTAAAATGAATTGGATATTATTATATTGCAGTACCTAAACTATTAATAATTTTTACAGAAAAAGTGATACTAGTATCCCATCTGTACGACCTCCAGGAATCCAAGTTCCACGGAGTGGTAAGGGTTACTTTGCCTTTGTGCTAATCGTTGGGTTTAGGTTACACAAACTTCTTCAGTAGTTATAATCACCTGGGATTGCCATTGCTACTTACAGCTGCCTAACAGATGTTAATTGGGTAGAGTGTGTCAAGTTCTGGTGGTTACACATTGTCTATAATTTGATTTTGTACTTCATTTTACTAAAATGCAGACAGGCTGAACGGGCTAGAAAATATCAAGTATCAGAAAATGCTCTTACAAAGAAGTAAAAGGTGTTGTTCTTCAAGGGTATAAGGATGGTTCAGTCTATCAAAATATTTGGTTTTGATATCATATCTTGATTAATATCAAATAATTATGGAGGGAGTTTGGTTTTGTGAAAAATCATGAGCCATGAGAAAGATTTGAGTTTTTGTTCCATCAATTATGAGCTCTTCTTAAGAACTAAAACCATCCAAATGATTCAATATTTTAGCAGAAGACTAAATATGGATCCTACAATATTAAATATTGAATATAATATTAGTATTTATTCTTCAGATGATCTTTCTTGTTTAATTCCTTACTTGAGTTTTTAGATTTTGAAATTGCTTCTTAATACTCTCTATTTCACCTTCCAATGTTAATCCTACTTTAATCATCAAAGTTATTCTGATACCTACTAGAGTTTTAGGTCAAATTTAACAATAATTGCTTATGTTCTCTGTACATTTTACAGCCCATTGCAGCCTCTTTTGTTAGTGTAAAATTATTATGCTTATTTTATAGCAGTTGGAGAATGTGTTTTATTTTATTTTATTGTAGAGGTTTATAGTTGTAGTTTTGCCTTTGTGATATACTGTTGGTTAGGCATCTTATAAACATTTATTGGGTGTTTATTTATTCTAGACAGATGCTGGGGACATACAAATGAAAAGAGTTAGATACAATCCTTCCATTTGAGAAGCTCACATTCGAATAAGGGTAACAGACATGCAAAGAAAGTTTTAGTTTTTGTGATTTATAAGAACCTAAGCATTTTATAAACTTAACCACTAATAAAATCATTATTTCAACGAGAAAAGGATGATCTGTTTTTTTAAACAATTTCCTGTGGGACATTATTTCTAGCTGTATATTGACACTAAAAGTGGGAGGACCATGGGCTTTTGACTCCAAATTCTCAGACTATATCCACTGCTCTACCATGTCTATTAACAACCATATTAACTGAAGAACACTGTCTAGGAACAGAAACATCTGTGTGGTTTTTAGAACGGATCCTTGTCAGGGGATCTCCTTAGAGATTCTAACTCAATATGATGTGACCACAAATTCAACCACATTCTTTCTCATTGAAGCCATCAGCGTTCTCAGTTGCAAACAACAGAAGCCAGCTGTGGCTAATTTAAACAGAAAAGGGACTGACTGGTAGGACTTGAGGCAACTCACAGAATCAATGATAGTTGAAAAACATGCATTTTGTGGAGAAAACATAAAGCCATTATTTCATGAAGAGTCTAAACAGGAAAACAAAAATATTTGCAAACAGGGAATTTGAGAGACTTGGTTACACAGAAGATGGGAGAGGTGAGAACTCCAACTGAAGAAGGTGAGACAGCTCCGAGATTCATAACAGCGGTAAGCTTTTTCCACCCCTGGACTGGAAGCAAAAGGAGAGGAGGAAGTGTTATCAGATCCTGGGGACCAGGGTCACCTGGCAGAAGTTAGAACCGTGGCAGGCCAGCCTGACAGTGGCTAGAACCATGGAGGAGGTGCAGTGGTGGCTGGGGACTCTGCTGAAGACAAAGAGGGAAGAGGCTTCTTCCTTCTTCCTACTCTCCAGTCTCCTGCTAGTGTCCCTGACTGGTCAAACCTAGCTGGAATCTGGCTGAGCCAGGAGGCTAGGAAGGCTCAGGAAGCCCCACAGGGACACTGAGCAGCGCAGGGGAATGGTGAGACATGTACCTGAGGGCAAACAAGCCCAGAGCTAGCCCATGTTTGCACGAATCCAGGTTTTGATGTTAACTTACTGGGGGAGTTTGGGTAAGTCATTTAACTCCTCAGGCTTTACTCCCTTCACAGTAAAATGGCAATGCTGGGCCAGCATGTCTACTGTTGACAAATCCTGGCCAGTCCCTGAGTTGCCTCCCATTTTACCTTAGAATTGTTTCTATATTAGGAAAACATAATTCATATTCATAGGTAGATAGATAGAAAGATTTTATATTTTTTTTTGCAACTTCACACTATTAAATCTGTGAAGTGATTTTTGCTTCACATTTACATGAATCTAAAATATACGAAATTGCCATTTTGGCATGGTTTTTTTCAAATTCAGCCAAACAGCGCAGGAAGATATGTTCCCGCACTTGCATATCCACCTTAGGTAGATTCTTTTTTTCATAGAAAAAAAAAAATACCATTGTAACAGTTTTTAATGGGTATTGTGAATGGTGGTTGTGGGAGACCATTTTTTCAATTGAAAAAGATGGTTTTTTTTTTTTTTTTTTTTGAGACATGGTTTTTCTCTGTCACCCAGGCTGGAGTGCAGTGGCATGATCATGGCTCACTGCAACCTCGAGCTCCTGGGCTCAACCAATCCTCTTACCTTGGCCTCCCAAGTAGCTGGAACTGCAGGTATGGACCACTACACCCAGCTTATTTTTTTGTTTTTTGTATTTTTTGTAGAGACGGGGTTTTACCATGTTGCCCAAGCTGGTCTCAAACTCCTGGGCTCAAGTGCTCCACTCGCCTTGGCCTCCCAAAGTGCTGAAATTACAGGCATAAGCCACCATGCCAGGCCAAGATGGGTTATTTCTAATTCATGGGAAGCCAGCTGAACAACCTGTTTCCTTCTCCTCCATCAAAATATGTGAGGTTTGCCATGAGACGACAAACAAGGCCTGTAGAGAATTTATGACCAATGTCTGGAGACACTGAGTTCCAAAAGAACTTTTCCTTTGCCTTTAGTGGTTGATTTATTTAAGGTGGTTTAGAATCTTGCTTCTACCTAGAATGCAGAAAGCTGGAAAGAATGTTTCTTTTACCCTAACCATAAGAAAAAGTGAAATAAATAACAAAATCACAACCTTTCTTGTGCCTGTCAGAGAGCAGAGGTAGCACATCAAATAGCCTGAAATCTAAAGACAGACCAACCCATTTCCCCCGAGGGGGATGGGATATGCACATACGGTTTAGACTGTGGCTTTCGCCTGTGGCAGGCAGAACTTTCCTGCAAGCAGAAGAAAAAGTGAAAGAGGATAGAACAAAAAAAAAATTTGGAGAGATAATAGCTGAGATTTTCCAAAATTAATGAAAGATTCAGGAAGCTCAGAGAACCTCAAGCAAAATTAAAACCCAAACCAAGCAAAAGCAAAACAAAATCTTTAAAACAAAAAGCAAAACATAAACAAAACTTACACCTAGACACATCATTTCCAAACTGCAAAAACCAAATAAATCAGCAAGTAGCCCAAGAAAAAGAGACAATTACATACAGAGGAACAAAGATAAGAATCACAGCAGACTTCTCATTAGAAAAATGTAAGTCAAAGGACAATTGAGTGACATATTTAAAGTACTGAGGAAAAAAATATATATATAATTGTTGGCCCAGAATTCTATATGGTGAAAAAAAATATCTTCCAAAAATGAAGGAAAAATAAACACTTTTTTCCAGATAAACAAAAACAGGGAATTTACAGTAGACTTGTGCTACAAGAAATATTAAAGGTAGTTTTAAGCCAGGAGAAATAGGATATCAGACAGAAATGTGGATCTACACGAAATAGTTCAGAGAGAGTGATTCACCTAGAGTACTTGGAGAAATAAACACAAATTCCCTCCCAAAGGATGTGCCCTCAACTGGCAATATGGCAGTGCTGCTACCCACAGTATGGCAAAGTGGGTCACTTGAAAACCCTCCCACCAGAAAATACCTAGAAAGACTGGATAAAAGATAATGTAAATAAATGCATAAATGAGCATGCACAAAAATAAGAAAAACTCATACCATTCCAAAACAAAGAGGAACCTAAGAACCACAGCAGTAAGCCACTGAGCTAATGATAGGTCTGCCCTGGGTTCCCAGTAGCCCAGAAGCCTGGGTTTTTAATAGCCCTGCTGGAGCCGGAGACAAGGCCTCACAATGGTCAAGTTAGGGGACTGGTACCAGATCCCCGTATAAACCTGAGAAATGTGAAGGACTCCCCAAACACACTCCCATCAGCAAAAGAAAAAGTGTGTATCTGAGTTTTTAATTAAAGGAACAAAGTTTCTCTAGGACATTCATAACTTGAACTTGTGTCTTATGAAGGTGTGGGATTTGCATATGAGCTATCAGTCCAGGAACTCCTAAGGTAGGAAATTACCAAAAGAGTACTCCATGGTAGCCTAACTTTTGGGAATCAAGTAGAAGCAAATTCTAATCCCTTTTGGACAAATGAGTCATTAAGTCAGCAAAGGATGCCACAGATAATGCCCTTCTGAAAGAGAACTTAAATCCAGTATATACACACTACTTTTTAAAAACAGAACTTAAATCCAGTATATACATACCACTTTTTATAGAAAAGAACTTGAACCCCTGCTTCCTGTCTTCCCAAGCTGGTTGTTCTTTTTAAGACCCCACTGGTCAGCCACTTGCTCTCATGCCCCAAAACAAATCCTTCTTTCCCATCTTATAAGAGAGGTCCTTGAGAGATGGGGTTGTTTCATCATTCTTATACCAGCAGTCCCCAACCTTTTTGGCACCAGAGACTAGTTTCATGGAAGGCAATTTTTCCACAGATTGGGGGTGGGGTGGATATTTTCAGGATGATTCAAGCACATTACATTTATTGCACACATTATTTCTATCTTATTACATTGTAATATATAATGAAATGATTACACAACTCACCATAATGTAGATCAGTGGAAGCCCTGAGCTTGTTTTCCTGCAACTAGACGTTCCCATCTGGGGGTGATGGGAGACAGTGACAGATCACTGGGCATTAGGAGCATGCAACCTAGATCTCTTACACGCACAGTTCACAATAGGGTGTGTGCTCCTATGAGAATCTAATGCCGCGGCTGATCTGACAGGAGGCGGAGCTCAGGCGGTAATGCTAGTGATGGGGAGCAGCTGTAAATACAGATAAAGCTTTGCTCTCTTGTCCACCACTCACCTCCTGCTGTGCAGCCTGATTCCTAAAAGGCCACGGACTGGACCGGTACCAGTTCATGGCCCGGGGGTTGGGGACACCTGCTTTATACTGTCCCATGGTGTCTACACTGTGGTTAGTCCACAAATACTCAGATTAAAATCCAGCTCTATCACTTACTAGCTCTGTGCTCTTCAGGAAATGATGTGACCTCTCTATCCCTCGGTTTTCTCATCCTCCAAAGCCAGCAACAGCAGATTGAGTCCCTCTCACAGCTCACCACGCTGAACTCTTCTGCTTCCTTCTTCTATTTTTAAAAGCCCTTGTTGGTTACACTGGGCTCATCCAGTGAATCCAGGATTATCTCCCAATTTTAACATTAGCTGATCAGCAAATTTAATTATATCTGCAATATTAATTCCCCTTTGCCATACAACATGATACAGTCACAGGTTCTGGGGATTAGGATATGGACATGTCTGGAGAGCCATCATTCTGTCTACCACACTGGCCATAGCTCATTTGAAGGAAAAAGAAAAGAGCAAACACCGATTATACAGCACTTGATATATACCAGCAGTTTCTGTTGATTATCCCAACAACCTTATGAAGTGGCTGGTATACTTTTCCCCATTTTTCAGAGAAGAAAACTGAGGGCCATGAGCCAAGGAATGTGGGTGGCCCCTAGAAACTGGAAAAGGCAAAGAAATGTACTCTCCCCTCAAGCCTCCAGAAGGGAATGCAGCCCTGCTCTCACTTTGATTTTAGCCCAGTGCAACTTCTGACCCACTGAAAAGTAAGATAATAAATTTGTGTTGTTTTAAGCTACTGAGTTTGTGACAATTTGTTACAATGGCAACAGAAAACTAATCAAGCCAGTTATAAAAATTCTCAGTCAAGACAAATTTATTTCTATATTCTCATGGGCCATTCTCTGTACTAAAAGAAGGACTTTTATCCAGCATTTTGAAGAACCAAAAAGAGGATTTAGTATAATATGGATATAAGATATTAAACCTTGAATTTTTGTTTCCTCTGAGGATGAAGAGGAAGTCTACCCTACATCAGTGAGGTCTCCCAGCTTTGCAACTGAAGACTGTAACAAGCAATTCCACCCCCCAATGTTATGGTAGCAAATTACTTGAGCTGACTAGATTTAGCTATAATCAATCAAAGACAAGAGCTAAAGGCATGCATACCTACAAGTTTTGATGTGAAATACAGCATTTTTGTTGCCAATGTTTCGTACCAGCAGAATCTTCTGGGTGCTGTATTTGACAGGACAAGTGGAAAAATTCAGCTTGTCAGGAAAATCGAGAATGGCTCGTGCCCCTCTAGCTTTGATGGGTACAATAAACTTTTCTCTTTCAGTAACACAGGTCAACGTATGGGCGTAATCCTACAAGGGAAGGGTATGATCATTATTTGTGGAAAAAGCAACATGATCACGATAACTGTTCAAGAAAAGGGTCGATGAGAGGCATTTTGCAAAACAACTTTTAGTATAGTTCTATGAAAACATCTTAAAACAATTACAGAAGTACTTTCAAATGAGATTGTCTTTTCTGAGAGAGAGAGAGAGAGAGAGAACAGATCTAGTGTTAAAACCTACAGCTGGTAGAGAAGCTATGCTTCATGTGTCTGTCAGGCAATAGGGAGGTAGGATGAAGGTCAGTGGAAGGCCAGGCCCATTTCTCCTGTAGATCCAAGAAGATTCACAACAGTTCCCTCAGGTCCTCCTTCCAAACCCTAGTTCTCCTTCAAGCCCATGTATTAGAATGATGTTTCTTTTTTTTTTTTTTTTTTTTTGAGACAGAGTCTCGCTCTGTCGCCCAGGCTGGAGTGCAGTGGCGCAATCTCTGCTCACTACAAGCTCCGCCTCCCGGGTTCACGCCATTCTCCTGCCTCGGCCTCCCGAGTAGCTGGGACTAGAGGCACCCGCCACCACGCCCGGCTAATTTTTTGTATTTTTAGTAGAGACGGGGTTTCACCATGTTAGCCAGGATGGGTCTTGATATCCTGACCTCGTGATCCGCCTGCCTCGGCCTCCCAAAGTGCTGGGATTACAGGCGTGAGCCACCGCGCCCGGCCGATGTTTCTAACTAATGGCCTCTTTCTGCCTATACTCTTTGCAATGTGACTTTGCAGCTCCTCCATCAAGTAATGAGTCTCCACTCCACTTGCTTTCAGCAATACAAGGTGGCCGAAGTTATGCTATGCCAGTTTCAAGCTGAGACCTCAAGAAGCTTTGGGTCTACCCAGTCTTGTTCTTGGAACCCTGCCAATGGCATGTGAACAAGCCTGGTCCAGCCTACTGCAGGATGTGCACCTGGATGCTCCAACCAAGACCATGCTAGACCAGCCTAGAGCCAGCTGATCCCCAGATATGTGAGCCTAGCCACAATAAGCAGAGTTCCCTACCTGATGAGAGGGCCCAGGCAACACCAGAAAAACCACCCAGCTGAACCACAGTCTTGTGAGCAATAATAAGTGCTTATTATTTTAAGCCACTAAATGTGGGATTGTTTGTAATCATACAGAACTAGCTAACTGATGCGTAAGTCAGTTGAAACCTCACTTCTTGCACAAAGCCATTTCTGACCATTCCAAATAAAAATGCTGAGGCCCTAGGCATCTCTCTTCTCCAGTCATGAGTTTAAATGCAACAGAAATGCTGAATAAAGTCACTCTTTATGCCATCTCATAAGATAGAAATAGCATATTTGCCTGCAATGTAGCAAAGAAAAAGTTAAAAGAAGTCACCATAAAAGGTATCTGATATCTAAAAAAAGCTTTGTTTTCCTTCATTTTCTCATCCTTTTATTGTGTGTTTTAGCTGCAAGGAGTCTTGATTAATGAAAAGTC
Source organism: Homo sapiens (assembly GCF_000001405.40). NCBI lineage: Eukaryota > Metazoa > Chordata > Mammalia > Primates > Hominidae > Homo > Homo sapiens. Next base: position 71,164,197 of record NC_000016.10, read on the forward strand.
ATTTTGAACAGAAATTTCCTTTTGGTAACCATGTGATAAACGGTAGTAAGTGGTGGAGGTTTTAAAAAAAGCTCTTTTTGGGCTTTGGACATAGAATAAGAATGGGACCATCTGGCATACAAATTGGCATACAGGGCTGGCCACATACTCAACCTCATGAAGCCACAGGACAAGCATAAAGCAGTGGCATCCCCAGTTTATTCATTCAACTATGTTCATTAAGTGCCCAGGTGCCAGCACAGCACTGTGCTAGGTCTAGGAATACAACCAATTAGGAAATGCAGACATGGTCACGGTCCTCCTCCAGCTCACATCAGGATGGAGGAGACAATGAACAGATGAATAAAGGATATGTAATGTACAGTGCAACTCACATATAAATAAATATAAAGCTAAAACTGCCAGGAATGCTCACAAATAGCCTTTACGCCTGTAGTTCTATCTGTCCCCTTGGGCTCCAAACTCATAACCAGCTGCCCAGTCAGCATCTCATTGGATATAAACTTATGTCCCAAACCAAAGCTCCTGATGAATGTCACTGCCTGCTACTGTGCATAAAGATTTCTGCTGAGGGCCAGGAATGGAGGCAAAACAGCTTCAGCCCAAAGGGGGAACCTTTTTCTAGTACCCACAAAGGCTCCACAAAGACAGCTAAGGTCTGACCCTCTCTCCAACTGCAGCATCTCTCCAGCGGTCTGGCTTTAGAACCCTGAAATGAGGCATCCTTTCATGCTCTGTTTCTCAATTTCTTGATACAATCCATAGGATCTACCTTCAAAATATATCCAAACTGTAATCACTCTTCACCACCTCCACCCCCGCCACCCTGGTCCTAGCCACTCCGATCTTTCCCAGGCTAACAGGACTTTCTATTTCAACCGTTGCTCTCCTAAAGTCTATTTTCCACCCAAGGGTCAGAGGGACCCAGTAAAAATGTAAGTCAGCTCAGGCTGCTTCTCCGCTGAAAAGTACCTAGGCTGAGGCTGGCGCACTTGCGAAGGTCCCGTGGTCTGGTGCCCCCATCGTTTCTCTGGCCACATCTCCTCCTCTCCCCTGGTTCCCCCTGCAGCCACAGGTTTCCCCTTCAGAGCCTTTGCACATGATGTTCTCTCCTTCCCTCTACTTATTCATGGTGCTCACCCCCTCACCTCTTCAGCACTTGGCACGGCGATCCACTGTCTCCCCGAGGCCTCCCCTGACTGCCCTATTTTCAATGGAACTCTCCCTCTCCTGCCCCATCACTCCCTTACCTTCTGTCCAGCTTTAGTCTTGCCCAGAGCCATCTAGTATATCGTATATTCTACCTCCCCAGTGAGTGTAGTGCATGTCTCCCCCGTATTTCCATGTCAAGAGGGATTTGCCCATCTTCTTGCCTTCTGTATACCCAGTACCTAGAACAGAGCCTAGTATCTAGCAACTACTCAACAAATACTTCCCAAAGGAAGGAAAGTCGGTAACAGAACATTTGGTAGTGATGAGTGACGGGAAATAAATCATGATATGGGGACAGAGAGACTGGAGAGCTCTTTTACATGGCGTGAGGGGGAGGGGGGCGGTCAGGAAAGGCCTCTATGAGGAGGTGACACTTCAGCAGAGACATGAGTGACAAATGAAGCCATGTGGATGGATGGCTGTCTGGGGGAAGTGTGATTTGGAACCTGTGGCCAGAGGGGAGCAAGGGAAGGAGTGTGGTTAGACACATGGCCAACAGGTTGTGGCGGCCAGATCCCAGAGATCTTGTAAGCCATTGTTAGGACGTGAGAGGGCTGAAGGCATTCCCAAGGCTGAAAGCTGATCTTGATGTAACCTGAGTAACGTTTTAGAAAAAGCGCTGGCTGCTATGTGGGCCACGGACTGCAGCGGGAAGAGGGAGGCCAGTTAGGAAGCCACTGCTATAGTCCAGGCATGAGATGACACAGATGTGGACTTGTGTGGGCAAGTACTTAGCCCAGCATTTAGCAAGTAGTAAGTACTCAATAAATGTTAACTGTCCTTATCAGACTTTTGTATTAAGTACAATTTGTGTAAGGCATATAGGAAAAATTCAACATATGTTTACTCTCGTTGGTAGTGAGCCATCTAGCCATCTATATACTGATAAGGATAATAATAATAGAACAAGATAATTTCAGAAAGTGATGAGGGCTTTGAAGAAAATAAAGCACAGGAAAGTGATAATATCGGATGGGGTTGATTTAGGTTAGAATAACTAAAGAGGTCTTCCTGAGGAGGTGACCTTCGGATGGGGACCTGAACAGCAAAAGGAGCCAGTTGGGTGAGATCTAGGAACAGAGTGCTCCTGCCAAGGGGAACTGCAAACATACAAGTCCTAAGGCAGGAGTGAGTCATAAAAAGGAATAAATAGGATTCAAGAAATTGATTAAAACTGGGTTGCTAGTATATTTTTAAATAAAGAATGTAACTGGATTGTGTGTAACTCAAAGGATAAATGCTTGAGGGGATGAAACCCCATTCTCCATGAGGTGCTTATTTCACATTGCATGCTTACATCAAAACATCTCATGTACCCCATAAATATATATATCTACTGTGTACCCACAAAAATACTTTTTATTTAAAATATATCTTTTAAAATGGCTGGGCGTGGTGGCTCAAGTCTATAATCCCAGCATTTTGAGAGGCTGAGGCAGGTGGATCACTTCAGGCCAGGAGTTCAAGACCAGCCTGGCCAACATGGCAAAACCCAGCCTCTATAAAAATTAGCTGGGCATGGTGGCTCACACCTGTAGTCTCAGCTACTCAGTAAGCTGAGGCAGAGAACTGCTTGAACCCGGGAGATGGAGGCTGCAGTGAGCCGAGATCGCACCACTGCACCCCAGCCTGGGCGACAGAGTGAGACTCTGTCTCAAAAAAATTAATAAATAAATAAAATAAAAACAAAAATAAAAATAAAATTTTAAAAATTGAGTTGTTAGACTGTTAGCTCTGCAAATGATTCTGGTTTCCAGATGGTAATGCCAGACTCAAAACTTATGCTATCTAGACATGAGGAAGCACAAATTGCACTAAGCACACTTGATCTTAGAAAACCCCACATAATTCAACAATGCAACAGCCTAGTCTGATTACTACAGAATCCTAAAGAGATAAGTACTATTTTCGCTTTTTCTTAGGCGATCAAATCCAGCCAGCATATGTTTTTTTGGGAATTATAAACTGAAAAGCCCCTGGCACATGTGGAGACTGAGCATTAACTGAGGCGTTGAGAGCTAGAACAAAAGATGCTGCTGAATCCAGGATAAGAGGAGATCCTGAAGTGTTTGTCTCATTTTATTCTGTACTCACATATCCGCTGCCTTGTTCTAGAAGGAATTAAAGGCAGCTGTAAATAGTTTAGGAGGCTAATTGAAATACTGAGAGAGATGTTTTCAGACCTTTTCAAGTTCCCAAATAAGGAAGGTTTGAAGTTTGATTTGCATTATAAATTTTTTCATAATCAATTCACACACCCATAAAAGAATATAAGGTTCTTTAAACAAGTCCCTTAAAATGTATTCCAATCTCTGAAGTTATGCACTTAATATGACTATATTAGATCATACATCATTATATATTGCTCTGCTGGCTTACAATTAATTCAGATGTTATGACTAGGGAGGCTCCGATGGCCTGCAGGCTTAAGCAATCACTTCAGTTGATGAACTGAACACCCAGCCTCACAAACCTGCTTTTCCTCCTCTGTTCCCTATCTCTGTAAATGACACCACCATTTGACCAGTTGTTAGCCAAAATCCTACAGTTCAAACTAGGTGCATTTCTTTCTCGTATCATCGATCCATCAGTAAATCCTGGCAGCTGTACAATAAAAGTATACATCCGGCTGGGCACAGTGGCTCATGCCTGTAATCTCAGCGCTTTGGGAGGCTGAGGTGGGTGGATCGCCTGAGGTCAGGAGTTCGGGACCAGCCTGGCCAACATAGTGAAACCCCATCTCTACTAAAAATACAAAAAATTAGTTGGGCGTGGTGGCAGGTGCCTATAATGCCAGCTACTTGGGAGGCTGAGACAGGAGAATAGCTTGAACCCAGGAGGCGGAGGTTGCAGTGAGCAGAGATCACACCATTGCACTCCAGTCTAGGCAACAAGAGCAAAACCCTGCTTCAAAAAAAAAAAAAAAAAAAAGTATACATCCTTACTCCTCCTACTTCTCATCACCTTCACTGTCACCACCCTCATCCAAACTTCCTTATCTTTTACCTGAACTACTATAGTAGCCTCTGCCCCCTGTATGCATCAGGGATCAGTCAGCTACGTTATAAAAGGAAAAAGAGCAAAATCAGAGCAGTTTACACTAGGCAGAAGTTTATTTATCTTATACAAAGAAGTCCAGAGGTAGGTAGGCCAGGTCGGTAGGGTGGCTCAACAGTGTCATCAGAGACTCAAATTCCTAAATTCCTGCTCTACCATTCTAGCATGCAGTTCCCATCCTCGATGTCACCCTGTGGGGCAGAGTAATTCCTGGGACCCAACTCTTTCACAGCCAAGCTGCAGGGCAGAAGGAGGAGGGCAGAAGGGACAGGTCACCTCCTGCTGTTGTCAGCTCTCTTCAACCAGGTGCCTTGGAGTCCTACTCACATCTCATTGGCCGACACTTACATGCAGCTGTAAAGGAGGCTGGGAAATGTAATTTCTTATTTCAGGCAGAAATGTCCAATCAAAATTTGTGGTTCTCCCTGTACACTGATGATGGGAATGTAAATTAGTACAGCCATTATGGAAGACAGTATGGCAGTTCATCAAAAAATTAAAAATAGAACTACCATATGATCTAGCAATTCCACTTCTGGGTATATATCCAAAGGAAATGAAATCAGTATGTGGAAGAGCTACCTGAACCCCCATGTTCACTGCAGCATTATTCACGATAGCCAACATGTTGAATCAACCCAAGTGTCCATCAATGGATGAACATACAAAGAAAATGTAGGCTGGGCACAGCGGCTCATGCCTGTAATCCTAGTACTTTGGGAGGCTAAGATGGGCAGATCACTTGAGCTCAGGAGTTCGAGACCAGCCTGGACAACGTGGAGAAACCCCATCTCTACCAAAAATAAAATTTAAAAAAATTAGCTGGGCATGGTGGCGGGTGCCTATAATCCCAGCTACTAGGGAGGCTGAGGTGGGAGGATTGTTTGAGCCTGGGAGGTAGAGGCTGCAGTGAGCTGAGATTGCCCCACAGCACTCCAGCCTGGGCAACAGAGTGAGACTCTGTTAAAAAGAAAAAGAAAAGAAAATGTGGCATATATATACAATGGAATACTATGTAATCTTAAAAAAGAAGGAAATTCCATCATTTGTGACAACATGGATGAAACTGAGGCAATTATGCTAAGTAAAATAAGCCAGGCATAAGAGGTACAAATACTACGTGATCTGACTTATATGTGGAATCTAAAACAGTCAAATGCATAGAAGCAGAGAGTAGAACAGTGATTCCCAGGGACTGGGGTTGGAGAATTGGGGGATGCTGGTCAGAGGGTACAAAATTTCAGTTAGACAAGGAGAAGTTCAGGAGACCTATTATACAACATGGTTAATAACCATGTATTGTAAAATTGAAAATTGCTAAGAAAGCAGATTTTAAATGTTCTCACTACAAAAAAAATTATAAGTATGTGAGGTAATGTATATATTAATTAGATAATGTATATATTAATTAGCTTTATTTAGCCATTCCAATGTGTATATATATTAAAACCTCATGTTGAACACCACAAATATATACAATTTTTGTCAATTACAAATAATTATTTTTTTAAATTGTGGTTCTCTTACCAATGAGGAAAGAGAAAATGAATGTCAAGGGGAGGCTACTAGCGGTGATGCCTCACGTGGCCCTGCTTCAGCCTATTCTCTACTTGGTAGCCAGAGTGGTCCTAAAATGTAAGTCAGATTGTGTCATCCCTAATCACAACCCATCAGGCTGGATAAAAGGAGAGGATCAAGCATTTCTCCTATCTTTCCTGAATGGACTATACCTCAGGGGAGCTGAAAAGCTGGTGAGGGAAAGTTTTGGTTTTGTTGTTGTTATTGTTTTTAGAATAATTCCAACCAGTAAGTGCAAAATAAATTATGGAATTAGAAACTTAACCCTCAGTGATGTAGGGAATGATCTTTATTGGATCATTACAAAAACAAAATAAAACATAACAGACATTTTGTGCCTCTTGATATAATGCACTAGGAAGTACCACATCACCTGTGAAGGATTCTTGATCAAAAAGAAAAAATTGAATCTAATCAAGGCTATAGATCTAACTATCAGTTACAGGCAACAGGCAGCAAGGGGCCATTCTAAACAACGTGATAGGAATGCAATCAGCAAACCTTGTCTGGATCTTGATTTAAGAAAACCAACTTTAAAAAAAAACAAACTTTTTCTTAATTGTGAACCATTGTTGCACTTGGTATGCAATGGTTTTTTTAAAAACCAACTTCTTAAAGTTGGTTTTCTTAAATCAAGATCCAAACTACTGACTGGATATGTAATGATATTAAGGAGTGACTGTGGTTTTTTAGGCACAATCATGGTACTGTGGTTATGCTAACTTTTAAAAAGGCCCTTATCTTTAAGAGAAAAATCACAAAATATTTACAGATGAAATTACATGCTGTATGGGACTTGCTTCAAAATCTACTGGGGGAAGGGGCAGGACAGATGAAGCCAGACTGGTCATGCGCTGAGATTTGAAAAGGTGGGTGATGACAGCAGAAAGTAGAAAGACACTCTGCTGTTCTTTCTACTTTTGCATATGAGGAAAAGAAAGCCTTCCATAATAAAAATATTTGAAGTACTTTATGGTGGCTTCCTATCCCACTTTGCATGGCTTCTAAGATCCTTCATGAGCTCACCTGCTGGAATCTCATTTCCTACCATGTTTCCAACAGCTTCCTCTGCTCCAGCCCCACTGGCCTTCTCGTACTTTCCCGAGCTGGCTGCCAAGCGTGTTTCTGCCACAAGGCCTTTGCACTTGCTGTTCCCGCTCCTAGACAGCCCTTCCCTCAGATATTTGCACGGCTTAAATTAGTTATCTTAAGTTAGCCCAAATGTCACCTCAACAGGAGAGCCTTCCCTTGACTTTCCTATCAGAGAAGTCTTCCTTGACCTTACTTTTGAAAGAAAGCAGAGCCCTTATCATTCCCTACCCCCTACTATGTCAATTTCTGACATTAAATTGTATATATTTGTTTGTTTGTTTATTCATTGTGAAATGTAAGCTCCATGAAGGCTAAAGCTTGTTCTATTCTCCATTGGATCTGGCTCAGAAAACTGGGCCTGGCACTGAGTAAATGAAATAATATTATTCATTTGTAATCTTTTCTGGGTACTACACTATCAGGAGTTTTTATAAAGAAATTTCCTAAAATCCTTGTTAGCCTTATTATCAAATTACATTTATGAGGTCCATAAAGCTAAAAAGCATGGATGTGACTATCTGGAAATATGAAACAAAATAAAGAGAAACTCTTTTTAGAGAAGACTTCCTAGACATCTTACTGTTAATTGAAGTGACAAAGAAGAAAGTTAATATCTAATATATTCATGACACAAAAAGATAATTGAGCCCTTTTTACATGCTCTTCTCATCTGTAGGCTAACCTCAAGTCAAAGAAACTTCTTTATATTTTCTTAGATTAACTTTTACTTACTTATCTCACTCCACAAATATTTACTGCACCCTTTCTATGTATCAGGCCCTGTGCCAGGTACTGGGGCTACAGGGGTGATCCAGATAGAACTGGGGAGGGCGAATTTCAGGCAGGAGGAAAACAAAATCCTGATCATTATTTTTGCCAACAAAAGTCATTGATTGTGGACAATTTTATGATACTGACATTTAAATTCAAATTGCTGGCAATATAGTTTTATTATTATTGTATACATAGATAACATAGAACATGTTAACATTTTCTACTCTTTTTGGGCTATGGTTTTTAAATTTCATAGTGACAAACTGGAAAAACCATTTTGACAACAAATTAGACATTTTCTTAAACCATAACTGAGCCACCCAGTTGCACCACTGCATGCTTTCTTCAAAGCTTGCTGCCTTTTCCGTATGACAACACATTGCAAACAGATGCTTTCTTAAGTCCAAGGAAGTACTTTGTTTTGCTTTCCCACAAAAGCCTAATATTTTTCTTTCTCATTTTAATGGTAAAGATACAAATTTAAGAGGTCAAGAAAAATGTCAGGCTCTAGAATTTTATAGTGTTATTTTATGATGACACTGGCTATCACATTTCTACAGTATATGATAGGTACACTAGGATTATTAGATTAATAACATATCCAATCATTTTTTTTAAAAAGTCTGAGTGAGGAGAGAGAAGGAAAGCCAAAGTAAATTTGCTGCACCTGTTATCTGGGCATTTGGCATTCTTAACAAGTTCCATCCCTAGGCAGCCAGATTAATAGATGATGGGCGGGAGGGAAATGTAAATTGCATTATCATCTTCGACATGCTAATATACATGGGTACTGAAAATCCAATTGAAAGAGGGCTGGCTTAACTGTGGCATGCTGCAATTTACATATCTTACCATCCAGATGTGAGGAGAGTAAATGAGAATGGAGAGTGTTCACATCAGCAGGGGATAAGAAAGAAAAAAGCATGTACTTTGGCTATCAATTTGGCCAAGTGAAGAAACAGTGACACTTGGTGAAATGAATGACTTTTATTTTTCCTAAAATAAATCTGGCTCTAGTCACTCATTGGCTGCATTCTGGAGCAGCCCGAAAGACAGCATGCCTAACCCTAGCAGGTCATTCTGCGCACTGCCCTGGGGAAATGATGTCTCTAAGGAAGACTTTCCAACAGTGAAAGCGAATGTAGATAACTGACTACGCCATCATCAGTGCTAGCTAGCCAGCAAAATGAGAAAACAACTCTGTCTTTTGAAATAAATTATATAGTTTAGAGCCAAGTCCAACACAAGATCTTAATGTCTCCAAAATTGGACAGCTGAATTTCTCATAGGTAAACATTATCCTCACTATGTCTCCTCAAACATGCATTCAGCTTTTGATAACTTTCAAACATTTAGAAGTAACAGTATAACAACATTTAACTCAGTTAATTTTTTAAATTAGGGGTTTCCCAATAAACATGCAATGCTGGATAAGTGGAACGGTAAGAAGGAATAAAAGAGCTGAGAGTAAGATAAGCAGCTACAAAACACAGTGAAGCAATAATCCTCACCAGAAATGTTAGCATTTCATATTTATAAACTACATAGCAACATATTTTAAATACATTTCAACTATTTCTTTGCAGGATAAACAGTAATAAAATCTCTCTCTTCTTCTAGCTTTTGATTATGGAAAATTTAAAACATGCACAAAGAAGACAGACTAGCATGACAAACCCCCAATGTACCCATCACTCAAATTCAAAAACTCTTAACATTCTATCATTCTGGTTCCCTCTATACCTCTATCCACTCCCTCCCCCTTCTATTGTTATACAGGTTTTTTTAGCTAAAATTTATGTATATACTGAAAAGCACAAATATAAATGTTTTGACAAATGAATTCAGCCACATAATCCTCATGCCAATATAGAACATTCCATCTCCAGAAAGTCTTGTGTATCCCTTTTTCAGTCAGATGAGGTACAGATACAACGATACTTATCCAACAGAAGACCTATTTTCTCCAGCACAGAAAAAAACTAAGGAAAGCCACCTCCTCAAATCCAGCATGCTTTGTATTTCAAGCTGCACAAAGGATTATAATCAGCTTCCTACAAAAATGAGGGTGTAGGAATCTCACACCCACAGTAAATCCAGACCCTGTTCTCCCCACAGACAATATTCAGATATAGAGCCTCCAGAAAAAATGAGGACTTCAACAATATGCAACAAAAAGCCCTACATCTGCAGTTATTTATCTTTTTATTTATTTCAGTAGAACCTCAAACAAAATTGTAGTTTCCTAAACACAACCTAACATATAAATGGTAATACTACAAAGTGGCAAAATTATAGCAATGGTATTATTATAACGGAATTTTTAACCACTCACCACAAGGAGTACATACTTAACAAACCACATTAAATTCTCTATCCTTGCTCTCCAGAAAAGTAGTAACAACAGCAATAGTAGAGGGAATACTGGTAATGATATTGACAGCAGCCGATAGGTACTAGCGGTGGAGAAGCAAGGACTCCAAGCTAGTTCTGTCTGACTCCACTGTGCTCTACTGACTCCAACCATAAGAGTGCAACACAGATAAGCATGCCTGCTATTAACATGATACACAGCCTGCATTTTGTTCTGCATATTTAAGACTTGTTCTCTGTCCTCACTCCTTCAATCATGCTGGTAAAACTCTTCTCCTCCTCCTAAGTCCCCATTTAGGCCCACAGAGAACAAAACCTGACCAACAATTCTACTCCCTGGAGAAGGGGTGGGGAGGAAGCCTCCACCCTCAGGCCCCCATACCTGCTCCTTCTCTCCTAGAAGGAACTGGAATTTCCATGACTGAGGAGAGTGAGATTGGGCTCCATTCCCCTCCCCACCACTGCAGTGGTACTGAGAGAAAATGGCCTCCTTTTTGACTGCAGGCTCTTCTTAGACTGCCTGTGAGCTGATGGGGGTGAGCAGGCCAGGCAGGCCTCTGCTCTCAGCTCTAGCTTTACCATTACTGAGGCTGAAACTATGATATTATCTCTATGTTTGAGTCTTGGATCTCTTTTGCAAACTAGTTAGAATCTGGGGAAGAAAGTCATAACCAATTAAGGCCCCAAACTTCCTAGAAGCCAAAATCTTTATCCTTTGTCTCAGCATTCCTCTCGTGACTACCACCGCCTATACCACCATCAATGACAGCACCACCACCATCTACACCACCATCACCACCACCATCTACACCACCACCACCCACCAACTCTACAAATACTAACATCACCACTACCACCACCATCAGTGACAACAATACCACCACCATCTACACCACCACCACCACTACCACTATCAATGACAACAATATTACCACCAACTACACTACCATACTACTAATACCAATACCATCTACACACACCAGCACCATCACCCACCACTACCCACCAACACTACTAATAGTAACAACACCAGTACCAACATCAATAACACTACCACTACCATCTATACCATCACCACCATCAATGACAACAATATCACCACCATCTATACTACCAACACCAACACTACCACCACTACCCACCACCCTCCAGCACTACCACCAATACCACCAACAACAACAACACAAATGTCAATACCAAGACCACCATCAATACCACCACCACCACCACCACCACCACCAGCACTACCGCCTCTGTAAATATTCAGAATTGAACTGCAATCTGCCAGTACAAGTGTCCAATTTCTTGCCATTCCTGGTATTACCTTGTTCTCCTCTGGAGTAAAGAGGATTCGGAATATGGAAGGCACTCCAGGAGCCACTTTGTGGCCAATATCTTTGGGGCTGATTACTTTAAAGTAAGGCGAACTTTCTTCCACAACTTTCACCAACCTTGGAATCTGCAGGGAAACACATGATGATGAACATCGTGCATGTGAAAAAGCAGAGTTAAACACAGACTGAAATCCATCAACTACTTACTAGACGTGTGACCTTGGTCAGGTCTGAACTTCAGTCTTCTCAACTATAAAAGGAGATGATAGTACTTATCTTTATCCCATACAAAGTAAGCACCCAATACCTTCTAGCTTTCATTTTTATTAACATTATTATTCTTAGTTATTTTTATTATTATTACAAGTCTTTGTTCATTTTAAAATTAAATCATTTAAAAGTGACTATCAGCCAGGCGCAGTGGCTCACCCGTTATCCCAGCATTTTGGGAGGCCGAGGCAGGAGGATCACGAGGTCAGGAGATCAAGACCATCCTGACTAATACAGTGAAACCTCATCTCTACTAAAAATACAAAAAATTAGCCGGGTGTGGTAGCATGTGCCTGTAGTCCCAGCTACTGGGGAGGCTGAGGCAGGAGAATCACTTGAACCCAGGAGGCAGAGGTTCCAGTGAGCCGAGATCGGGCCACTGCACTCCAGCCTGGGAGCAAAGAGCAAGACTCTGTCTCAAAAAAAAAAAAAAAAAAGTGACTATCTTCAAGGGCTCTTTAATCAGCTAAAACCTCACCCACATAATGGAGTTAAGCTGGATTTCCCAACATTTGAGCATTTGAGAACTGCTCTGAGAGAAGTCACACTTCCTGCACCCCTTCAATGGCCCATCTATAGCACATTATATGCCACCTCATCCTCACCATAATCTTTGAGCTTCATTTTGACTCCCATGCTACAGACACTTGTCTACAGTAGTACAGCTCCACCAAGCAAAGGTGCTGGGAGTCAAGTCCCAGCCAAACTCCACCCCACCTCTCCATGGGATGGTCCTGAGTAAACACCACAAAGCAAGAGCAAAGAGCAGCAGGAGATCCCCCAGAGCAGTCTCAGAGCAGCTCCCAACAGCTCCATTCTTTTAAAGTCTTATTCTTCTGCTGGAATCTGAACCCAGATTAGTCTGACTCTGGAGTGTGGGTCCTTATCATTTTAACCCAATTAAAATCACAAGTGTTCTGGCTTATTCTCATCCTCTGTGTGTGAGGGACGGAGACACAAAAGTAATAACCTGACAGGCTCTATCTTTTGTACCCCACGACAGTGAGGAAGCAAATAAAAGGTGAAAGCATTTCTCGGGGCCCCAAATCTCTCCCCATGGTTCTTTATGAAACTGTGAACTAAAGAAGCAGAGGAGCAGGGTCACATCAGCCACCTGGCATGAGGGTCCTGGAGTCACCAGAGGACAAGCCTGCCTCGCCTGGAGAGAACTGTCTGCCTCTTGGTAGCTGGGCGTTCCTAGGATGGGACCCTCTTTCCATGTGGCCAGCACTCTGGCTGCATCTTATCAAGAGATGTTGGTTATCCATGAGAACTGAGTGTCTGGCAGACAAAACTCACACGTGCCCTTTACCCCGACTTGCTATTAAACAACCACTGATGACCATTTCTTGTTTAAGGTCAGAGAGGATGCTTTGGACTGTACCACTTTAGTAGGCTAAAAATACCTCAGCAAGAGTCAAAAAGTAATATAGAAAGGGAAAAGAGAGTCAGAAGTGAGAACTGAACTGCATGAAAAGATAGAGCCCTAATGTCTGTGCAATGCACCTCTTCTTGAGGTCTAGGAACACAATCTTGTGTACCTCCAGTTCTTTTCCTTCCCTTTCATTTCTGACCCATGAGCTTCTCTTACTAATGCTACTGCAGAAAAGAATGAAACAGACCATTTTCTCCAGAGTCTGGCTTTGCTGTCACTAAATCACCCCACTGATCTCTGCAAGGCATCGCTGATTCCCTTAATGAGCTGCTGTACCAAATATAACTGCAAGTCCATTTGCTTTGGATTCTTGCATAGTCTTTACTTAATTTCTATTTTGTCTTATAGCTAGAATTTTTTGTCTCCACATTCTTAGACCCCTGAAAGTATTCCTCCTTGTCTTTATACCCAGATTTCCCATCTCTCCAATGCCTTCCTCCCCATCTGATTACTTTTCACACTCAAGTATGCTTCATGCTGAACTTCTGCATTACTTTCTTTCATTATTGTTAAGTGTCAAGAAACTCTTCAGGCATTTAATATCTTTTCTTGAAATAAACCCTAATTTATCTCTAAAGAAAAAGTCATAAGGCTGAAAAAGAAATCTTCCATTACAATTGCAAAGAGACAAGACATAGACAGTGAGAGAAGCCTTCAAAACTGACTGTAGACAAACTTTGAAGGCTATCTTCTACAGAAAGAAGAAGACAGAAAAAAAGGAAAGGGACCTACATTTTTTAGAAGTGAAAAGAAGGCTTTTAAAAAGGTACAATTTGCAGACTATAAATGCATTGTAAAATACAAATATAAATGCTCGGCCAGGCACGGTGGCTCACGCCTATAATCCCAGCACTTTGGGAGACCGAAGTGGGTGGATCACCTGAGTTCAGGAGCTTGAGAGCAGCCTGACCAACATGGAGAAACCCTGTTTCTACTAAAAATACAAAATTAGTTGCGTGTGGTGGCGCATGCCTGTAGTCCCAGCTACTGGGGAGGCTGAGGCAGGAGAATCGCTTGAACCCAGGAGGCGGAGGTTGCAGTGAGCCGAGATCGTACCATTGCACTCCAGCCTGGGAAACAAGAGTGAAACTCTGTCTCAAAAAAAAAAAAAAAATATATATATATATATATGTATATATATATACACACACACATACATATATATATATACAGACATACATATATATATGCTCAACAATTGCAATTCTCATGAGTAGGGTTTATATCTTGAATTGGGGAAATGATGTCTCTAAGGAAGACTACATAAACATTAATAGTAATTTCCCTATCTTAAATAAAAACCTAGCCCAATTTGTCATACATAAGAACCCCGTGACATTCATCTGGTCAATCCTTTAATCAACAAAAGTTAGTGCACACGTTGGGAGTTCACTACGTGTTAGGCACTGGTTAGGACTCAACATATAGCAACAAACAGACACAGCCTTGTCGTCATTAAGTTTACAATCAAAGAAGATGTTTTCATACTATTTTCCTAAGTCTATCAAATTAAAGAACTTATCAAAGATCCCTCAAGATCTCATTTTACTTTAACCCATTCTCATATATCCTGGAACAGTTCACCCACCCCAGTGAACATACTCACTTTGTCATTGTTCCTCAAAATCAGTGGAACTTCATAGACTTCACAGGGAGTGTAGTTCTGAAATATAATTTCTGATGGAAAGGGCTGGAATAATGCCTGATCCAGGTCAATTCCTGAAAACTTCAGTTGAAAGAGTAAATTATTGTTATAGTCACACATTGACAAAAATGACTGGGGAAGATAAGAAAATACTACGTAGACCTGTGGATATTAAAACTAAACATGGGAAATATTCAAAAAGAAATCCATACCCAAGTACATCATTGTAAAAGCACTAAAACACAGGACAAAAGAATGTGTAAAAGAAACTGGAGGGAAAAATAGAATATTTAACTTTCAAGGAGCAAAAACACATGCCTACTTTTCAACATCACAAGTCAGAAGGCAGAGGAATAAAATTTTTTAAATCCTGAAAAAAAAAAAACAAACCTCTGCAGGCATAGTATTTTTTACCTGGGGAAAGTCCCTTCAAAAACGAAGTTTGAATAAACACATTTTCAGAGAAATAAAAATTGAAAAATGTTGTCACCAACTTCTAAAGGAAATACCAAAGGGTATTCTTTATGGAGAAGAGAATTTCTCTTAGAAGTTCAGAGATGCAGGAAGGAAAGGAGAATAATAAAGGGGTAAATATGTGGTTACTCTAAATGAATTCTCATCATACAAAACAATAATACAAATAACTAGCTTACTAATGGGATGTGTGCCCTGGTTGGGCACTGCACAACAGAACCAAATTGGACTTGGACCCCTCATTTCCTGTTCTATTTTGATTTTAACAAAGTACTTGCTTTTTATTTAACCAACCACTGAGAAGCCAGGTTTGTAAAGTATGACATCATCAAAGTGAATATAGCATCATCCAATGCTGAAACTACGAATTACCCCAAGCTAGTAGCCTGTTTAGCATCCAGTAGATTTTGGGTAGTGCCAGGTTTCCCTTGAAAATTCAGACTATCCAATGATGCCCTGTGAGTTCACGGTTGCGCCCTGGGGCACCTTGGCACACAGTTTGAAAACTGCAGCTGTAAGTATCCATCTTAATAAGTTAGAATAAATAGCAAAATAAATCCAAATAAAGAAAAAAATTGACATGACAAAAACAGGAGAGGAAATTAATGAAATAAAAGTAACTATACTATAAAAACAACAAAGTGAAATTCAGGTCTTTAAAAAGATTAATAAAATTGACAAAATACCTCATGAGTTTGATCAAGAAAATATGACAGAAGGCACAAAGAACAAATAGAAAGAATGGAAATGGGAATATTACAATAGAACCCAAATTCAGTAAAAAAATAATAAATATTATGTCAATAAATGTGAAAATATAGATAAAAATACAAATTCCTAGAAAAATACAATAAAAATGTATCAAAACTGGCACAAGAAGAAACAGAACATCTGAATAGTTCTAAAACTGTTACAGAAATTATATCTGTAAACAAACCCTTTTACAGAGAAAATTCCAAACCCAGATAGCTTTACAAGCAAATTCTACCAAACATAAAAGAAACAACTCAAGTATTATAGAAACTGTCCCAAAGAAAAGAAAAACAAAAAAATGAAATGTTTCCCAACTCAGTCTATAACGTTAGCATAACCTCCTTTATATATCTGAGAAAGACACTAAGGGAAAAGAAAACTATAGGCCAGTCTCATTCATAAACCATAGACAGATAGACAGATAGATGAAAGAAAGAGAAAAAAAATTTGCAAACTGAAACTGAAACTGGCACTATATAAAAACGATAACACATCATGACCAAGTTGGGTTCATCTCAGAAATTCAAGGTTGTTTTAATACTAGAAATCAAACAAGAAGAAACAAAACTGTCATTTTCCCCAGGCAAAGTAATTGCTTATTTCAAAAATTCAAAATAACCTACAAATAAATCATTCTAATAATTCTTTTATTAGAATTAATAAGTGATTTATCAAGGTCATTGAGTACAAGGTCAACATATCAAAACCAATTCTATTTTTAGGTACTAGCAATGAACATTTAGGAAATGAAATTTATAAACAATATTACTTAAAATAGTATCCTAAAATGTAAAACACATAGAAACAAATCCAATGAAAGATGTATAAGACCTTTATCCAGAAACTAAAAACATTATTGTTTTAAGGAATTAAGGAAGACCTTAACTGAAATTAAGGAAGACCTAACTGAATGCAGGAATACACTATTTTCATAAATTAAAAGAAATTTTTTCAGGATGTCAAATACTCCCCAAATTTATCTGAAAATTCAATGCAATACATTAAAAAAAAAAATCCCAGCAGTTTTTTTTTTGAAACAAAAAAGCTGACTGAATTTATACGGAAATGCAAAGGACCAAGAATAGACAAGATACATTCGAAGAACAAGATAGGAGGATTTGCTATATCAGGTAGCACAACATGATAATTATATTATTACATATCATATACTGTTACTTACCACAGTAATGATAATGAGATATTAGCACAAGATTTATCAGAAAAATAAATGTACCAGATTAGAAAGCCCCCAAACCAATTATTAAATATATGGTCACTTGATTTATGACAAAGGTAACACAGCTAATCTACTTCTCACATCTTAGGTTAGTTTTCTTGATTATATAAGTGGAATAATACAGTATATACTCTTTAATTTCTGGCTAATTGAATTTCTGCCATTAAGCAATCAGTCTTAACTACATCATTTCACCATAAGCTCAAAGAGCATAATGGAAAAAAAAGTCAAAGAGCACAAAGCAAATATTTAAGAATGTAAAGAAGTGAGCAGTTAGGAGAGATTAAAAATTCATGTCTTCATTCAATAAATATTGAGTTTCCAACATGTGCCACGTTCTTTTTTGTATGCTGAACATAGTGAACAAAGCCAAAAAAAGCCCTAACCTCATGAAGTTGACATTCTTGAAGCTCAAGCGATCATACAAAAAATATAGAAATACAGAACATAAAGTCAGGTAGTGAAAAGGCTGTGAAAAAAAGCTAAAGCAGGACAAGGAGATGGCAGACTGGGAGGTGGCTGCTCTTTTAGATAGGCAGTCAAGAGAAGGCCTCTCTGAGATGACTTCTAAGTAGAGGTCTGAAGCAAGTCACACTAAGATTTTAGAATAGCACTCCAGTTAGAAGGGAAAGCAAGTGCAAAGTCCTTCAGGTGGAAATTACCTTTGAGTGTCTGAAGAGCAGCATAGGGAAAATTCACTGAGAAGAGACTGAGAGGGAGAAGAGTAGAAGGCAAAGAGGTCCGTGAGGAAGGCAGGACTAGATGGTACAGGACCTTGGAGGTTTTGGCACTGAGTTTAGATTTTATTATATGAGTAATGGGAAGTCACTGGATGGTTTTAAACATGGAAGTAACATGTTCTGATTTACATTTTAAAAAAACATTCTTACTGCTTTGTGATAATGGGGGCAGGGGGAGAACGAGATGGAAGCAGGGAGGCAATTTTGATATTCTAGATAATGGTGGCTTAAACTGGAATGGTGGTGGAGAACATGGTGAGAAGCAGTATGATTAAAGACACATTTGTGAAGGCAGAATTCATAGCACTTATCATTGGATCATAAGATGTAAAATAGAGAGGCATCAGGAATACAACTCCAAAGTGTTTGGTCTAGGAAAACATATAAGTGGGGGTATGAAAAGCAGGAAGAAAGAGACAAAGAGGAAAGATCAGGCTTTTAGAGATGGAATGTAAAGCTACAATTAGATCTTAAATATATTAAGTTTGAGCTGCCAACCATACATTAAGCTGACTATATGATCCAGAGTTCAGGGGATAGACAGTGGCAGGAGATATAAATATAAAAGTAAACAACAAAAAGTAGAATTTAAAGCCTTTTTTCCTAGAAGAAGTCACCTAAGTTGTGAGTTCACAAGAGAAAGAAGTTCAAGTACCAAGTACTGGGAGCTCTAATATTTAGTGATCAGAAATGAGTGAATAATCCAACAAATAAAATAAGCAAAAATCAACCAGTGAAAAGTAGAAAGAAAATCAAATGAGTATGCCATGTCAGATACAAGTGAATAAAAGGGTACAAAAAAGAGATGCTCACTGTATCAAATGCTATGAGACAACATGGAAGCAATATGTTCTGATTTACATTTTAAAGATTACTTTTACTGCTTTGTGATAATGGGGGCAGAGGGAGAATGAGATGGAAATAGGAAGGCTATGTCAGTATTCTAGATAATGGTGGCTTAAACTGGAATGGTGGTGGAGGAAGTGGTGAGAAGCGGGATGATTAAAGAGGTCTGTTGAACCAGGTCTGGTCTGGTAAAAAATGAAGCATAAAAGAAATATATACATAACTCAAAGTAAGGGACACAGAGGATAGCCTAATGAATGTAATGACAATGCAATGGAAATGAACAGAAAGTTAAAAATGAATGAGAGAGGAAATGCAAGCTGTAGAAGGGCAGACAAAGAAGGTCCAACATATTCATCATTGAAAAATGATATGAAAAAAATACTTGATAATTCAAGAAAAACTTTCTAAAAATAAAATAAAGGCGCACAGTACCTCAGGAAAAATGTAGTGTATCCTAATACTGAACTTTAAATAATAACAAACAATCTTTGGGCACATGGGCTAAAAGATTAACTTATGAGGGAGAAATCAGGCTGGCTTCCGACTTCTACATACCATCATTTAAAGTCAGAAGGTCATAGGGAAAATGCCTGCAAAGCTGTTATGAAAATTTGTGGCCCAAGAATTTCATAAGTAACAAATCTGCAGTTCAGTATAAAGGCAAGACACAAATATTATCAAACACATAAAACAAAGAAATACAGTCTTCATAAGCTCTTATTGAAGAAATTAGTAGATGACTGCCACCCATCTAAGAGATAAATGATTAAATCTCAGCATATAAATTAAAAATAACCAACTGAATTAAAGAGGAGAGGAGAGAAAGTGTAAAGTATCTGATTTCCTCATCCTTTATAGCAGAGTCAAAACACATTAAAATACACTAGTAGTACACATGAAAAACTCCTCATAGCCTGTTATGTGTTATGCTTTCAGAAAAGAGGAAATGGTCCTTAATTAGAAGAAATGTCTTGGAAAAGACCATGTTCCCTCCACTCAAATTTGGAGGGTGGTTGTGGGAAACAGACAAAACAATAAAAAGCTAGCAATGCTCAGAACAGTGAAGCTTATGCATATCCTAGACAAAGGAAGCAATGGTGTAGCAGTAACAGCAGACAAGCCTCAAAGACTCATTCTTCATGAGGAACATAACATTGAAAAACTCTCAGGAATTTTCAGAGGAAAATTCTGAGGAACTCTTTGAGAAGAGGTTAATCTCCCCAGCAGCCCAACTATTGGAGGTTCATACCATAATTTGTGCATTAAAAGTAAAGGATATAATTTAAGAAATTAATTAAAAAATAGGAAACCAGACCTTCTATAATCACATGCTCCTAAAGCCTGGAAGGTATGGTTTACATTCGAATATAGAAACATGATAAAATCACTATTCTTTAGAGACAAAAGGATATGTCTGTTACTGGAAATGAGCCAGAATAGACAACGAATGCCTACTTTAATTAACAATTCCAACTCCTTCTTTTCTAGTGGGCAGCTCAGATAAGGAGAGATTACTTGTTACACTAAGACAATAACTTAATTGGGCTTGACTAATATAATTCTTAGAATTACTCCTAACCTGTGTAAACTATAGCGTCAAATAGTATTCAGAAGTAGCTAAGAAAGAAGTATAACTAGTCAAAAGTTATTTTAAAAGAGGTTTGCACTTGCAGTCTTCACCATACCAAATCACAGATATGAAGACATTCAGAGGCAGAAAAGGAGGATTGAAAACAAACCCAATAAAGGATTAGGTAGCCAAGAAACAAATTTTACTTATTGTTCTGGAATTTTGGTGTTGTGCCAGGGCCCACTTTATATGTAAGTACGACAGAGAGCAGCTACCTTCTGATGTGTTGTTTCCCCCATATCTAAGAGTTCGATGATCTGTGGTCGGCACATCAAACGTGTTTTTGCCAGTCTCTGCTCGGTGGTCAGGGACATTTCCTTCAGGAACTCTGAGGGTGTAAGCTAGAATGTAAAACAATAAGAACCAAAGATTCTTAAGTGGATGTACTGAAAAAGTGTTTTCATAAGTACCAGTAATGAATAATTTGTGTTTGCAGCTTTCAGGATAATTCTGGAATGCCACTAAGTTCCCTTATAAAATATTTAAAATAAGTAAATTATATAAGAGAAGTACCCACGCACTTTTGAGGTCTTTGCACGGTAATTGAAAATGACATGTGTTTGCTGTTTCCTTATGATTTTGAAGGAATCACACAAAAGAACCTGAGAGAAAAAAGTCAAGAAATTGCACAGGAACATGTCCAAAGAGCTTAACATTTATGCTCAGAAGAGGCATCTGTGCATAAAACTCTCAGTTTGTAAAGTCACTCAAGGGCTTCAAAAACCAGGAGTTTGAAATACCTCTATTTCTCAACTAACATTACAATATGCAAACAAAGCTTTTGGGTGTTTAACTATGATATGATGTTAGAGAGAAATCTTATAAAATTGCAAAGATCTAGGAAGTGTGACTACATCACTTAGGAATGAGTTTGAACTTTAGAGACATCACAAGGGTGCATTTAGACCTCGCTTTGAAAGAGCTCTGAGCTAATCAGCAGATCCCACAGCCAGTCACATTCACACACCCCAGTAAGAACACAAAATGCTTTTACCCTTTCCAATGTTATGAGAAAAAAAAAGTAACCTAGCATTTAAATAAAACTAACCCAACAAGGGATTAGTTACCCAGAACCAATGTTATTGTGGTTCTAGAATGTTCCTACTATATGTGCAGGGAGATTATGATCATTGGCAGCTACACAATGCTCAAGTATATGCCAAGATTTTTACAAAACATTTGAGGGTATATAACTTAGCTGCTTTATGTTGCCTTGGGTTAAACACAATGTACTTTAAAAATGCTTATTTTTCTACAAATTTTATTTCTGTGATTTAATCCATTTAAATGAAGGTATATTTCTAATACAGCTTTCAACTTGGTTAAGATCTTTTTGATTGGAACCCAGATAAGGACAATAAAATGTTAAGAGGTGTCAGCTATATTGTGATTTAAATTAAAATAATTAGGTCTTAAAAGCAAAATGCCAGGAGTTTCTTTAAATATGTACCAACAACCATCACAAAAGAGAATAATGATTGATTTTATTTCTCTAATTGGAATGTAACTTAAGATTAGTTTTTAAAATGTAGTGAATACTATCCCTGGCACTATACATTTTTACTAATATTTTCTACAGCATGTGGTTCATAAATTATCACCAATCATTATAAATAATTAAAGCTATAAATATGTTTTATTTTAAAGAACAGGAAAAATACCTATTTTTCTTAAATACCACTTAGTCATTATTTTAATGCTCTGTGTTCTATAAATATACAAACAAAAATTACTCTTGCCAATCGGTAGGTAGTAAATAATTAGGTTGAATCCTATGAAATTCTGATATTTGACTGTTTTTGAACTAAACAAATGACAGTTTGTCATGGTGCTACCTAATATTTAGAAAATCTTAATAGTTCATTTGTAAAGTCTCACTTCAACTGATTAGTTTAAGCAAATCAAGCCTCTACTTTGAAGTATGTATGCAATTTCAAAACTTCTCAGGCTTTAAAAGGTATCTACACTCTGCAGAAAGCTACCATTATAACTAAATTGATATTAATCAGTCAGTAATTCTGTTTGGCATTCTGAGAATGCCAAGTAGCAACTGTCATTCTCCTAAGGAGATTGCATTAAGTATTTTACATATTAATTCCCGGATACATTACCATTCGGTTTACTTCTTCTTCTGTAACCACCTTTGGACTCAGGGGTGGCAAAACCTTGCTTTGAAATCCTTTGAACATATTGACCAATCCCATCTGAACAGCCCCCATGGACTCCTCAAGTCTTCTACTTGTCATTTTTAGTAATTTTTTTTTCTCACCTAAGAGTGAAACAAAAATGTCTTAGAACAAATACAGTTAATTCCTGAATACAGGTCATAATTTTTTTTAAGCTTTTTCAAATACAGGAAGGTTTAGAAAATACTGATCTTCCGAAATCCAAATGCTTGGAACAAATATCTCAACAAAGGATTCTATTCCATATAACTAGATTTATCCTTCTCCCAAGATCTAGAATCTATTTTAGACAAAATAAGGGATTCTAGACTAAGCTCAGGAAGACATGGAAGTACAAGTTACTTCTACATTTTGCCCCTTTTATCTTCCCAATGAGAAAAACAAACACTGCCCAATAAACATACTAAATAGTTTGATAATTTATCTACATATTTGAAAGCGCTCTCTTAGGAGAATCGACCCTTCAAACAGAATAAATACAAGGTTACAGGGCTTCACAGCTGGACAGAGATTCGAAATAGCATGAGATAAGACAGGCAAAGGAAAGTTCTGGGAAAAGTTTTAAAGCTTATAGTCATAAATAAGCCAGTGAATAGCCACCCAATATCTCTGAATCAAAGAAATATGGCATCTCCCTTTTGCATATTCTTGCTCAGACTTCTGGTAGAACACTTGCAACTTCAGAAAACCATCTATGACTAGGTAGGGATTTCTATTTTTATTGATAGCAGGCTAGGTTATCCAATCATTGTGCTAAAAAAGAGAACTAAAAATTATTGATAAAATATCAAATTAAAAACCCTAAAACCATTAAAAACAAACAAACAAACAAACAAACAAAAACCTCACAAGACAGTAAGGAAGTACCAGACCAAGACATAGGAAGAAGAGCTATATAAAGGAAAGTAGATTTGAAGGAAAATGTAATAAGGCACACTGAAATAAAGCAGTAAAACACCCAAGGAAATGAATATGAAATTTTAAAAAAGGAAAAAGGGGTCATTATGGCAGAAAGCCTCTAAGATGGCAATCAATGAAACAGAAGACAGTCAAGGAAGATCCACCATGCTATAATTGGAGCTCCTTAAGAAGAGAATAAAGTAATGGAATGAAACTAATATTGCCCTACCTTTGGACAAGCTGATAAGAAAGCTCAGGTGTTCCTTCCTTTGGTTCCAGTGGAAAGTTCAAACAACACAAGGCCCAGACTGCGTAAGAACTATTATTATAGCCCCACCCTTAACCACAATAAAAGCCAAACCAGTATCTTTTCCCTATTCTCAAGTTATTTATTTTTTTTAAATACTTCTTCCCAAGAAGAGGATTTCTATCTTTTTCCCCCCGCCCTAGGTTTTTGCTATGTTGACCAGGCTGGTCTTGAACACCTAGGCTCAAGCAATCCTCCAACCTAGGCCTCCCAAGCAGCTGGCACTACTGGATTCAAGCTATTTTTGAACCTGTTTGGGAGCCTGCCCTGCTCTCACAGAAAGCCTCATTATGTGAACCATAACCTTTTCATATCTTCTAGGCGCATGAGTGGCATCACCAATCTTGACATCCAAACCAAATTTTGGTTGGGGAGCCCATTCTATCACAGCTGGGTAGTGACAACAACAGAAGCAATAAAAAAGCAAAGATTGTGGTCTTGATTTTAAGACAGATTTTTAAAAAATCATTAACAACACAAAGAAGAATATTTTAGAGTGTGAAACACCATAATTCAAAATGATGATGTAACAGTTATTATTATCTATGCACCAAAATAGCACAAAAACCATCCATATAAAGCAGAAATTATGGGAGATGCAAGGAAAAACAAATACACAAATAACAGGAGATTTTAATAAACTACTCTTAGTAAGACCTGTTAGGTGGACAAAAAATAAGTAAGACCATAAAAGATTTGAATGACATAACACATTAAATAGGTTTAGGAATATGTATCAAACACTACATCCTAGTAATAGAAAATATGCCTCCTCAATAGCAAATAGAATGGTGACAAAAATTTGGTTATATATTAAAAGTATAATACCAAAGAAAATACCAGTGGTTCTATAATCTAGAAATATTAGAAGCAACAGTCTGATCATAATACAACAAAGCTAGAAACTTAAAAACAAAACAAAGAAACAGGAAGGTCCATTCTCCTGGAAATTTTAAAGTCTTCTATTAAAGGACAACAAAGTAAAAATTCATGAAAGGAAGAAACTACATTATCCTTTTTGATTATATGATTACAGTTACAAAGAGCTAAAAATATGGTGTTATAAAATATCTAGCAAAGTTACATATGCATGTACATCTGACTCAGCAATCCCTATTCTAGGAATCTATCCAAATGATACACTAGCTAAAATATGAAACGATACATAAACCAGTAACAGTGGTTACCTACAGAAGGAGTAAAGGAACAGGGTAGAGGAGATAGGAATGAAAGAGAGATTTCTCTGAATGTACCTCACTATACAGTGTTGATTTTGAACCATGTAAGTGTTTTACATATCAAAAATGAAAAAAGAAACGGGAAAATCAATTCTTAAAAATAAAAAAGAAACTGAAACAAATGAACCTTGCTGTACATCCAGCTGGTGTCATAACCACAGAGAGAAAACAATTATTCCAACCAACCTTAAAACATAATATTTTTGGCTGGGCGTAGTGGCTCACACCCGTAATCTCAGCACTTTGGGAGGCCGAGGCAGGCGGATCACGCGGTCAGGAGATTGAGACCATCCTGGCTAACACAGTGAAACCCTGCCTCTACTAAAAATACAAAAAATTAGCTAGGCATAGTGGCACGTGCCTGTAGTCCCAATTACTCAGGAGGCTGAGGCAGGAGAATCACTTGAACCTGAGGAGTGGAGGTTGCAGTGAGCCGTGATGGCGCCACTACACTCTAGCCTGGGCAACACAGCAAGACTCTGCCTCAAAAAAAAAAAAAAAACAAACAACAATATTTTGACTGTATTCTCAATGAGATATGCTGTCAAAACACAGAGAAGAGCCGAGAAATCTTATCATTTATCCAGTAGTCTTGCTGTTGGTCATGATATTAGTAATAATATTTTTAAAACAAATAAGTAGCTACATCAATATAGTTAGGAACCAAGCATTTCAGTATTTTTAAAAGTATAAACGAAGAAAAGTTTTTATATTAAGAAACCCTATAATCTTAACATTTAAATTGAAAATAAATACAAGCTTGCGATGATTTTCTCTTTTTAAATAATCTGCCCACTGAAAAAGCCCATAAGCAATGAAAGTCCGGTGGCAATGACAGCGCAGAGACCTGGATTGTAGTATTCAAACACCATTTACCACTAACAGAAATCACAACTCCTTGGAGAAATGGGTAATTTGAGGACAAGGGTACAAAATGTATACAGTGAACTTGGCACATTGTCTCATACCATAAAACAAGAACGTTATCAAGAGCTACCAGGGTTGTCAGGGATCCAGAGCAACTTGAAAGCATTCCCATTAACCAAAGATGAGACAATTTGAGCATAAAAAAAAAAAAGTCGGCAATAGATCCGTTCTTTTAAATCTAAATTTAAATGATACTTTAAAAAAATAATTGGTCACCTTTGGAAGTTGCTAAAGCACCAAACTAATTATTTTGGAAATAATAAAAGGAAAGAACCATTTATTTTGCACTATTTTAGTATAAATTGCATTGTTGGTTAACCAAATAGTTGATGAAAGAAAATTACTCTTTATAAAAGAATTCCAACTAATAAATGCAGAAAAATCACAGAAAAATAATTACCATTTTGCAGCCCCTAATGAAATGAAGGATCTTCAGTGCTAAAATAATTAGGTAAGATGTTGCTGAAGAACCTGACAATGGCTCAATCAGGCTGACAACACCGGAGTCCTCTAAATTAATCTTAACACTAAAAGAGTAAAACACAGGCATTATGTGCCTCCTGATGTGACGCAGTACACAGCACCACTTATGTAGTGTTATTGACAGAAATCTAAGCCTCCGACCTACCAGCCCAATTGCAGGAGATAGAGGGAAAGAGGAACATGTATGTTCTGTAAGAATACAATTAATCTAAATCCAGGATGTGAAAAATGTTATAGGAAAATGACTCAGTTTATTCACAATAAACATAGCATGAAAGAGAGAGGAGCAGGAGAGAAGGGTGAGAAGGAGAAAAGAAGGGAAGGAGAGAGAGAAGTTACGAATTAAAAGAGTCTTACACCAACCAAATACAAGAGTAGACCTTGTTTGGATTATGATTTTAAAAACTGAATAATGGATGATATAAAATAATTACTGCTCATCAGATTAAACATTTTTATTTTAAATTCATTAACTAATACTCCTATCAAACTATACCCATTCCAAAAAATTAGTGTTGCTATTGTTGTTGTTATTTGCTAAGTATGTCAATAAACATAAAATAGTTTTTAAAATCATCGTTTGTTTTGTTGAGAAGGATAACAGCATTATGGGTCTGATTTTTTGTAAAAGTTATTATCTGATATTTAGTGAATTATTTACAGGTAAAAATAAATATTGTCTGAGATATACTTTAAAATACTACAGGAAAAAATGCGCGTGTTTGCGTTTACCTAGGTAACAAACCTGTGTATCCTGGACATGTACCCCAGAACTTAAAAAAAAAATTGAAAAATTTAAGAAAAGGCTGTTATAACCAGCAAAACCCTAACACTGGTCAATCCAGCTGTTCCAGTCCTCTACTACACCCAGGCTGTTAGGACTGCCAGAGAAAACCACACAGCAGCCTAGACTCACAACCTTGCAAATTCAGTGTCTGCAGCCTCTGCTGGGCCCCTTAGACCACCTCATCTGTTTCCTTTATTAGCTCTCTTCCCGGCAGCTATTTCTCTTCCTGCCATTCTAGAGGGTTTATCCCACTCAGATCTCTTCTGATTTCCAGCTCCACCGACCCAGCTGCCTACAAGATGCTTCCACTTAGGGTGTCCACAGGCACCTCAAGCTCAGCATGTTCCCCCAGCTCTGCTTTCTCCTATATTCCCTCTGTGAATGAATTATCATTCACACAATTGCCCATATCCCAAGTGTAGGCATCACCTATGACTTCTCTTTCCTCAAATTAACCATATAACACATACTTGTGGACTACTTACTATGTGCCTGACAATGTTCCAAGCATTATATGTTTTAGTTACTTTAATCCCCACAGCAACCCTAGATGAAGGTATTATTACCCTTCCCATATCACAGATAAGGAAACTGAGGCACAGAGGAGGTAAGTAACCTGCCCCAGTTCACACAGTAGCAAAGCATAGAGCCCGGAATAGAACCAGTCATTATGGTCCCAGAGTCCACACTTTTGATCATGACATGATTCTGCCCTCACCTTGCTTGTGACTCTACCTCCTTAGTATCTCACAAATTCACCACTCTTTTCCATCCCTGCTGCCCCTCCTTCGTTAATGTCACTACCACATCTTGCCTGGGTAACTGCAACACTTAACTGACCTATCCAACTCCAGAATCATGCCTTTCCCATACCCCAGCCATTCTCCACGCTGCAGCCACAGTGACCTTTCCAAAGGGAAAATTTGGTCATGCCATTTCTCTGCCTAAAATCGTTTCGTCCGGAACACTCTCCACACTCCTTAGCATGCTGTTCATCCCTGGAATTTGCCTATCTTACACTTGATGCTCTACCAGCAGTTCAGAATGTGTCCTGTGCTCACACACCACAGACTCACATGTAACACCAGGAATGCCTTTCTTGCTCTCCCACCCCATGGCAGCTAATTCCCATTTGTCTTTCCAGATTCAGCTGTCACCTCTTTCAGAAAGCTGTGAATGACTCCCAAGGCTGCCCCTTCCTTATGATCTCACAGGTCCTCGTGCTCACTCCTATCATGGTTATTGATCTATCTCTCTCCCTCACCGGACTCTTAAGTTTTTTGAGGACAGGAACTTTGTCTTTTTAATCACTGTATTCCCAGCACCCTGTACAGGGCCTCATACATATACTAATCTAATAAATGTGGTTAATTAATTAATTAATCCATCCATCATAATGACTTTTCCCAAATCTCCAAATATGCCAGCCTATTTCATACCTCTAACAGGCTCATCCTTTCCTCTCACATCCTGATCCCCATCTGCCTAGCAAACTTCTGTTCATCCTACAAAACCCATCTCAAGAATCTGCAGAAGGAAGGCTTTCTCTAGTGCACTCGAGGAGTGCCATAACTCTGTCCTTTGCATATGCCCCTCTAATTAAATGCATCAAATACAGTGCATTGTAATTATTTGCTTACAAGCCTGTTTCTAACTCCAGAATGTAAGCTTCTTGCCTATAGGGATCATGTGTAATTGGCACATACAAGGAGCTCAGTAAATAATTGTTGAAGGAATATTAAATTGCATTTATTAAAAGAGAATTTTCACTAGGCCAAAACACTTCTCAGAGGAACTATTTCGCTCATTTGGTTTGTTTTTCTTAATTTAAAATGTCAGTCTTTGGCTCCTTCCAATGTTTCTACTTAACAGAGTCCAGGTTAAGTAAGAGTTCAGTATGTGTGATGTAATGTCTTCTTTCAGAGAATATTAAAAAGAAAAGTTAGACAAATATATTCTCAGCTAACTCTTAGGAAGGAGAACCAGACAGAATAGGGTTTGCCATTAAAGCTCTGTCTTTATAGATTTGCACCATTGAATTCTAAAAGACAGAAAAAAAAAGAAACGTTTTAGAGTAGACATCCTTAGGCACAAAATTCCTTTTCTGTAGGGAATTGAGTTCTGTTCACCTCTAGGAACTCATAAGGAGCTGAGTCTAAAAGAGTTCAAATTTAGAGTAGACTGCAGCCTTGTAAAGCAGAATCTCATAATGTATATTATTAAATTAGTGAATGCTTCCAGATGCTGCAGGGACGTGTACGTGTCACATTAATAACTATCATGATCACCATAATCATACCCTCACCCCCATCTCTATCATCTCTCTTTGCTTTTTCTTTATCTTAAATGTCTCAAAAAACTCATTTCCTATACTTTTTTTCTGCCATCTTCTATTCCCAAGCCCCTCCCTTCTTTGCAGAAAAGCCAGCAAAAATTTTTTTGCTCCCAGTTAAATCTTTGAACAAGTTAAAATCCTTTCTACCCAATACACAACATGTAAAATGTAAACAAATCTCAAAGAACTTTAATGTCAAACACTGCCTCTTCTATTTACACATGCGTTACAGTAGCCCAGATCCTTTAACACACTTAAATAAATATAAACATTGCTTGATAAAAATGTTTTCCCCCAGTTTTAAAAAAATAATTTTTGGGCCGGGTGCAGTGGCTCGCGCCTGTAATCCCAGCACTTTGGGAGGCTGAGGCAGGTAGATCACAAGGTCAGGAGATCGAGACCATTGTGGCAAATGTGGTTAAACCCCATCTCTACTAAAAATACAAAAATTAGCTGGGCGTGGTGGCACGGGCCTGTAATCCCAGCTACTCAGGGGGCTGAGGCAGGAGAATCGCTTGAACCAGGGAGGCGGAGGTTGCAGTGAGCCAAGATCGCACCACTGCACTCCAGCCCAGCAACAGAGTGAGACTCCGTCCCAAAAATAAAATAAAATAATTTTTGTTTTCCTCTCAGAAAGAGCTGTTAGCAGTAATAAACCAAAACTCTGAGAAACTTATTTCCATTAAGACCAAAGGCTTGGGGTCATCAGACCTAGGTTTAAATCTTTTTTAGCCTCAGTTTCCTCACTAAATAATGGAGATAACAATAAAAAGAGTGAGCCTACTCTAACAATTACCTATTGGCATCTAACAAATTGCCCCAAAACTTAATGTTAAAAACAACAATAATAAACACTACTTATTTATCATAGTTTCCATGATTCAAGAATTCAAAAGAAGTTTGGCTACGTGATTCTGGCTTGGAGTCTCTCATGAGATTGTAGTCAAAGATACAGCCAGGTCTACAGTCATCTGAAGGGTTGACTAAGGTTGGAGAATCCACTTCCAAGATGGCTTATGACCAGCAAATTGGTTCTGACTGTTGGTGGAAGGACTCAGTTCCTCCTCTCACAAGTCCTTTAACATGGCTGCTTGAGTGTCCTCAAAGCATGATGACTGGCTACCTCCAGGGTAAGCAAGCCAAGAGACGATGGGAGAAGCTACAGTGTTCTTTTTGACCCAGAAGTCACACACTGTCACTTGCACAACATCTATTAGTCACACAGATCAGCCCTATTCAATGTGAAATAGGCCACACATTTACATGAATGTAAATACCAGAAAGTGATAATAACTTGGAGCCATCTTGGAATCCATCTATCACATCCATCTCATGCATTTATTAAGAAGATTAAATGAGATAATGTTTGTAAAAGACTTCACTTTGCACAGTGCCTGGCACGTAATTGTTACTGGTGTTATTGTTAGCAGAAAGTTTGGTTTAAAAAAAAAAAAAAGAAAAGAAAAAACTAAAGCGAAAGGAATTCTATGCAATTAACTTTGCTTTCTGGAAGTAAATGTGAATGCATAAAACTGTTCACATGTCTTCAACTTTGGCTTCTGCTACAGTGAGGGCAAGGGCTACTATACTCTGGAATGTTGATAAATATTATTTTTACCCCCAAACACCATTTTCACAAGAAAATATCAAATTAAAAACAAGGAAAATACTCAAATACCGTATGACTTTGGTTGTCAGTGGGGGGTTTTCTAGGCATTCACTGAGTATAAGGATTAATTTTCACTTTTTAATCCTGCTTCATCTTCTAGCTTTCTACTGTCTCTAAAGCTGTTGTGTGCTATGGTTTTCTATTTATTTGATCTTTTTAAAACTGGATTATTTCAGGTTTTATAGGTTTCACATTGGCCTCTGCTCTCTTCCCCTTGAAAAGCTTCTTAAAAACAATCTGTCTCTGCAGGATATGTGCCTTCTTATATCTTAGGTAGATAAAAGAAAGACAGATTCCATTAAGAATTCACTTATTTGACCCATGTTAAAGAAAAGGAAAATGCAGATGTATAATGAAAAGGAGTTTTTCCAAAGCCTCAAATTACAAAATGAACTGCTTCTCCATGGGAAAGTATCAGGTACTGGAAACTTGTTCAAACTGTAGAAGTTTCCAGGTCAGACACAGGCAAAGAAAAAAATCAAATAGCCAACTAAGGACCATGTAGGAAGAAGGAAAAAACAGAAACAGAGAAAGGTATGGTTGCAAAAAGTGCTTATTATTTGTGAGCCCCAATTTACATCATTTTCATGACTCATACCAAGAATCTACAAGTATTATAGTTTCAAAACAGACTACTTTTGTCACAAGGAAATTCAATTATCTTATTTTTCAATTTAATAAGTAGTAGATGTGAAAGGCAATTTTATGTGTCAACTTGACTGGGACACGAGATGCCCAGATATCCAGCTAAACATTATTTCTGGGCATGTCTATCTAGATGTTTCTGGAAGAGATTAGCATTTGAATCAATGGGCTGTGTAAAGTTCATTGCCATCCCCAATATGAGTGAGCAGCATCCAATTAACTGAGTGCCTCAATAGAACAAAAAGTTGGAGGAAGGGAGGATTTACCCTCCCTGCCTGACTGCTTGAGCTGAGATATCAATCTCTTGCCCTCAGTGCTCATGGTTCTCAGGCCTACAGATGCAAACTGGAATCTACACCATTGGCTCTCCAGCTCTCAGGCCTTCAAACCACACCATCAGCTTTCCTGGATCTTCACCTTGCAGATAGTATATTTGTTAGGGGAGTTTGAACCAGGGTAACTCCATGCTGAATAGGGGCTAGGTAAAATGAGGCTGAGACCTCCTAGGCTTCATTCCCAGCCAGTTAGGCATTCTAAGTCACAGGACGAGATAGAAGGTCAGCACAAGATACAGGTCATAAAGACCTTGCTGATAAAACAGGCTGCAGTAAATAAAGCCAGCTAAAACCCACCAAAACCAAGATGGTGATGAGAGTGACCTCTGGTTGTCCTCACTGCTACACTTCCACCAGTGCCATGAAAGTTTACAAATGCCATGTCAATGTCAGGAAGTTACCCTATATGGTCTAAAAAGGGGAGGCATGAATAATCCACCCCTTGTTTAGCATATAATCAATAAATAAACATAAAAATGGGTAACCAGCAGCCCTCAGGGGTGCTCTGCCTATGGGGTAGCCATTCTTTATCCCTTTACTTTCCTAATAAGCTTGCTTTCACTTTATTCTGTGGACTTGACCTGAATTCTTTCTTGTGTGAAATCCAAGAACCCTCTCTTGGGGTCTGGATTGGGACCCCTTTCCAAAAACATATTGTGGGACTTCTCAGCCTCCATAATCCCACAAATCAATACCTTATCGTAAATGTCTTCCTAGATATAGATATAAACACAGATATGGATATGCTATTTGTTCTGTTTCCCTAGAAAACCCTGACTTAAAATAGTACAGTATCTACTATATGCAAAGAACTATGTTAATTAATTCTAAATAAAAACATATTGTTTTTGAGGAGTAAAGATGAAACTCAGTGATACGGTTACTAGCATATGGTAATAAGCACCTAGAAATCCAACAGAATTTTGACCTTGACTCTGCATATCTGCCAACATTCAGGCTTGGTTCACATCTCTAAGTGAAAAGCATTGTTACAGTTTGATTGAGCAGGTGATAAATTTTAATTTCAGTTTCAATGAGGTAGATAAGAGATAAAGTGATATCACCTTTTAAAAGATTTTATTGTGAAATATAATGTGCATACAGAAAAGTGCCTCACATAAAGAATTATTACAAAGTGAACACCTGTATAATAATCACCGAGGTTAAGAAACAGAGCACTGCCAACACCCCAGAAGACCCCTCTCACCCGTAGACGCTCTCTCCCCATTAAAGGTAACCACTATCCTCACTTTTTGTAGAAATCACTTTCCTTGATTTGATTCTCTTTGTTTGTTTGTTTGTTTGTTTGAGACAGAGTCTTACCCACCCCGGCTGGAGTGCAGTGGTGCCATCTTGGCTCACTGCAACCTCCACCTCCCAGGTTCACGCAATTCTCATGCCTCAGCCTCCCGACTAGCTGGGATTACAGGCATCTGCCACCATACCTAGCTAATTTTTGTATTTTTAGTGGAGATGGGGTTTCACCATGTTGGCCAGCTGGTCTCAAACTCCTGACCTCAAGTGATCTGCCCGCCTCAGTCTCCCAAAGTGCTGGGATTACAGGCGTGAGCCACAGAGCCCGGCCCCTTAATTCTCTTTTATGACTTAAGCATGCATCCCTTAACATTATACTTTTGCCTGGCTTTTAATATCTAGATGAATGGAATCACATATTATGTACGTTTTGTGTCTAGATTATTTAACTCTAATGTATCTATTTTATTATATACAGCTGTAGTCCATTTTGTGTATAATAATCCACCATTTGAATTTACTGCAATTTATTTATCCATTCTACCACCAATTAACATTTGGGTTGTTTCCAACTTGAGGTTGTTTCCTATTATTCTATGATGCTATGAACATTTTTGCAAATGTCTTTCCATGCACAAAGGTAATCAGAGTCTATATCTAGGAAAGAAACTGCTAGATCATAGAGTATGTGCAGGATAGGCTCTCTGTGTGGTCTTGGACTGACTCTGTCCTCCCCCATCTCTTGCTTGTAGTTGTGAAGAATAACTGTAGAATATGCTAGGAATGCAACATCCTGAGATGGAAAGGGAATGGCTGGAACTGTCTGGGCTCTGTTCTACTAGCCCCCCGCCAGAACAGGATGTCTTTCAATGCTTTAGCCCAGTGAGTCATATTATTCCAGGGTATAAAAACCAGGGAGGGCTACTTTCCAGGGTCCCTCAGCTGTGGTGCAAAGTGAGACTCCATCTGCCTTGGGATGGAGATGATATTTCCTGAAACTTGGGGGACTGGATTGCAATGAATCCTGGGTTTCTGGGTTCCTGGGTTTCTGCTGTCCCTTGTAATAAACTCACTTCATGTGATCTGTTGTATGTGAGTGTTCTGTCTTAACAAACTCAGACAAGTTGGTAATCGGTGCACAGTGAATCTCCTTCATAGTATGCATATCTTAAGCTATAGTAGTTGAGACTGAATAGTTTTCCAAAGTGGTTGTACCTATTTATACTCCCATCAGCAGTATATGAGAGATCTGGTTGCCATCCAAACTTGCAAGCACTTGTTATTGACAATCTTAATTTTAGCTATCTGGTGGATGTGTCATGATAGCTCATTGTGGTTTTAATTTGCATTTCCCTGATTACTAATGAGACGGCGTATCTTTTCATACATTTGTTGGTCATTTGGATCTCCTCTTTTGTGAAAAGCCTTGTGAAGTGTTCAAGTCTCTTGGCTTTTTTCTATTAGGTTATCTTTTTCTTACTGATGTGCAGAAGTCCTTTAAATATTTTAAATAGAAGCCCTTTGTCAGTTAAATGTTTTTACAAATATCTTTTCCCACTCTACAGCTTGTTTTTGCATTTCAAATGGCTTCATGGGCCTACTTCCAGTTTATCCCTACTCCTTTGAAGCAGCCCTTTGAAATAGAAACCCAAAGAGATGGGGGTTCACTAGGCTCCCTCTATCCTTGGCAGGCTCTGGTCATCAATCCCTGTTGCATTATCCCCAAAAGGCTGCCCATCCACTTAAGTCTCACAGCTCTTCCTTGAAATTTTCATGTGCTCTCAGGGAAAGAAGGGGCTCCAATTTTGGGGTTCACCTCCCTGGGCCTCTACCCTCCCCTAGACTTGGCCTGGTAATCCTTCACCATCTTGTAAGCCTTCTAAAGCCTTGAAGCAAGCTTTGGTTTATAATCTGTCCAGCCTTTCTAGTCACCTTCAGGAGAGGGGTGGGCCTGAATTACCTAGCCTACCATTATCAGAAGCAGAAATCTCTCATTCATAACGTGAAGATGGTATACAGGGACAGATATTAATCTATGCCTAAAGAACTTTCCAATTCAGAAAAGGAATTTTTTTAAAAAAATTTGAAGACAAAATGGCAAATTGTATGAAGCACAATACAAGTGTCAGAGGCGTGTGAACCAGAGCAACTCCATCTTGAGTAGGAGCTGGGTAAAATGAGGCTGAGACCTACTGGGCTGCATTCTCAGACAGTTAAGGCAGTCTAAGTCACAGGATGAGACAGGAGGTCAGCACAAGATACAGGTCATAAAGACCTTGCTAATAAAACAGTTTGCAGTAAAGAAGCCGGCTAAAGCCCACCAAAACCAAGATGGCCACGAGAATGACCTCTGGTCGTCTTCACTGCTACACTCCCAACAGCGCCATGACAGTTTAAAAATGCCATGACAACATCAGGAAGTTACCGTATATGGTCTAAAAAGGGGAGGCATGAATAATCTGCCCCTTGTTTAGCAAATCATCAAAGAAATAACCCATAAAAATGGGCAACCAGCAGCCCTCGGGGCTGCTCTGTCTATGGAGTAGCCATTCTTTTATTCCTTTACTTTCCTAATAAACTTGCTTTCAGTTTACTCTATGGACTTGCCCTGAATTCCTTCTTGCACAAGATCCCAGAACCCTCTCTTGGGGTCTGGATCGGGACCCCTTTCCAGTAACACAGGAAGTGCCCAGGACTAGTAAAAGTCTACTGAGAGCATGGCTTAGGTTTCTGAAATTAACCTGGATCATCCATTCATGCCACCTAATCCAAGACTTGTACAGCTGAAGTCTTGCCATCTTGATTGCTTCATTTTAGGTATCAGGCTGAGATACAATTCCTGTTACCTGAGATGGACATTTAGTATATCAACACTGAATGGCTGAATTACAGTGGCCAAAAGTGAATTTTTTATTTATCTACCAAGCAAGAAAGGGCACATTTTCCAGACCCTTCTCACTTGAAGAACACAAAAGAACAATACATGTTTTTGAAAATACATTAAAATTGAGGTTCTCTGAACTTTATCAAATTCAAGCCTGGGCTACTGATCTTCTTTCAGAAAGAGTCTTGATCCATGCATGGATCTAGACTGGGAAACTCACTATCATGAACACCCTCAGACACCCTGGGGAAAGGCAAAGTACTTATCTCTGAAACATCCAGCCTCTCATTCTAAGTCCATTAACCCAATTGGTACACTCTCTCCCTCCTCTGTCTGGGCTCTCCCTGTTTCCTTTGATCAAACTGTTTAAGGGTAAAATGCCTGGAACTTTCTTCTTCCACCCTGTTCCCTTGTCCATGCTTAGACTCATCCCACAGATCTCAGCTGAAACAGCACTTAATCTAGAAATCCTTTCTCTGAAGGCTTCCTAGACCCTTGACCTCTCTGACATCCCCTTCTTATATGTCCTCACAGCAATGCACTTTTCACATAAGATATAAATATGTAACTAAATTTTTATGTCTTCCTTCCCTACCAGAGAGCAAGCTTCAGGAGGTCAGAGATCTCAACCAGCTTGTTCATTGCTGTTATACATGCCTTGCATAGTGATTGGCATAGAGTCAATAAATATTTGTTGAATGACTGGATTGACAGCTGAATCACTGATCTGTTCATTACATTTTCCTTCTCAAAGATATCTTCATTTAAAAAAAGAATAATTTCGCAGATATTTATTGGTTTTTACTATCCTGCATCCATCCCCCCAACCTCTTGCTGGAAACAATGTCATGGGTTTCCCTAAGGAAACCCCTCACTCCAATCCAGGAGTGGCCTATCCCAGTATTGCACCTCCCTAGCTATATGGTTCAGAACACAGCACATGACCCAAGCCAAGCCCACCAAAGCCAATGAGGCTTAATTCTGATTTTGGGGTGAACTGCTGCAAGAGAGGCAATGCTTTCTTTGTATTGAGGTGCTGAAATCGGGATTTGAGCCTGAAGCTGCTGGCAGCCATTTTGCCCCTAGGAGGGGAGAGGCTGTCTGAGAACAAAGCCACACAAATGACAGCAGTGCCAACAGACTGACTTCTTAGGCCATCATTTGAATTCTTAGATCCAGCCACGAACTTCTGAGTCATCTGAGCCAGTCAATGTTTTTTGACACAAGTGTCATCTGAGCTGTATGCTGTGACCATAGTATCTTGACAAAGTGAATTCCTTATAAATAATTGCAGTCCATCTATTATTTGTAATGTATCATTGCATGAATAACTTGAATAACCATCTAGACTGTAACTTGCAAAAGCAGTTTTTGATGGTCTTTCTCAATTTGTCAAATATGCTAATTTAAACATGGCAGACAAGCTATTTTAAAGCCATGTTTGCCTTACTAAAATATAATAACTTCTATCTTATATGCCTTTGATTCTGTCAACACCAGAGTCTGAAAGACTGGTAGGATTTCAGGAGCACAAAGTGAGAACACCTTTTGTTACTACAGCCATCACACATGACGAATGTTCATTTGGAGAATTTGCTTCAACTATTACAGACACATGCATGGTATGTGCATGTGTATACACACCACTTAAGCTAATCTATTTTATAAGATTCTTATGAATGCTATGCAATTCATATTATTTTCATTGCAGCAAATTCTTAAACAAATACACATTTGTTTACACATTTGCTACAATGAAGAACAGGTATTGAAATTACCATTTATTGATAACTAAAATTCCTTACTTTGGATGCAACCATCAAATCAATGAAGGCTTATTCATATTTTAATGTAAACAAGAGATGTAATGGCCCTCTTTTGCTTGTTTAACAATAAATAAATAAGCTGCAGTCTACCATTTCTTAGTGACTTCTTTATGAAAGAAATCTAAGCAACAGAAATCCTGAGCATATTAATTTCTTTTCCTAACACCTGCAACAATCCATCCTTTCATCCAGTTGTTGTACCAGTTTTTCTAATCTATAGAATTTTCTAACATGAGAAAATGTCTTCTCATATGCATATATAATGAATTTAGTAGATCATTTTCTCAAACCTATTCATCTTGCTTGGATTCAAGTTTGTGTTTTCAATTAAAAATACTCTTTAACTGCTCCTAACCCTTTTAAACAATCTATTAAAATATTTCTTTTGGCTATCCAGTGTAATTCCCTCTCCCTTGTCCCTCCCCTATTCTCCTTCTGGTAAGAACCCACTGCCCTCTCCAGAGAGGTAGGCAGACATAGCCAATCATAGTATCCTATACTCTTCTGCTCTGATTGGTCTTGGGGGTGTACATGTGACCCTAACAATGCCTGTCATAATCCTTCCCTTGAATGATGGCCAGATTTTGGGAAAGAGAAGTTATTTCTTTGGGCTTGCTGGGCCAAAAATGAATTTAAAGGTATTGGTAGCCTCATCACATGGAGAAGTCCTTCTGTAGAGCAAAGCCAAGTATATAAAAGCAGAGATGTGAGCAGGGTGGATAGATGCATAGATGGATGGAAGGAGGTAAGAAAGATGAATACAAGTGAATCATAGCAGACATTGAGAGCAGTTCCAAACTTTGAGACCCTGATGTCTGTGGTTCATCTTTTGATCCTGTGAACCATCCTAGTGTCCTAACTAAACGGACTAATAAATTTATTATTTTGATTAAGCTGTATTGAAGTAAAAGTTTCTGTCACTTGAAATCTAGCATTCTCTATGACAATTACTATATTTGTAGGCATCATACATTTACCTAAAATTTATTCCTGGAGTTTATTAGGAAGATTTGCAAATAACCACTATGCAATGGTATGAATTGCTATTTCCAAGCAAGTTAAAAATGCCTCATTTCTATTAGAATAGGAGAGAATAAGCTTATACTTTTTGTACCTATATATAATATATAGACTAATTAATCTGTGCCAAGCACAGTGAAGTATGCTTTACAATGCCTGGAAATTCAGGAATTAAGAAAAATTGCTGGATCTCTGGATTAGGTAACCCAGGACAGGTAATTCCATACACAAATTATTCTATTCTTATGAATCTCACATTTGAATATGACCAGCACATACCAATGTCTTTGCAGAGGCTCATATGGGTCCAAAGAATTCCAGTCATCCAGAATGTGTGAGTCCAGAACAGATAACAGAAAATAGTTCCCCAGCACATTGGGAGGCCGAGGTGGGCAGATCACTTGAGCTCAGGAGTTTAAGACCAGCCTGTGAAATATGGTGAAACCCCATCTCTACAAAAAATACCAAGATTAGCTGTGCATGGTGGTGCACACCTTTAGTCCCGGCTACTTGGGAGACTGAAGTGGGAGGATGGCTTGAGCCTGAGAAGCAGAGGTTGCAGTGAGCTGGGATCTTGCCAATGCACTCCAGCCTGGGTGACAGAGTCAGACTCTGTCTCAAAAAAGTAAAGAAAATATTTCATTATCAGGTTCTAAAGATTGGAAAACTGACACATTTTACATGCATTTTCTCCAAGTGCTAACAATGTGAGTTATTTTTGCAAACATTATTAAACATATTAATAGTTTGCAAACATTATTAAAAATTGATCTTGTTTGTTAACCAAATTCTGACAAAAAAGTAACACCTGGGAATCAGATTTCCCTTCACAGAAAAATGCTTAGAATTCTTTTAATAAAGCCAGCTATACACAGAAGAGCAAACTTGGATTTACTCATTGACACTTCCATGGCTCCAACTGAAATCAATAGAGAAAGGGACCAGTGCTTTCATCAATCTCCACCAGCCATTAGGGATGTGGCAATTTCCAGAAGCAAGTGAACAGCAAGCTAGTTTGACCGTTCTCGATTGAGTGCTTTCAACATTGATCACTGGCTCTTATACATCCTTACTAGCAGATACTTGTTAAATGCTGCATGTCTACCTTTTATTAAAATGTCAAATGTAATTCTTTTAATTCATATTGGATGGGTGTCATAACAGAATTCAGTAATGAAAACCAATGACAGAGATTGGTTACATAATGTAACACTGTACTTGAGCTGTCTGGCATATAACAGGGCCATTTTTCTTCTTTTAGTTATCACGTTGGTAAATATTGAGAGGAAATTCTTAGTGTGCTGCTTTCACAGGGTTTGGCCAGATCAATTCCCATTAACAGCATGAAAAATATCTGTTTCCACTCTATATCTCTAACAAGGAAAACAATAAGATATTCTTCTAAAAGTGAAGAGGACTTCCACTTCTAGTAATGGCAACTAACAGTTGAACCAACCATCCATGTAAACACAATGAAAAGCTATAGGTGAAAAAAAAATTAATCTCCTTAAAGAGCTGTCAAGATAGTAAATGATTACCAGACCAAACAATAAAAGAAATCAAGCACCACAGAAGTAAGCAAAGCCCTAGAACACCATAGTCACTTTTGCCCTTAGGGCATTTGCTGATCCAGAAAAATCTGGGCCTTGGTTTTGGTGGCCTTACCAGCCAATGAGATAGAAGTCGGACGCTACAATGGCAGACTAGAAGGAGCTCATGTGTGCCACTCTCAGAGAGGGAACAAAAAGGCCAATGAATACAGACCCTACATAGTGATCATCTGAGAAACCACATTGGGATGCATCAGGGCAACAGGGGAAAACAGAGAATAGAGAGGAGCAAAGCTGCGCACCAGCCTGTCTGGGCTCAGCGTGGAGCCAGGAGAGGCTCTCCAACACGGGAAAGGGGAAGTGAGTGAGAACCCCTGGGGGATTCATGCTCTCTACAGACGCCTGTGCAAGACTGGGAATGAGAGAATCATCCTGTCCCCCTGAAACCCATCCCCAACACTTATAGAATGAGGCAGAGAGCCACCCCAGCATTTTGCAGGGGTAATTCCGAGTCCAAGGGGACCCCCACAAGCCTTGGGCCCCAGAGCAGACCAGCACCAGTGCCACAGCTCCAACAGAGGCCACAGTTGTAGTTCCGAGGAGCACCAACATTGTTCTGCCACTGCTTGCCAGCCAGGGCTCAGTGTCAGCTTCTGGCCCACCTCCAGCCTGAAATTGGCTGGCCACCTCTCCTACCCTGCCATTGATAGCCAGCTATGCAACACTTGCTGGAGCCTCCAGCTCAGTGGTTTCATTTTTGCGTGAACTCAGCTGGAGGGCACAGCCTCCTGTTGTCACAGGAAGACCCTACCCACCCCTGCCACTGGTAGCCAAGTGGACAACTAAGTAGAGCTTCTAGCCCAGCAGCCTTGCTTCTGTGTGAACTCAGCTAAAGAGCACAGCCTCCTGTTGTCCTGGAGAGCAGAGCATGTGACCCTACTGACCTCAACCACTGATAACCAGGCAGACAACACCTGCTAGAGCTTCTAGCCCTGCAGCCCTATGTCTCCCTGAATTTGCTGAGAGGTGCAGCCTCCTATTGCTTTGGAAACACCCAGACAGTAGGGCTGGCAATCCTACCCACCCCAAAGGCCCATAGCCAGATGGGCCACACCCACTAGAGTTTCCAACTCAGCAGTCCCATTTCCACCTGAACTCTGTGGGTGGACACAACCCTGTGTTTCCCCAGGAAGCACATGAACAGCAGATTAGGGCTGACCTGGCAAGGACATGTCTTGTTGGCCAACTGCAGCCCCAGCCTGAGGGAGCCCTGTAGACCAGAATATCCAACAAAAGAAAGCAGACACAGAGACAGTAATAGGAGGAGGCTCCTCTAAGACCCAGAAGACTAGAATCGAAGCCAGTCAATCAAACTTGCCTTATACCATAATCAAACATTCAAAGGCATCAAAGAAAATAAAAATCAAAACAATCCATCCAAAAGGACAAAGACTGAAGGAACATTGGCCCACACAGCTGAGAGAGAACCAACGCAAGAACTCCAGCAACTCAAAAAGTCAGAGTGTCTTCTTTCCTCCCAACCACACTAGTTCTCCAGCAAGGGTTCTTAACCAGACTGAGATGGCTGAAATGACAGAAATAGAATTCAGAATATGGATAGAAACTAAGATCATCAAGATTCAGGAGAATGTTGAAACCCAATCCAAGGAAGCTAAGAATCATAATAAAACAATACAGAGCTGACACACAAAATAGCCAGTATAGAAAAGAATGTAACTGACCGATAGAGCTGAAAAACACATTACAACAATTTCATAAAGCAATCACAAGTATTAACAGCAACACAGACTAGGCTGAGGAAAGACTCTCAGAGCTTGAAGACCGACTTTCTGAAATATAACAGTCAGATAAGAATAAAGAAAACAGAATAAAAATGAATGAACAAAACCTCCAAGAAATATGGGATTATGAAAAGAGACCAAATCTATGACTCACTGGTGTCCATGAAAGAGACTGGGAGAAAGGAAGCAACCTGGAAAATGTGTTTCAGGATACCATCCATGAAAACTTCCCCAACCTAGCTAGAGAGGCCAACATTCAAATTCAGAAAATGCAGAGAACCTCCAAAAGACACTTCACAAGAAGATCATCCCCAAGACACATAATCATGAGCCCTCCAAGGTTGAAATGAAGGAAAAAATGTTAAAGGCAGCTAGAGATAAAGGACAGGTCACCTACAAAGGGGAAACCCATCAGACTAACAGCATATTTCTCAGCAGAAACCCTATAAGCCAGAAGAGATTGGGGGTCTATATTCAACATTCTTAAAGAAAAGAAATTCAAACCAAAAATTTCATATCTGCTCAAACTAAACTTCATAAGCAAAGGAGAAATAAGACCCTTTTCAGACAAGCAAATGCTGACAGAATTTGTTACTATCACAACTGCCTTACAAGAGCTCCTGAAAGAAGCAGTCAATATAGAAAGACCATTACCAGCCATTACAATAACACTCTTAGCTACACAAACCAGTGAGACTATAAAGCAACCACACAAACAAGTCTTCATAATAACCAGCTAACTATATGATAACAGAATCAAATCCACACATATCAATACTAACCTTGAATGTAACTGGGCTTGATGCCCCAGTTAAAAGGCACAGAGTGGCAAGCTGAATGAAGAAGCAAGACCCAATGGTATGCTGTCTTCAAGAGACCCATCTCACATGCAATGACACCCATAGGCTTGAAGTAAAGGGATGGAGAAAAATCTACTAAGCAAATAGAAACAAAAAAAAAGCAGAGGCTGCAATACTAATTTCAGACAAAACAGACTTTAAACCAACAAAGAT
Organism: Homo sapiens; assembly: GCF_000001405.40. Taxonomy (NCBI): domain Eukaryota; kingdom Metazoa; phylum Chordata; class Mammalia; order Primates; family Hominidae; genus Homo; species Homo sapiens. The sequence continues at coordinate 71,207,811 of NC_000016.10, forward strand.
CAAAAAGGAAAAAGTAGGGCATTACATAATGATGAAAGGTTTAATTTAACAAGAAGACCTAACTACCCTAAATCTATATGCAGCCAAAACAGGTGCACCCAGATTCATAAAGCAAGTTTTTAGAGATCTATGAATAGGCTTAGTTTCACAAACAATAATAGTTGGAGATTTCAATACCCTACTGACAGCATTAGACAGATAAGGCAGAAAATTAACAAAGAAAGTCAGGACCTAAACTCAACACTAGATCAAATGGACCTAGTACACAGCTACAGAACTCTCTGCCCAAAGACAACAGAATATACATTCTTTTCATCACCACATGGTACATATTCTAAAATTGACCATGCAATCTGACATAAAACAATCCTCAGCAAACACACAAAAAAACGAAATCATACTGACCACATTCTCAGACAACAGCACAATATAAATAGAAATCAAAGCCAAGAAAGTCACTCAAAACCATACAACTGTATGAAAGTTAAACAACCTGCTGCCAAATGAGTCTTGGGTAAATAATGAAATCAAGAAGTTATTTGAAACTAATGAGAACAAAGACACAACATGCCAGAATCTCTGGGAAACAGCTAAGGCAGTGTTAAGAGGGAAATTTATAGCACTAAATGCCCACATCAAAAAGTTAGAAAGATCTCAAATTAACAACCTAACATCACAATTAGAACTAAAGAAGCAAGAGCAAACCAACCCCAAAGCTAGCAGGAGACAAGAAGTAACCAAAATCAGAGCTGAACTGAAGGAGATAGAGATATTAAAAAAATACAAAATATCAACAAATCCAGAGGTTTATTTTTTGAAACAATTAATAAGATAGATAGACCACCAGCTAGAAGAATGAAGAAGAAAAGAGAGAAGATCCAAATAAACACAATGAGAAATGACAAAGGGGATATTACCACTGACCCCACAGAAATACAAATAACCATCAGAGACTCCTTTATGCATACAAATTAGAAAATCTAGAAGAAATGGATAAATTTCTGGATACATACATCCTCCCAAGACTGAATCAGGGAGAAATTGAATCCCTAAACAGACTAATAACAAGCTCTGAAATTGAATCAGTAAAAAATAGCCTACGAACCAAAGAAAGCCCAGGACCAGACAGATTCACAGCCAAATTCTGCCAGATGTACAAAGAAGAATGGGTACCATTCCTACTGAAACTATTCCAAACAATTGAAGGGGAGGGAGTCATCTCCAACTCATTCTATGAGGCCAGCATCATCCTGATACCAAAACATGGCAGAGATACAACAAAAAAAGAAAATGTCAGGCCAATATTCTTGATAAGCATAGATGAAAAATCCTCAGCAAAATACTAGCAAACTGAATCCAGTAGCACATCAAAAAACTAATCCACCACCATCTAGTAGGCTTTATCCCCATGATGCAAGGTTGGTTCAACATATGCAAATCAATAAATGTGATTCATCACATAAACAGAACTGAAGACAAAAACCACATGATTATCTCAATAGATGAAGAAAAGGCTTTCAGTAAAATTCAACATCCCTTCATGTTGAAAACCATCACTAAACTAGGCATTGAAGGAACATACCTCAAAATAATGAGAGCTGTGCATGACAAACTCAGAGCCAACATCATACTGAATGGGCAAAAGCTGGAAGCATTCCCTTGAAACCTGGAACAACTCAAAGGATGTCCACTCTCACCACTTCCAGTACTGGAAGTCCTGGCCAGAGCAATCAGGCAAGAGAAAGAAATAAAAGGCATCAAAATAGGAAGAGAGGAAGTCAAACTATCCCTGTTTGCAGATGACATAATTCTGTATCTAGAAAACCCCACGGTCTCTGCCCCAAAGCTCCTTGAGCTGATAAGCAACTTCAGCAAAGTTTTGGGATACTAAATCAATTTACAAAAATCAGTAGCATTCATATACACTAACGGCATCCAAGCCAAGATCCAAATCAGGAATGCAATCCCATTAACAATTACCACAAAAACAAAAAAATACCTAGGAGCACAGCTAACCAGGGAGGTGAAAATCTCTACAATGAAAATGACAAAACACTGTTCAAAGAAATCAGAGACAACACAAACAAATGGAAGGATATTACATGCTCATGGGTAGAAAGAAGAAATATCATTAAAGGGGCCATACTGCCCAAAGCAATTTATAGATTCAGTGCTATTCCTATCATACTAGCGGTAATTAATACATTCTTCATGGAACTAGAAAAAACTAATGCTTATATACTTCTGGTGGGAGAGTAAATTAGCTCAACCATTCTAGAAATCAGTGTGGCAATTCCTCAAAGAACTGAAAAGAGAACTACCATTCAACCTAGCAATCCCACTACTGAGTATGGTCCCAAAGGAATACAAATCATTCTACCATAAAGACACATGCACACGTATGTTCACTGCAGCACTAATCACAATAGCAAAGACATGGATCAACCTAAATGCTCATCAATGGTAGACTCAATAAAGAAAATGTGGTATATATAGACCATGGAATACCATGCAGCCATAAAAAAGAATGAGATCATGTCCTTTGCAGGAACATGGATGGAACGTTAGACCATTATGCTCAGCAAACTAACACAGGAACAGAAAACCAGATACCGTCTGTTCTCACTTATAAGAGCTAAATAACAAGAACACATGGACAGAAAGAGGGGAACAACAGACATTGTGCCTACTTGAGGGAGGAGGGTGGGAGGAGTGAGAGGTTCAGAAAAAAAAAAGCTTTCAGGTACTATGCTTAGAACCAGGGTGATGAAATAATCTGTACATTCAACCCCCAAATCACGAGTTTCTTATATAACAAGCCACACATGTACCCCTGAACCTAAAATAAAAGTTAAGATATTTAAAAAAACAAATTGTCTATGAATGCCAGGTATGTCAGCATGTCATTAATTTCTATCTATAATTAGACTAAAATTTCACTCATTTAGATGAAATGAAAAATCTTTATTAGTAAAACCTTTGTTACTTGGCCCTACAGAATAATAAATGCAACTGTATTGATTTCAAAAAAAATTTCTTAGTTTATTGTTAGTAGTCATATTATTATAATTTTTTACAAATTTATGTATATTATATGATAAAGCAAATAATATGTTGTCAGTTAGCACCAAGGTATAATCTGTAAAAGAGATAAATATAAAATAAAACAATTTAATAAAAATCATATAACATGACATAAGAAATATTACACACACACACAGAGAGATAGAAGTCAATGATCAGAGCCTGCAAAAGATGGGAAGTATGAGGAACCTTCTCTACCTTAGACTGGGACCCAAAATTAAAGCTGGCCACTCCATTACCATCTCTAGCAAGTCATAAAACCTGTCCTGGTGCTGAGCAGAAAAAGAGAATAAAAAGAAAGAGGAAAAATACCCAAAAAGTTGAGGTAAATTCTGACTCAAATTTGCAGCCCAGGTCCACATCACTTAAACTGTCCAGAGAACTTCAAGCCATGAGCTAGGCTTGGGGTATTCCCAGACTAAAAGATGCTGAGGTACCTGGTAAATATAAATCTCCCCTGGAGGGACCGGGTACAGTGACTCACACCTGTAATCCCAGCACTTTGGGAGGCCAAGGCGGGCGGATCACGAGGTCAGGAGATCGAGACCATCCTGGCTAACAAGGTGAAACCCCGTCTCTACTAAAAATACAAAAAAAATTAGCCGGGCGTGGTGAGGGGCACCTGTAGTCCCAGCTACTGGGGAGGCTGAGGCAGGAGAATGGCTTGAACCCGGGAGGCGGAGTTTGCAGTGAGCCAAGATTGCGCCACTGCACTCCAGCCTGGGCGACAGAGTGAGACTCCATCTCAAAAAAAAAAAAAAAAAAATCTCCCCTGGAGGAAGGCACCATCATTCAAGACCACAAAGAATAAGAATACCTACAGATAATATTTCAAGGACAGTGAGGAACACATAGTAAGAAATAAACAAAAACACAAGAAAGTAAGACACCATGAGCAAAAATTTGCAGAAACTAAAGATAGCAGAAATACCATGAAAGGCTTCACATAGGGGAATTATTAGATACAGATTACAAAAAAACCATGATTAATATGTTTGAAGTACTAACATACAAGCTTGATGATATCTTCAAGGCACGGGAATCTAAGAAAAAATGATACAGCAATTCTGTAAAACAACTGGAGTCTTCAAAAACGTCAATGTGCTGAAAAACAAAAATCAACAACAATCAAAAAAAGTCGAAGGGCAACTGTTCTACACCAAAAAAGACTGTAAAAATTCAACAACTTAATGCAGCATATGATCTTTGACTGGATCCTTGAAAAATTGTTAAAAACACTATAGTGGACATTATTGAAAAATCAGAAAAATATGAATATGGATTGTAAATTAGATAATACTGTTTCCATTTTAAATTTGTAGGCTGTGATAACAGTATTGTGGTTATGCAAGAGAATGTTCTTGGTCTTAGGAGATACCAGCTAATGTATATAAGGGATAAGTGTCATGATATCTCCCTTACCTAAGTCATAAACTTACTTTCAAATGATTCAAGAAAGAGAAAGAGAACCACGAGCAAATGTGGCAGAATGTTAACAAGGAATGACTCTAATTAAAGGGTATATGGGTTTTCATTGTACTATTATTTCAAGTTTTCTTTAGGTATGAAATCGTTTAAACAAAATGTTATAGGGGTAAGTTGTATAGAAGATTTGAAAAGGATTCAAATATAACATCCAGCAATAAAAGATAAAATAATGGAATTTAGATATTCCATGTAAGTAAATAGTATATTTTAAATGGCTGAAGAGAAAAATTACTAAAGTAGAAAATAGATCAGAAGGATTATGCAGGACAGTACATGGAGGGACAAAAAGACAAAAAAAGTAAACAAGTTAAGAAACATGGAGAACAAAGATCTGATATCACTGAAGGCTTGAGTGAAGTAAGAGAAGAGAGATAATGAGTCAGAGGCAACATCTAACAAATAACAACTGATAATTTACCGAAGTGTTGAGAACAACCAAAATGAAGATTCAAGAAGCTCAAAAAGTCTCAAACTAGATAAATGGGGGAAAAAGTCGTATCTAGACTCATCCTAGTGAGGGTGAAGAAAACCAAAAATAAGGAGAAAATTACTAAAGGAGCCAGTAAAAAAATAATCTCCAAATGAGACATGGTTAGATTGGGAGCTAACTTCTCAATAGATTGGAAGCCAGAAGACAGTAGGATGATGCATTCAAATGTAGTGAAAGGAAAAACTGTCATCTTTTAATTCTAAAACCAGGAAAAATATGTCCCAAGAATAAGGGCAAATAAAAGACAATTTAAGACAAACAAACCTGGGGAATTCACCTTGGCAGACTCTCAATAAAGAAAAATCTAAAGGATGCAATTCAGGCAAAACGAAAGTGATCCCAAATGGAAAAATCTAAGAGGCAAGAAGAAATGGCGGGGGAAACATGGTCAACAGTGAAGTGATTTAAAATGAACATGAGTGCTGTCATGAATTTAAAAAATAATAATAGCGTTTATAATATTAACAGTAAAAATAGGCTTTAAATAGATTTTAACGTAAACAATATCAACATTTAAGTCAGGAGGTGGGTACACGGAGTTAAAGAGTTCTGAGATCTCTCTAATGTCCAGGAGAAATAGGACAGTTTTTATTAACTTAGTTAAGTATACATACATGTTGGATTCTTAAGGAAGTACTAAATTAATAGAATGAGAGTGACAATGCCCAAACTAGAAGAGGGAAAAACTGAATAGTAAAAAGAATACTAATCCAGCAATAACATATTGAAATATGTTGAATTTTAACCAAGAATGTAAAGTTATATTAACATTAGCAAAACAATGTAGTTCAACATTCAACAAAAATTATATATAGCCTCAACAGATGCAGAAAAAGAATATGATAAAATTCAAAGCCATTTATGATTTTTAAAAGTTATTAGCAAATTAAAAATAGAAGTAACTTCCCCAAACTAATAATGCATATCTACAATGTATAAAAATCTACAGCAGGCATAATGCTTAATCAATAAACATTGAAAAATTTTACTTGATATCAAGAACAAGATCCTTATCTATTAATACCCATTATCACCATTCCAATCAACAGAAATTTAAGGTCCTATCTAATGCTGGAAGACAAAAAAGACTCAAGGAAAGGACAAAACAAAACTCAAATTGTTAGCAGATAATATGAATATATAACATTTTTAGAAAATCCAAAAAGCTGACATAAATTATTAGAATCAATAGGTTTAGCAATATTGCTAAATATAAAATAAATATATCCTAAAATTGCATTTCTATATACTCAAAAAAGTTTTTAAAAAATCAACCTAACAGTTAATTACAATACCATAAAAAGTTCAAATTCCTAGGGCTATACCACAGATGAAATGATAATACATTATTAAGATTCAAGATGACCTAAGTAATAAAGAGATATACCACACTCATTGGTTAGAAAATTCAGTATTGTAAAAGATATTTTTCCAGATCAAACTGGAAATGGAACTTCAAATAAATCAAAACTTGAAAAAATTTAGTCCTCAAAAAAACAGAATTTTAGATGAGACTTGACATGCTGAGTCTAAGATTTTTATGAGAATGAAAAGGGCCAAGAATAACAAAGATTATATTGAAGAAGAACAAATTAAATTATTGGAGGATTTTTGTACCCAACCTCACATCCTTTAGGCCCACCAATAGCTTCCCACAGTGTAAGTTGGAAGCACCCTCTCAGCTGCACTGCATTATTTCACTTTTTCTGTCCTTGGTTTATCTGACAGGAACCTCCTAGTGCTCACACATATGCAGCCTGGAAGTGTGAAGGACATATTCCTTGACCAGTGGGAGACAGACAGAAATTAGTGCGTAAAAGCTACATTCTTCTATTCTTTGGGCAGACAATTTTGAGGTACATCCTATAAGGCTCTTCAGAGGGTCCCAGTGGGACAAAACCTCAGTTGTCCATGTTGATAGCCAACTTAAGAACACAGCCTTAAACTGCTTTTATTTCCTTCCCTGCCTCATTCTTTCAGTCCCTCACTCCTCCCCCGCAATCACTTAGCAAAAATAAACTACCAACACTCAAGTCCTAGACTCAGGCTCTGTCTCCTTGGCAGAGATCCAGGATAAGATAATGGAGAGATCTGCTCTATCAGACATCAACACTTATTATAAAGCCAAGTCTGGGGCAGGAAATAGACAAGATGAGCCTGAAACACCTGGTCATGCCTGAAAGCAAGGAAACTATCACAGACTGTACAATCAATTCATCAATCAAATAACATAGAGGCCAACTTGCAGGGTTCTCCCATTGGCCAAAGACAGGATAAAACTAATTAGTCACCTTTAGAGGTCACTAGAGTACCAATTCACTATTCTGAAGAAGCAAGGAAAGAAGGGAGGAAGGGAGAAAGGGAGAAATGGAGAAAGGAGGAAGAAAGGGAGGAAGGAGGGGGAAGGAAGGAGGGAGGGAAAGAGGAAGGGAGGAGAATTCATGCCTTTCTTGTATAAAATGTATTTCATGGTAGCAAAATAGTAAATGAGAAAAAGTTCTTTAAAGAAAAATTCTAGCTGATGAATGAATGTACAAGAAATATGATAGCACTATTTGAAAATCATCACACTGCCACTCCTACTGAAAGGATGTAAGCTCTTATGCTAAAACTTTGGGGTGAAATCTTGATGGGGAACATTATAATCAATCAATCTGGCTGATAACACGTAAATCCTGTAATCAATCTTAATGCCATTAAAAAAAAAAATACTAGCCAGGTGTGGTGGCTCATGCCTGTGATCCCAGCACTTTGGGAGGCCAAGGCAAGAGGATCACTTGAGCCCAGGAGTTTGAAACACCATATAAAAAATAAAAGGACAAGTCTCAAAATGGGAAAAGGTACTTGTGACACATAACCAACAAAACTACTGTACCAGAATATTTAAAGAACTCCTACAAAACAATATTAAAAAAAAAAACAGACAATCCAATAGGGGAAAAAAGCAAAAGAACAGGCTGTTTACACTAGAGAATATCTAAATGGCTAATAAATATATGAAACATGCCCAAACTAATAAAAAAACAGGGAAATGTAATTAAAACCACAAGATGCCCCTACACATGTACTAGATAGGCAAAATCTGAGTCTGATAATTCTGAATATTGGCTCCTCTGTGTTGTAATGGGAAATGCCAAGCACTTGCTGGTCGGGCTGTAACTACGTAAAACAACTTCAGAAAACATATTCCATCATCTAGTAAACTTAAAGATACGTATGTTCTATGACCCAGCAGTTTTACCCTGGTAGACAGTCCAGAGAAATGTATGCACATGCTACAGAGATATGAGTAAGACTGTTCATAGCAGTGTTATTCATAATAGTGGAATATTGGAAACAACCCAAGTTTTTATTGATAGCATATAGAAAAAATTGCCATATTCCTATAATATAATATCACAAATCAATAAAGATGATCTAAACAGAGACCAACAATATGGATGAATTTTACATCAAGTTGAGGGCAGAAAAGCAACATGAAACATGAATACATACAGTGTGATTCAATTTATATAAAGTACAGACAAAGGAAAAACTGAACTACGTTTCTAGGAATGTATACAAAATGGCAAAACTATATTAGAACCCAAGAATGACTGTAAAGGTCAGGATAGCAGTTACCTCTGAGGTGGGGAAGAGGAGGGCTATGATGGAGAAGGATTCCAGGATACCCACATCCTAATCCTTGCCCAGGTGGTGGTTACACATCTGTTCCCTTTATTTGTTAAATGGTAACAATGTGTTTCATACATTTACGTGTATGTTCTATTCCACAACTAAAATTCTAAGGAGAGTTCATTTTGAAAATTAAATATTTCTTAAAATTTGGAAAGCATCTTTGAAATTCTGCAACCCAGTTTTTCCCAGGGTAGCATCAACTGAGGATCACCTAGTCCTACCCTAGAGATTCTGATTCAGTCAATCTATAGTCGGTCCTGGACATCGGTATTTTCAAATAGGTCGCCTAAGTTTGGGAAGTGCTTAGCCAAGTCCAGACTCCATGGGTGGTTAAGGCATTTGCCCTGTGCTTCCCAACCCCACCACAAGGCTCTCTCCACTGTATCAGTGAGGACTAGACATCCCTTGCCTTTGGGCTCAACTCTTGTCCTACAAAAGAGTTTTACAGCCAGCAGGCTCACAGGTTTGGCACAGGAACTGATAGCAGTAGGTACCTTTTGGACAGGTTCCTGTAAGTCTCCAGTTAAATGATGCTTTCTATCCAGCAAACTTGCATTGACTGTTAATTTAACCTACATAAAATTTAAGGTTCTCCTTTCCAGTATTCTGCTGTTCTTCTCTCAAATAGTCCATCCAATAGATCATAAGAATAATGTACAACTATTGGCAAAAATGATTTTGAACTGACTTATGCACACATTTACCCCCATTTTAAGTCTCGATGATGCCCCAAGTTGTCGTTCAGACAAGTTCATGAATACAGGTACCTCTACATTGATGGACCTTTCTCCAGAATGAGGAGCCAAAATCATCTGAATTAAGTAGAGATCTCATTTGTCCCTGACTCATGATAATGTCTGTGCTACAGTCCTGCATTAATTACTTTGCCCAAGTAGAAATACACTACCCATATAAGAATTTCACTTCTGAACAAAACAAAATAAAAATCCACGAGTGGTGACCTCAAAATGAACTGGTTAAATTTAAGGACTCATTTTTAAAGGTCAATGTCCTTTTGCTGCAAATACAGTTCCTATGCAGATGAGAAGTTGAACCTGACCTATGGAGCCGAGCATAATTAGCCAGCTGCACCCTCATAATAAGGTGCAGATGGTTAATTGCACCAGCAAATAACTGCTTACTTGTGGGCACAAAAGCCTGTACCTAAAATCATTGAAAGTATACTTGGGACTATTTATGCTCATGGCAAACAAAACACATTTCCAAGGTTTCATCTGCGAACAGATCACAGCCAGCTCCAAATCCCTGCTTTGCGGGAGAGCCATTCACGCTGCTGAGGTCTGGTCCAAGAGAGGGACCACTGGCCACAAAGCCACATATTAACTGGTGAAATATTTCTTGGGGTGCTGAATCGTTGTTGAAAAATCTCCTGAATTTGTTGTAATAGGGATGAGGGGATCAGTCAATAAGGTGAGACTTTGGTTTCCCTAGAACGCAAAGTAAATTCTGTATTCTTTTGATTACAAACTCTGAAATGATTTTTTCATAAACAAACATCTCATCATTAGTTTTCTGAATAAGAAAAAAAAAGACCAATTTTCCTGTGCCCTTGAGGAATTTCATGCACTAGCCAAGCTCCTAGAATTTAGCAAGCTGTATTAGATTCAACACACCCAGTGGTTGTTAGCGACTGTTCCAAAGATCCACTCTAAAACATATTCTATTAATCCCAATGTGGTAAGAATAAGATATGGGGAGAAAACAGAGAAGGGATAACTACTCCATAAAACCCATGTTTGGAAGTCCTCAGCCAGCTGCAAAGCTTTCAGCTGGGCAAGAGGTCAAGATGACAGGGCTGGGGAGCAGAATACTAATCTACTGGAATCCACACAGAACCTTTCTTCTGAAGAACCCACTGGGTTACGTGATTCTATTCAGTTTAATTGTATACTGGGGAGGAGGAAAAGCTATTTGCCATGGTTTTAATTGCTAAGAACACACTATCTTTTTCAGAACCATCTGTTTAATTGTAATTACAAACAGCGATGTAAAAACGCAAATGATTAACAAGTACAAAATTCCCTACCACTAACAGTTTTAACATAACAAGCCATATTGTGAAAGAGTATGTTGCCTTTTCCCTCCCTGCAATATTTCATGATTTGGCAACTGACAACCCACCATTTTTTACAGAATCTCATTCTGGTAGAGCTAAAGGTATTAATTAGTATTCTTAGAGTACATCCTCCTGTTATTGCTTTTTATTAAATCGTAATTCCCTCTAGCAGCAAAAGGATTATATCAGAAATGAAATGCATAAGGCCCCTTTGTTTCCATCTCCCACCAAAATCTTTGAGGTTTCATATGATATCATCTATAATTAATTACCAGGCATATTCCAAAGCATTGCAAGACTACTTTTGGCTTCATAAACACAAATTTCTGCTTTCCTGGTTTTGAAATATGCTTCCCACACTGTCATTATTTTAAAAGCCATGAGTACTGGTAATTGTTTTCAGACATCAATAAAAATAGCTTAACCTTGAAATTTATTTTAATTAGGGATTTTTTCAAAGCCACTGCTGCAAATTTGGGTGGATTGTTTATAATAAAAATGAGCATCAACAACATAGTTGTACAGAACATAGAATTAGGCAAAGTTGTTTAACTTAGGCTCATAATAGCAGTTTAAAGAAATAAAAACAGACACAGATACAGTCAGATCATAATGTTATTAGAGCAACTTTACATTCAGGACATTTTAGATAGCTTATTAAAGCAAGAAGATGCCATTTTAAAAAAAAAATAAGGGGCAGATTTATGCATTGCCAGTGAAATTACAAGAGATTGCTTTTTCTAGTCATTTCACACTAATTTTTCTTTAAAGTCAACCAAGTTGACTTTTTGGTATTAAGAGGAAGACCACCACTTTAAGAATATAGGATTTAGTATAGGATTTGGTATTCATATTAAGATGAATATCACCCCTTTAAGAATATAGGATCTAACATAGGATATGCTGGTTTATTTGAACCAATACTTTCTAACAAGCCTTTCTATCAAGCACAGAACAATTTTTAAAAGTCCACTTTTCCTCCATACCACCTCAAGGGATAAATATGACCCTTTAAAAAAATCAGATAACTAAAACACTTTGAATCCAAATAAATTAAAAGATTGCACAGTTTTTCAAATTAAATTGCATTAGAGGCATTTTATGATATGTCAATTTTCCTCACCTGAAACCCTTCCAGCAATAATCCTACAATTATTTTTGCCTTATTCCAAGCCCCCATCCCTCTCAAACGACATTTTGTATGAAGAGCAGCCAAATGCTAAGTGCTTCTGCAGTGTTAATGAGGAAACAGATCTTGGAAGAAATTATTTGAAAGAAAAAGTTTGCCCTCAGGAATGAGTTGTCGTTTCACTTTTAATGATGGTAACTGTGGTTCAGCGTATTTCGGTCCATTGCGTTCTGAAATGTACTCATCCCAAACCAGTGCTCTTTAACCTTTGTGGTCCAGGTCCTACTGGAAATCTGATGATGGCTATGAACACTATCCCCCAGAAGATTAACATAAACATAAAATCTGAGGGCTGACACATCCAGGGTCAAAAATCTGTTACACAGATCCCGAATGTGTACCAATTAAAACATGGTTTCAATACTAACAGGCTATGAGTTTCTTTCAAACCTGATGAGCGTTTTCATGTTCTAAATGTTTCTGCTGCTAAAGTGAAGAAACATTCTCAAAACTATTCTTAAAGCCTGTGAAACTATATAACTACTAAGGGGTAATAACTTCCTTCTACTTTGTGATTGCATAAATCATTCTCACACACAAGCCAGAAGTATTCCTTCCCCCAAATAACTCTAATTTGGCCTTGTATACAAGACATAAAATGAAATACCAACTTACAAGTATCATTTTCTAAGAGCTTCTGACATGCATTCATTGTCACATCTTTAGATATAATATAGAATAAAATACACACTTCACATAAAAAGAAAATATTTAAGTCACTAGTCTGCATGTATATATTCTTCAGCTGGCATTTGCTAAACCTGAATTTTTCCATCTTTGTCACACATGTATACAGCGAATACATCCAGGTTTCACGAAAGATTTACTCTGATGCTCTCAATAAATGATTCAATACAAAAATTATTAAGAATAGTTACCTCTGGGGAACCAGACTAGGAGAGAGAGTGGAGTAATGAGAAGCCTTTCATGTTTACATTTCTAAGGTATTTAATTTTTTACAAGGAGTATGTAAATGACTGTGCTAAAAATTAAGACTACAAAGTAATACATTGTTTTCTAATATAGGTTATGCTGGTTTGTTTGAACCAACTCTCCTGCTGAAAACAACTAAAAATGCTGGCTAAAATATTTTTTCAGCTTCTCAAAAGCATCAAAAAGCTAACAAGACCATAAGGAATTATCTAGCCAACATCTAACTGAAAACAGGGACCAAGAAAGGTAAGTGGAGCACTGAAACAAATTTGGTAGGAGATAATCCTCCAGACAAGGACACCCTGAGCTCTGCTTGTGGCTGCCTGGTAGGGCTTCCAGGAAAGGTCAACACCCAGGACCCATCAAAGGTGGGGAGACTGATAGTTGACTCCACTCCAAAGGTGTACACTTTCAACGTTTGGGTCAAAAATAAAGCCTTCCTATCCCACCATTCCCAGCTGAATGCAGGGGACGATTCCTTGGCACCTAACAGAGAGAAAGGTATAAAGAAAAAAAAAAAAACCCTGAAAGGTTAGAATCACAGCCAACTCTCTTAGAGATGTACAGCCCAAATTCATATCACCTGTGAGCTCCAAAAGCCTCAAAGTATGATTTTTACTTTAAAATAAGCCTGGACAGGTAGTTCCCTGAGGTACCTAACAGAGGCAAATGCAAACCCTCTCTGATGAACCTCCTTCTCTGAGGACCTCTCTGAGGTCCTCCTTCATTTTAGTCATCAAACACTTCCCATAAATAATTTTCCAAGGACAATAAGCAGCTCTTGGTCAAAATAAACAAGCATACTAAGAGAGTGGGAAAAGCACCCTGAACAAGAACCAGCAAAAACATCCTGTAGGAAAAGAAATTCAAGAAATGAAAATTAAAATAATAAAAATTAAAACTCAATGAATAGAATATCTAATTCTAAGAAGAATGTATTTGATAGCATCTACTTCAACAATTAGAAAATAAAATAGATAAATTACAAAAAGCATATACTTTAAGACATTAGAGAGGTATAGAAGAAATATAGTGTTAAATCAAGTTTAGCCTAAAGCTGCCTCCTTACATATTTTAAGTTTGGCCTAAAGGTTTCTCTGTACATTGTGAACTATAACCTAAATGAAGCTGTAAACAGACCATAGCCTACTCTTGTGCCAATCACTGAGTTTTGGCCAAAGGTGGCCAACTTTTCAAACCGTGTTCAAATAAGGCAAGCAATGAGCTGTAACTAATCTGGCTATTTTTGTACCTCATTTCTATTTTCTGTACATCACTTTCTTTTTTCAATCCACAAATCATCTTCTACCACATGGCTCCACTGGAGTCTTTCTGAGCCTACTCTGGCTCAAGAGGCTGCCCACAGCACACCAAAAGGATAACACATCATGATCAAGTGGGTTTCATCCCAGGAATGCAGGGATGGTTTAATATACACAAGTCAATAAATGTGATATATCACATAAACAAAATTAAAAACAAAAACCATAGATTATCTCAGTAGATGAAGAAAAAGCATTTGAAAAAATCCAGCACCCCTTTATGGTAAAAACCCTCAACAAAATAAGCATAGAAGGGACTTACCTCAAAATAATAAAAGCCATATACGACAAACCCACAGCCAACATCATACTGAATGCAGAAAAGTTGAAAGCCTTCCCTGTGAGAACTAGAACAAGACAAGGATGCCCACTTTCACCACTTTTATTTGACATAATACTGGAAGTCCTAGCCAGAGCAACCAGCAAGAGAAAAAAATAAAGGGCATCCAAATTGGAAAAGAAGTCAAACTGTCACTGTTTGCCAGTTATATGATTATATACCTAGGAAACCCTAAAGACTCATCCAAAAGGCTCCTAGATCTGATGAACGAATTCAGTAAAGTCTGAGGTTACAAAATTAATGTACACAAATCAGTAGCACTGCTCTACACCAACAACAACCATGCTGAGAATCAAATCAAGAGCTCAATCTCTTTTACAACAGCTGCAAAAAAATAAAATAAAATAAAATACATATGAATATACTTAACCAAGTAGGGGAAAGACCTCTACGCGGAAAACTAAAAAGCACTGCTGAAATAAATAATAGATGACACAAACAAATGGATACACATCCTATGCTCACGAATGGGAAGAATCAACATTGTGAAAATGACCATACTACCCAAAGCGATTCCCATCAAAATACCAACATCATTCTTCACAGAACTACAACAAACAATTCTAAAATTCACATGGAACCAAAAAAGAGCTCACAAAGCTAAAGCAATACTAAGCAAAAAGAACAAATCTAGAGGCATCACATTACAATACTTCAAATTATACTACAAGGTTATAGTTACCAAAACAGCATGGTACTGGTATAAAAATGGGCACATAGACCAATAGAACAGAACAGAGTACCCAAAAATAAAGCCAAATAATTACAGCCAACTGATATTTGACAAAGCATATAAAGACATAAATTGGAGAAAGGACACCCTATGCAATAATGGTGCTGGGAAAACTGGCAAGCCACATGTAGAAGAATGAAACTGGGTCCCCATTTCTTACCTTATAAAAAACATTAACTCCCAATGGATCAAAGACTTAAATCTAAGACATGAAACCATAAAAATCCTAGAAGATAA
The DNA here is from genome assembly GCF_000001405.40 of Homo sapiens. Classification (NCBI taxonomy): domain Eukaryota; kingdom Metazoa; phylum Chordata; class Mammalia; order Primates; family Hominidae; genus Homo; species Homo sapiens. The sequence continues at coordinate 71,223,382 of NC_000016.10, forward strand.
CATTGGAAAAACTCTTCTTCTGGCATTGGCTTAGGCAGAAATTCAGGACTAAGACCCTAAACGCAAATGTGACAAAAACAAAAACAAATAAATGGGTCCTAATTAAACTAAAAAGCTTCTGCAAAGCAAAAGAAATAATAAGAAGAGTAAACAGACAACCCACAGGGTGGGAGAAAGTATTTGCAAGCTATGCATCCAACAAAGGACTAGCATCCGGAATCTACAAGGAGCTCAAACAAATCAGCAAGAAAAAAAAAAAAACAAATAATCCCTTCAAAAAGTGAGCTAAAACATGAAGAGACATTTCTCAAAAGAAAATATACAAACAGCCAACAAATATGAAAAAATGCTCATCAGTAGTTGTCAGGGAAATGCAAATTAAAACCACAATGAGATACCACCTTACTCTTGCAAGAATGGCCATAATTAAAAAGTCAAAAAACAATAGATGTTGGTTGGGATGTGGTGAAAAGGGAATACTTCTACACTATTGGTGGGAATGCAAATTAGTACAACCACTAAAAGTAGATCTACCATTTCATCCAGCAATCCCACTACTGGGTATCTACCCAAAGGAAAAGAAGTCATTATATGAAAAAGACACATTCACATGCATGTTTACAGCAACACAATTTGCAATTGCAAAGATATGGAACCAACCTAAGTGCCCATTGATCAACAAGTGGATAAAGAAAATGTAAAATGTGTATACCATGGAATACTACTCAACCATAAGGAGTGACAAAATAATGTCTTTTGCAGCAACTTGGATGCAGCTGGAGGCCATTATTCTAAGTGAAGTAACCCAGGAGTGAAAAACCAAATACCATACGTTCTCCCTTATAAGTGGGAGCTAAGCTATGAGATGCAAAGACATACAGAGTGATGAAATTTGGGAACTCATTTGGGGAAGTCAGAAGTAGGGTAAGGGATAAAAGACTACATATTGGGCATAGTGTACACTGCTCAGGTGACAGGTACACTGAAATCTCAGAATTCACCACTAAAGAACTCATCCATGTAACGAAAAACCACTTGTACCTCAAAAATGATTGAAATATAAAATTATTTAAAAAGAGGCTGCTCAATTTGCAAATTGTTCTTTGCTCTGAAATGATTGATGAATCATTCTTTAATTAAATTAAACTCTGTTAAATTTAATTTGGCTAAGGTTTTTCTTTTTTTTTTTTTTTTTTTTGAGACGGAGTCTCGCTCTGTCGCCCAGGCTGGAGTGCAGTGGCGGGATCTCGGCTCACTGCAAGCTCCGCCTCCCGGGTTCACGCCATTCTCCTGCCTCAGCCTCCCAAGTAGCTGGGACTACAGGCGCCCGCCACTACGCCCGGCTAATTTTTTGTATTTTTAGTAGAGACGGGGTTTCACCGTTTTAGCCGGGATGGTCTCGATCTCCTGACCTCGTGATCCGCCCGCCTCGGCCTCCCAAAGTGCTGGGATTACAGGCGTGAGCCACCGCGCCCGGCCTAAGGTTTTTCTTTTAACAATGGACTAGAAGAACTAAAATTTCAGAAGGGAAATGGCCTCTCATCAATGAGTTGAAGTTACTGGTCATGTTTTTCTCTGGGGACATTTGCTAATTCTAGGCACAGGGAGACAATCCAGCTTGGCTCAGGCAGAGGATTCTTAAGGTAAGAGGAGGCACCAACAGAATAGGTGATGGTTGTAAAATCTGGCAAGACGAACAGGAACCTAAAAAGCGAGGGCCAGATTCCCCTATGGGTGATTTTCTGAGAAGTGGAACAGCATGAGAGCTCTGAAGTTGAATGAGAAAGAGTGTAGGGTTCTCCGTTCCCCACTACTTTCTTTCTGTGTCCTGACTGCTCTGTGATCTATCCAGTTGCAGGTTTTTCGTAGCAGACTTGAACCCAAACCTGGGCCTGGAACATTCCTAGGCACTGATAAAGGTATCTAGGTTGCTGCCCACAACACTGAAAAAGAAACTAGCCCTGGCCCTGAGCCAAATTCCTTAAACTCTCATACCCTGACCCCCTCACTGCAGTCATACCTAGGTAGAACACCTGTTTTCTCTTACTGTTCATTTTGAGGACTGCTGCAGCACTCTGTAAGTTTCCCCAATAAATGCTTTGGATTGACCACTCTGGCATTTAGTCTTTCCTTCTTTTTTTGGAATCCCAACCGGCCCTATCTCTGGACAGTTTGGGGCACTCCCTTGTGGGGAATCTCCTGCCATCATTTTGGGGGTGATTCTGGCCATAGGTATTGTGGGATGAAACACAGAGTGAAATCTGCTAAAGTCTCTTGGTGCTTAGAACTTGAGGTTCAGAAAGAAGGAGGAGGGGCTTGCAACAAACACAACACAGTTCTCCCCACCAAGACATTTGAATGAGGTTTAACATTTGATTGGGTATGAAACAAGGAATGAACAACTGGAAACTGAAAATTTTAAAACAGTATCATATACAATAGCATCAAAAAACAGAAAATAAAAACAGAGCTAACAAAACATGTGCAAAAGTTGCATGTTAAAAATTATAAAACATCATTGAGAGAAATTAAAGAGGACTAAATCAAAGGAGGTATACCATGTTCATAAATTGGAAGATTCAGTATTGCTAAGATGCCAATTCTCCCCAAATTAATCTATACTCCAATGAAATCTAATCAAAATGCCAGCAGATATTTTTGGAGATGTTAACCTTTAATTCTAAAGTTTGTATGGAAAGGTAAAGGAACCAATGTTGCCAATTCAATTTTGAAAAATAAGAACAAAGTAGAAGGACTCAAACTACCAGATTTCAAAATTCACTGTAAAGTTATCAAGAAATCGATTTTATGCTGTTAAAATGACTGGTAGTTCATTTGAGAAACAAAAATTATTCATATTTTTCTGGAATATTCTGTTACATTGATAAATCAGAAACATGTATTCACACATACATGGTCAACTGATTTTTGACAAAGGTGCCAAGGTAAGTGGAGGGAGGAGAGTCTCTTTAACAAATGGGGTTGGAACATTCAGCCTTATGAAAAAAAAACACCTCAACTCTTGCCTGACGTCATACATAAAAATTAACTCAAAACTCATCAAAGACCTACATGTGAAACCCAAAGCTATGAAAGTCTGAGAAAGAAACATTGAGGAAAATCTTGTTACCTTGTGTTAGGCCAAAGGTTTTTAGATATCACACAAAACATAAAAGAAAAAATTAGTAAGATTAGACTTCATCAAAACTTTTGACTTCAAAGACATTATGAAGAAAATTGAAACCAGCCCAATTTCCTCACAGAACTGATGTTTATGGTCTTTTTAAATAAACAGAAATTGGCCCTCTTGGTCTTAAGCCTGAAACTTATATTTATCTTATCTGAGTTCCTTTCTTAGAAAACTGACGCTCGGGCCTCCCAGAGAGTATAAAGGAACTGAAACTCACCAGATCACCGCATCCAGACAGTGAGAGACCAGATTCCTCTTCCTTACTCCTCCCTAATTCCTGTTTTCTACATTCTTTCCCTGGTATTTAAATCTCCAATTTTAGTCAGTTAGTGAGACAATTTGAGACTATCTCCCATCTCCACAGCTGCAGCACCCAAATAAAGCCTTCTTCCCTGGCAGTACTCTTTGTTCCAGTGATTGGCTTTCTGTGCTGTAAACAATGAGATCTAGATCAAACCCCTGGCATTTCAGTAACAAAATGTTTTAAAAAGGAAAGATGTGTCACATACTGGGAGAAATTATTCGCAAATTAAATATCTGACTTTTGTCATATATATATGTATATATATATGTGTATGTGTGTGTGTGTGTGTATATATATATATATGAATGATATGGGCAAAAGATACAAACAGAAACTTCACCAAGTTCACCAAACTTCTTCACCAAAGATATAATAACAAGTAAGCATGTTATTCAACATCATTAATCACCAGGAAATGCAAATTAAAAGCAGAATGAGATACCACTACACAGCTATAAGAATAAAGTGTATTCAACTAGAAAAAGAGGAAGTCAAATTGTCCCTGTTTGCAGATGACATGATTGTATATCTAGGAAACCCCATCTTCTCAGGCCAAAATCTCCTTAAGCTGATAAGCAACTTCAGCAAAATCTCAGGATACAAAATCAATGTGCAAAAATCACAAGCATTCTTATACACCAATAACAGACAAACAGAGAGCCAAATCATGAGTGAACTCCCATTCACAATTGCTTCAAAGAGAATAAAATACCTAGGAATCCACCTTACAAGGGATGTGAAGGAACTCTTCAAGGAGAAGTACAAACCACTGCTCAACGAAATAAAAGAGGACACAAATGGAAGAACATTCCATGCTCATGGATAGGAATAATCAATATCGTGAAAATGGCCATACTGCCCAAGGTAATTTATAGATTCAGTGCCATCCCCATCAAGCTACCAATGACTTTATTCACAGAATTGGAAAAAACTACTTTAAAGTTCATATGGAACCAAAAAAGAGCCTGCATTGCCAAGACAATCCTAAGCCAAAAGAACAAAGCCAGAGGCATCACGCTACCTGACTTCAAACTATACTACAAGGCTACAGTAACCAAAACAGCATGGCACTGGTACCAAAACAGAGATATAGACCAATGGAACAGAACGGAGCCCTCAGAAATAATACCACACATCTACAACCATCTCATCTTTGACAAACCTGACAAAAACAAGAAATGGGGAAAGGATTCCCTATTTAATAAATGGTGCTAGGAAAACTGGCTAGCCATATGTAGAAAGCTGAAACTGGATCCCTTCCTTACACCTTATACAAAAATTAATTCAAGATGGATTAAAGACTTACATGTTAGACCTAAAACCATAAAAACCCTAGAAGAAAACCTAGGCAATACCATTCAGGACATAGGCATGGGCAAGGACTTCATGTCTAAAACACCAAAAGCAATGGCAACAAAAGCCAGAATTGACAAATGGGATCTAATTAAACTAAAGAGCTTCTGCACAGCAAAAGAAACTACCATCAGAGTGAACAGGCAACCTACAGAATGGGAGAAAATTTTTGCAATCTACTCATCTCACAAAGGGCTAATATCCAGAATCTACAAAGAACTCAATCAAATTTACAAGAAAAAAACAAACCCATCAAAAAGTGGGCAAAGGATATGAACAGACACTTCTCAAAAGAAGACATTTATGCAGCCAACAGACACATGAAAAAATGCTCATCATCACTGGCCATCAGAGAAATGCAAATCAAAACCACAATAAGATACCATCTCACACCAGTTAGAATGGCGATTAAAAAGTCAGGAAAACAACAGGTGCTGGAGAGGACGTGGAGAAATAGGAACACTTTTACACTGTTGGTGGGACTGTAAACTAGTTCAACCATTGTGGAAGACAGTGTGGCAATTCCCCAAGGATCTAGAATTAGAAATACCATTTGATCCAGCCATCCCATTACTGGGTATATGCCCAAAGGATTATAAATCATGCTGCTATAAAGACACATGCACACATATGTTTATTGCGGCACTATTCACAATAGCAAAGACTTGGAACCAACCCAAATGTCCATCAACGATAGACTGAGTTAAGAAAATGTGGCACATATATACCATGGAATACTATGCAGCCATAAAAAAGGATGAGTTCATGTCCTTTGTAGGGACATGGATGAAGCTGGAAACCATCATTCTCAGCAAACTATCACAAGGACAAAAAACCAAACACCGCATGTTCTCACTCATAGGTGGGCAACGAACAATGAGAACACTTGGACACAGGAAGGGGAACATCACACACCGGGGCCTGTTGTGGGGTGGGGG